>NC_000011.10:2484242-2787272 GCF_000001405.40 Homo sapiens
AACCTCTGCCTCCGGGGTTCAAGTGATTCTCCTGCCTCAGCCTCCTGAGTAGCTGGGATTACAGGCACGTACCACCACGCCCAACTAATATTTTGTATTTTTAGTGGAGACGGGGTTTCATCATGTTGGCCAGGCTGGTCTTGAACTCCTAACCTCAGGTGATCCACCCGCCTTGGCCTCCCAAAGTGCAGGGATTACAGGTGTGAGCCACTGCACCCAGCCTCATTATTTATTTTCATTGCTCAAATTGTGCTGGCTTTTGCCCCAGAAACAACCTTCCATTCAGCTTCCATGCCCCTTTGGTGGGCCCTGTCTTTTCTTGGACACTGCCTTCCTGGCACCCCAAGATGCTCTGGGCTCAGCTTGTATTTCCTTGCCTCAGTCTTGAAATCACCCACTTCTCCAAGGAGCCAGGGTTCCTTCCATTGGAGAGTGGTCTTTAGAAACCCAGGCCTGGGTGCATGGTGTGCTCATCGCCACTGTGGACCTGCTGCTCTGCGCCCACTCGGCCGACGGAGCTGGGGAATATGTGTATGGCACCCCCACGTCTACGCTTCTGTGTTCATCTGCAGATATATTCATACATGAGTGGGCTCATACTGTCTCCAACTCCAGTTCTGCCCCAGTGGGGCCAATTCTCTCTCTTTGTTGTAACACCTTTCTTCAATAGTGAGAAACCTGGCTCTCTCACCTTCACCTGCTCGTCCAACCCCAGCTGCAAGGGAACTGGCTCCATACTTGCTGATGCGTGCCCCCATGAGAAGTGACTGACCACCCAGAGCCTGGCGCCTGTGCATGGCGTCTGTGCACGGCGCGTCTTGTCTTCAGCCTCACTGCGTCCCATCAGTGCTTTTCCCCACGGTGACTTTGAGTATTTCTTTACTTCTGTACTCCCTTCAGTGTGATTATGTCATTCATCTGTGACATGTTTAGATTTATCTGTTAGGTTGGTATTCCATTTTGGGTGTCCCCCGATTCTGATTGTTTTTAGTTACTTATCTGGGGGTCTGTGTGAAGGGAATGTAAAGCTGCTGTGACTCCTGGAGTCAGAGGTGCACAAAGAGTGTCCTCAGAGGAGAGCCAGGCGCCCACCCTGCCAGCCCTTCCCTCCCCACTCCATCCCCCACCCCCCCACCCTGGACAAAACCAGCTCTTCAGCCTTTCATGTCTCTCTTGCAGGCCTCTCGCACAGATGAGAAAATACACGTGTGTTTTCCTGTATCCCCTCTTTCTTACAAAAAGGGAAGCACACTATCAATACTCTTGTAGATCTTTAATTGCGGTAAGATACACTAATGCAAAATTTACCATTTTAACTATTTTTAAGCACACAGTTCAGTGGCATGAAGTACATTGATTTTGTTATGCAACCATCACCACCATCCATTTCTAGAATTTTCTCATCCTCCCAAACTGAAACTCCATCCCCATTAAACACCAACTCCCCCATTCTCTCTTCCCCAGCCCCTGGCACCTACCATTTACCTTTCGTCCCTATGGATTTGACTAATCCAGGAACTTCATAAAAGTGGGATCATTGAGTACTCTATTTGTCTTTTGTGACTGGCTTATTTCACTTGGGCATAATGTCCTGAAAGTTCACTCATGCTGTAGCATGTGTCAGAATTTCCTTTTCCTTTTCAAGGCTGAATAATATTCCACTGTATGGATAGACCACATTTTGCTTATCCATTCATCTTTTGATGAACATTTGGGTTGCCTCCATGTTTTAGCTATTGTGAATAATGCTACTATGAATATGGGTGTACAAATATCTTTTCAACGCCCTGCTTTCAATTCTTTTGGGTATATACCCAGAAGTGGAATTTCTGGATTATATGGTAATTATAGTTTTAATTTCTTGAGGAACCACTATGCCGTTTTCCACAGTAGCTACCACATCCTCACCAACACTTGTAATTTCTGGGGTTTTTTAATAGTAGCCATTCTAGTGGGTGTGCAGTGGTATCTCATTATAGTTTTGATTTACATTTTCTTATGAGTAGTGATGTTGAGTATCTTTTCATGCTCTTATTAGCCATTTGTATATCTTCTTTGGAGAATATCTCCTCAGCTCTTTTGCCCACTTCATTAAATTGAGAGGTTTGTTTTTGCTGTTGAGTTTTAGAACTTCTCTATATATTCTGGATATTAATCCCTTATCAGATATAGGATTTGCAAATATTTTCTCTCATTCTGTGGGGTGCCTTTTTACTCCGTTGATAGTGTCTTTGTACAAAAATTTTTAATGTTCACGAAGTCCAAGTTGTCTACTTTTTGTTTTGTTGCCTGTGCCTTTGGTCTTTGTGTTAGTCCATTTAGCATTGCTATAAAGGAATACCTGAGGCTGGTAATTTATAAAGAAAAGAGGTTTAATTGGCTTATGGTTCTGCAGGCTGTACAAGAAACATGGTGCCAGCACCTGCTTCTGGCGAGAGCCTCAGGAAGCTTCCAATCACGGCAGAAGGTGAAGCGGGAGTAGGTGTCTCATATGATGAGACAGGGAGCAAGAGAAAGGAGGTTCCAGTCTCCTTTTAACAACCAGATCTTGCATGAACTCATTACCTAATCATGGGGAATCTGCCCCTATGACCCAAACAGCACCCACCAGGCCCCACCTCCAACGCTGGGGATCACATTTCAACATGAGAGTTGGAGGGGACAAATATCTGAACTCTATCAATGTTATATCCAAGAAATCATAGCCAAATCCAATGTCATGAAGCTTTTGCCCTATGTTTTCTTCTAAGATTTTTATAGTTTTACGTTGCACATTTAGATATTTGATCCATTTTGAGTTAATTTTTGTATATGGTGTGAAGTAAGGGTCCAGCTTCCCTCTTGCATGTGGATTTCCAGTTTTCCCAGCACCATTTGTTGAAAAGACAGTCCTTTTCTCATTGAATAGTCTTGGAACCCTAGTCAAAAATCATTTAACCATTTATGCCACGGTTTATTTCTGGGCTGTCTCATGTTCCATTGGTTTATATGTCTGTCTTTTTGCCTGTGTCACACTGTCTTGATTACTGTAAGTTTATAGTAAAGTTTTGAAATCAGAAAGTGTTAGGCTTCCAGCTTGGCTTTTCTTTTTCAATATTGCTTTTGGCTATTTTAAGTTCCTTGAGATTCCATATGAATTTTAGGATGGGTTTTTCTATTTTTGCAAAAAGTGTCATTGGGATTTTGAGAGGGATTGCACTGAATCTATAAATCACTTTGGGTAGTATTGATATCTCAACATTGTCTTCTAATCCATGAACATGGGATATGTTTCCATTTATTTGCATCTTTTTAAGTTTCTTTCAGTAATGTTTTGTGGGTTTTGCTGCAGAAGTCTTTTACCTCCTTGGTTAAGTTAATTCCTAAGTATTCTACTTGATGCTATTATAAATTAAATTGTTTTCTTAATTTCATTTTTAGATTGTTCATTGTTAGCATATAGAAATGCAACTGATTTTGCATGTTTACCTTAGATTCTGTAACTTTGCTGACTTCATTTATTAGCTCTAATAAGTTTTTGTGGAATCTTTAGGGGTTTCTACATATGAGATTATGTTATCTGTGAATAGAAATAGTTTTACGTCTTTTTTTTCCATTCTGGATGCCTTTTATTTCTTTTAATTTTTTTCTTGCCAAATTGCTCTGGCTAGAATTTTCAGTACAATGTTGAATAGAAGTGGTGAAAGTGGTCACCCTGGCCTTATTCCTGACCTTAGAGGGAAAAATTTCAGTCTCATCATTATGATGTTAGCTGTGGATTTTCACATATGGTTTTTATTATGTTAAGGTAGTTTCCTTCTATTCCTAGTTTGTTGAGAGTTTTTAATAAGGATGTTGAATTTTGTCAAATGCTTTTTGTATCAATTGAGATCATGTGATCATGTGAGTGTTATTTCTTCATTCTGTTAATATGCTCTTTTACATGGATTTATTTTTGTATGTTGAACCATCCTTGCATTCCAGGACTAAATCTCACATGGTCATGATATGTAATACTTTAACTATGTTTCTGAACTCAGTTTGCTATTTTGTTGAGAATTTTGCATCAGTTTTCATAAGGGATATTGGTCTGTAGTTTTCTTGTAGTCTTTGTCTGGCTTTAGTATCAGAGTAATGCTCTCCTCATAGAATGAGTTAGAAACCTTTCCCCTCCTCTTTAATTTTTTGGGAAAGATTGAGAAGGATGGGAGTTTATTCTTTAAATATTTGGTAGGATTCATTGGGGAAGCCATCAGGTCCAGGCTTTTCTTTGTTGAGAGTTTTTTGATTACTGATTCAATCTCCTCACTAGTTATAGGTCCATGAAGATTTTGTATTTCTTTGTGATTTAGTTTTGGTAGGTTTCGTGTTTCTCAGAATTTGTCCATTTCATCTAGGTTATCCAATTTGTTGATACACAATTGTTCACAATACTCTCTTATAATCCTTTTTATTTCTGTAGAATTGATAGTCATGTCCCTATTTTCACTTCTGATTTCAGTAGTCTTCTCTCTTTTTTACTTAGTCCATCTAGCTAAAGGTTTGTCAATTCTTAAAATCTTTTCAGAGAAGCAACTTTGATTTAATTGATTTTTCTCTATTGTTTTTCTATTCTCTATTTTGTTGGTCTCTGCTGTGGTATTTATTATCTTCTTTCTTCTGCTAGCTTTGGGTTTAGTTCTTTTGCTAGTTCCTTAAGTGGTAAAGTTAGGTTATTTACTGGAGATCTTTCTTGTTTATTAATGTAACAATTTATAGGGAGGGAGTGGAGCAAGATGGCCAAATAGAAGCCTCCAATTGTCCTCCCCAACAGGAACACCAAATTTGAGAACTATCTACACAAAAAAGCACCTTCATAAGAACCAAAATTCAGATAAGCAATCACAGTATCTGCTTTTAACTTTATATTGCTGGAAGAGGCACTGAAGAGGGCAAGAGAGACAGTACTGAATCACTGACAGCACTGTGCCTCCCATCCCCCAGCTATGTGGCATGGAGAGAGAATCTGAGAGCTTGGGGGAGGGAAAGTGCAGTGCTTTGGGACTGTCCATCGAGCTCAGTGATTCCCTGTTGCCACAGAAAGCAGAACCAGGCTAAATTCAGCCCACACCCAGCACAGAGGGAGCATTTAAACCAGCCCTAGCCAGAGGGGAATCACATATCTCAGGGGTCAGAAACTGAGTTCCAGAAAACCTTGCCACCACGGGCTAAAGTGCTCTGGGGTTCTAAATAAACTTGTAAGGCAGTCTAGGCCACAATAACTGCAATTCCTAGGCAAGTCCTATTGCTGAGATGGGCTCAGAGCCAGTGGATGTGGGGGGCACACAACCTAGTGAGACACCAGCCAGGGTGGCTAACCCCAGGCAGCACAGCTCACAGAAACAAAAGTGACTCTTTTCCTCTGCTTAAAGAGAGGAGATGGAGCAGTAAAGAGAACATTGTCTTGCATCTTGGATACCAGCTCAACCACAGTAGGAGAGGACACTGGGCAGAGTCAATGGGCACACATTTCAGGCCCTGGCTCTTGGACATTTCCAGACACACCCTGGGCCAGAAGGGAATCCACTGCCTTGGAGGGAAGGACCTAGTCTTGTCAGAATTCATCATCAGCTGACTAAAGAGCCCTTGGACCCTGAACAACCAGCAGTGCCAGGTAGTATCCTGTGGGCCTTGAATGAGATTCTGAAATATACTGGCTTCAGGTACCAGCTTGACCACAGTGGGGTAGAGCACCAAATGGGCTCTTGGGGTCCCTGATTCCAGGCCTTGGCTCTTGGACAGCATTTCTGGACCTGCTCTAGGCCAGAAGGGAGCCCACTGACCTGAAAGGTGAGTCCACAGCCTAGAAGCCTTCACCACAAGCTGACTGAAGAGCCCTCAGGCCTTCAGTGGACAACCATGGTAGCCTGACAGTACTGCCTATGGGCCTGTAGTGGTGGTGGCCACAGGGAGAGGCTCCTTTGCCTATGGAAAGGAGAAGGAATTCTGGGTATGACTTTGTCTTGTGCTACTACTGAGTGCCAGCTTAGCCTCTGTAGTATACCACACCAGGTAGGTTTCTAAGGTCTTTGACTACAGACCCTTGCTCCTGGATGGCATCTCTGGACCCACCTTGGACTTGGGGGAACTCACCACCCTAAAGTGAAGGACAAAAGCCTGGCTGGCTTTACCATTTGCTAATTGTAGAGCCCTGGGGCTTTGAGTGAACATAGGTGGTAGCCAGGTAGTGCTTACAGCGGGCCTTGGGTGAAACCCAGTGATGTGTTGGCTTCAGGTCTGACCAGCACAGTCCCAGTGGTGGTGGCCACAGGTAAGCTTGTGTCACTCCTCCCCAAGCTTCAGGTGGCTTAGCATAGAGAGAGAGTCCATTTCTTTGGGAGAAAGTAAGAGAAGAAAACAAGAGTCTCTGCCTCGTAATGCAGAGAATTCTTCTGGATCTTATCTAAGACCACCAAGGCAGTATTTTTTTTAATATTTATTTTTTGAAACAGAGTTTCACTCTTGTTGCCAAGGCTAGAGCGCAATGGTGTGATCTCAGCTCACCGCAACCTCTGTCTCCCGGGTTTAAGCGATTCTCCTGCCTCAGTCTCCTGAGTAGCTAGGATTATAGGCATGTGCCATCATGCCTGGCTAATTTTTGTTTGTTTGTTTGTTTGTTTGTTTTAGTAGAGACAGGGTTTCTCCATGTTGGTCAGGCTGGTCTTGAACTCCCGACCTCAGGTGATCTGCCCGCCTCGGCCTCCCAAAGTGCTGGGATTACAGGCGTGAGCCACTGCGCCTGGCCCCAAGGCAGTATTTTTATGAGTCTGCAAGAACCACAGTGTTACTGGGCTTGGGATGCTGCCTAATGCAGATACGGCTTAGATCACAACACCCAAGTCCCTTTGAATACCTGGAAAGCTTTACCAAGAAAGATGGGTACAAACAAGCCCAGACTGCAAAGGCTACAATAAATACCTAACTCTTTAATGCCTAGACACCAATGAACAAGACCATCTAGGAAAACATGACCTGACCAAACAAACTAAATAAAGCATCAGGGACCAATCCTGAAGAAAAGAGATATGTGACCTTTCAGAGAGAGAATTTAAAATAGCTGTTATGAGAAAACTCAAATTCAAGATAACACAGCGAAGGAATTCAGAATTCTATCAGATAAATTTAATAAAGAGATTAAAATAAGAATCAAGCAGAAATTCTGGAGTTGAAAAATGCAGCTGACATATTGAAGAATGTATCAGAATCTCTTGATAACAGCATTGATCAAGAACAAAAAAGAATTAGTAAGCTTGAAGACAGGATATTTGTAAATACACAGAGGAGACAGAATAAGAACGAATGAAGCATGATCTAGAAAATAGCCTCAAAAGGGCAAATCTAAGATTTATTGACCTTAAAGAGGAGGTAGAGAAAGAGATAGGGGTAGAAAGCTTATTCAAAGGGATACTAACATAGAACTTCCCAAACCTAGAGAAAGATACCAATATTCAAATACAAGAAGATTCTAGAATACCAAGCAGATTTAACCCAAAGAAGACTACCTCAAGGTATTTAATAGTCAAAGTTCCAAAGGTCAAGGATAAAGAAAGGATCCTAAAAGCAGCAAGAAAAAAAAGACTTATAATTGAACTCCATTATATCTGGCAGCAGAGTTTTCAATGGAAACTTTATGGGCCAGAAGAGAGTGGCAGGACATATTTAAGGTGCTGAAGGAAAAAAAAGAAAAAAACTTTTGCTCTAGAATAGTATATCTGGTGAAAATATCCTTCCAACATGAAGGAGAAATACAGACCTTCCCAGACAAACAAAAGCTGAGGATGTCATCAACACCAGAGCTGTCTTACAAGAAATGCTAAAGGGAATTCTTCAATCTGAAAGAAAAGGGTGTTAATAAGCAACAAGAAATGATGTGAAGGTACAAAACTCACTGGTAATACATACACAGAAATACAAATAGTATTATAACACTGTAATTATGGTGTGTAAACTACTCATATATTAAGTAGAAGGATGAAAAGAAGAACTGATAAATAATGACTACAACAACTTTTGCGGTACAATAGGCAGTACAATAAGATATAGAGACAAAAAAACTTAAAAAGCGGAGAGACAAAAGTTGAAGTGTAGAGATTTTTTGTTTTACTTTAAGTTCTGGAATACGTGTGCTGAACGTGCAGGTTTGTTACATACGTATACAGTGCCATGGTGGTTTGCTGCACCTATCAACCCATCATCTAGGTTTTAAGCCCTACATGCATTAGGTATTTGTCCTAATGCTCTCCCTCCCCTTGGCCCCCATCTCCCCACAGATCCCGGTGTGTGATGTTCCCCTCCCTGTGTCCGTGTATTCTCATTGTTCAACTTCCACTTATGAGTGAGAACATATGGTGTTTGGTTTTCTGTTCCTGTGTTAGTTTGCCGAGAATGGTTTCCAGCTTCATCCCCACAAAAGACATGAACTCATTCTTTTTTTATGGCTGCATATTATTCCATGGTGTATATGTGCCACATTTTCTTTATCCAGCCTATCATTGATGGGCATTTGGGTTGGTTCCAAGTCTTTGCTATTGTAAATAGTGGTGCAGTAAACATATGTGTGCATGTGTCTTTATAGTAGAATGATTTATAATCCTTTGGGTATATACCCAGTAATGGGATTGCTGGGTCAAATGGTATTTCTAGTTCTAGAATCTAGTTCTAGAATCACCACGCTGTCTTCCACAATGGTTGAACTAATTTACACTCCCACCAACAGTGTAAAAGCGTTCCTATTTCTCCACATCCTCTCCAGCATCTGTTGTTTCCTGATTTTTTAGTGATCGCCATTCTAACTGGCATGAGATGGTATCTCCTTGTGGTTTTGATTTGCATTTCTCTGATGACCAGTAATGATTAGCTTTTTTTTCCATATGTTTCTTGGCCACATAAATGTCTTCTTTTGAGAAGTATCTGTTCGTATCCTTTACCCACTTTTTGATGGGGTTGTTTTTTTCTTGTAAATTTAAGTTCCTTGTAGATTTTGGATATTAGACCTTGTCAGATGGATAGATTGCAAATATTTTCTCCCATTCTGTAGGTTGCCTATTCACTCTGATGCTAGCTTCTTTTACTGTGCAGAAGCTCTTTAGTTTAATTAGATCCCATTTGTCAATTTTGGCTTTTGTTGCAATTGCTCTTGGTGTTTTAGTCATGAAGTCCTTGCCCATGCCTATGTCCTGAATGGTATTGCCTGGGTATTCTTCTAGGGTTTCCGTGGTTTTAGGTTTTACATTTAAGTCTTTAATCATCTTGAGTTAATTTTTATATAAGTTGTAAGGAAGGGGTCCAGTTTCTGTTTTCTGCATATGACTAGCCAGTTTTCCCAGCACCATTTATTAAATAGAGAATCCTTTCCGCATTGCTTTTTTGTCAGGTTGGTCAAAGATCAGATGATTTTAGGTGAGTGGTGTTATTTCTGAGGTCTCTGTTCTGTTCCATTGGTTTATATATCTGTCTTCATACCAGTACCATGCTGTTTTCGTTACTATAGCCTTGTAGTATAGTTTGAAGTCAGGTAGTGTGATGCCTCCAGCTTTGTTCTTTTTACTTAGGATTGTCTTGGCTATATGGGCTCTTTTTTGGTTCCATATGAAATTTAAAGTAGTTTTTTCTAATTCTGTGAAGAAAGTCAATGATAGCTTGATGGGAATAGCATTGAATCTATAAATTACTTTGGGCAGTATGGCCATTTTCATGATACTGATTATTCCTATCCATGAGCATGGAATTTTTTTTCCATTTGTTTGTGTCCTTTCCTTTCCTTCAGCAGTGGTTTGTTGTTCTCCTTGAAGAGGTCCTTCACATCCCTTGTAAGTTGTATTCCTAGGTATTTTCTTCTCTTTGTAGCAATTATGAATGGGGATTCACTCATGATTTGGCTCTCTGCTTGTCTATTTTTGGTGTATAGGAATGCTTGTGAATTTTGCACATTGATTTTGTATCCCAAGACTTTGCTGAAGTTGGCTATCAGCTTAAGGAGTTTTTGGGCTGAGACAATGGGGTTTTCTAAATATACAATCATGTCATCTGCAAACAGAGAAAATTTGACTTCCTCTTTTCCTATTTGAATACTCTTTATTTTTTCGCTTGCCTTATTGTCCTGGCCAGAACTTCCAATACTATGTTGAATGGGAGTGGTGAGAGAGGGCATCCTTGTCTTGTGCTGGTTTTCAAAGTGAATGCTTCCAGCTTTTGCCCGTTCAGTATGATATTGCCTGTGGGTTTGTCATAAATAGCTCTTGTTATTTTGAGATATGTTCCATCAATTCCTAGTTTATTGAGAGTTTTTGGCATGAAGGGATGTTGAATTTTGTCAAAGGCTTTTTCTGCATCTATTGAGATAATCATGTGGTTTTTGTCATTGGTTCTGTTTATGTGATGTTTAGTGATTTACATATGTTGAATCAGCCTTGCATCCCAGGGATGAAGCCCACTTGATCACCATGGATAAGCTTTTTGATGTGCTGCTGGATTCAGTTTGCCAGTATTTTATTGAAGATTTTTGCATCGGTGCTCATCAGGGATATTGGCCTGAAGTTTTCTTTTTTTGTGTGTCGCTGCCAAATTTTGGTATCAGGATGATGCTGGCCTCATAAAATGAGTTAGGGAGGGGTCCCTCTTTTTCTACTGTTTGGAATAGTTTCAGAAGGAATGGTACCAGCTCCTCTTTGTGCCTCTGGTAGAATTTGGGTGTGAATCCGTCTGGTCCTGGGCTTTTTTTGGTTGGCAGGCTATTAATTACTGCCTCAATTTCAGAACTTGTTGTTGGTCTATTCAGGGATTCGACTTTTTCCTGGTTTAGTCTTGGAGGGTGTATGTGTCCAGGAATTTATCCATTTTTTCTAGATTTTCTAGTTTATTTGCATGGAGGTGTTTTTAGTATTCTCTGATGGTAGTTTGTATTTCTGTGGGATCAGTGGTGATATCCCCTTTATCATTTTTTATTGCATCTATTTGATTCTTCTCTCTTTTCTTCTTTGTTAGTCTGGCTGGCAGTCTATTTTGTTAATCTTTTCAAAAAACCAGCTCCTGGATTCATTGATTTTTTTGGAAGGGTTTTTCATGTCTCTATCTCCTTCAGTTCTGCTCTGATCTTAGTTATTTCTTGTCTTCTGCTAGCTTTTGAATTTGTTTGCTCTTGCTTCTCTAGTTCTTTTAATTGTGATGTTTGGGTGTCGATTTCAGATCTCTCTAGCTTTCTGATATGGGCATTTAGTGCTATAAATTTGCCTCTAAACACTGCTTTAGCTGTGTCCCAGAAATTCTGGTACGTTGTCTCTTTGTTTTCATTTGTTTCAAAGAATTTCTTTATTTCTGCCTTGATTTTGTTATTTACTCAGTAGTCATTCAGTAGCAGGTTGTTCAATTTCCATGTATCTGTGTGGTTTTTAGTGAGTTTCTTCATCCTGAGTTCTAATTTGATCGTACTGTGTTCTGAGAGACTGTTTGTTATGATTTCCATTCTTTGGCATTTGCTGAGGAGTGTTTTACTTCCAGTTATGTGGTCAATTTTAGAATAAGTGCTATGTGATGCTGAGAACAATGTACATTCTCTTGATTTGGGGTGGAAAGTTCTGTAGATGTCTATTAGGTCCGCTTGGTCCAGAGCTGAGTTCAAGTCCTGAATATCCTTGTTAATTTTCTGTCTCATTGATCTGTCTAATATTGACAGTGGAGTGTTAAAGTCTCGCACTGTTATTGAGTAGGAATATAAGTCTCTTTGTAGGTCTCTAAGAACTTGTTTTATGAATCTAGGTGCTCCTGTATTGGGTGCATTTATTTAGGATAGTTAGCTCTTCTTGTTGCATTGATCCCTTTACCATTATGTAATGCTCTTCTTTGTCTTTTTTTATCTTTCTTAGTTTGAAGTCTGTTTTATCAAAGGCTAGGATCTTGGCCGGGTGCAGTGGCTCATGCCTGTAATCCCAGCACTTTGGGAGGCTGAGGTGGTTGGATCACGAGATCAGGAGATCGAGACCATCCTGGCTAACACGATGAAACCCCATCTCTACTAAAAATACAAAAAAATTAGTCAGGCATGGTGGCGGGCACCTGTAGTCCCAGCTACTCGGCAGGCTGAGGCAGGAGAATGGCGTGAACCCGGGAGGTGGAGCTTGCAGCGAGCCAAGATAGCGCCACTGCAGTCTGGCCTGGGCAAAAGAGTGAGACTCCATCTCAGAAAAAATAAAAAATAAAAAATAAAATTAAAAAAAATGGCTAGGATCACAACCCCTGCTTTTTTTTTTTTTTTTTTTTTTTTTGCTTTCCATTGCTTGGTAAATATTCCTCCATCCCTTTATTTTGAGCATATGTGTGTCTTTGCACATGAGATGGATCTCCTGAATAAAGCACACTGATGGGCCTTAACTCTTTATCCAGTTTGCCAGTCTGTGTCTTTTAATTGGGGCATTTAGCCCATTTACATTTAACGTTAACATTGTTATGTGTGAATTTGGTCCTGTCGTCATGATGCTAGCTGGTTATTCTGCACATTAGTTGATGCAGTTTCTTCATAGTGTCATTGGTCTTTATATTTTGGTGTGGTTTTGCAGTGGCTGATACTGCTTTTTCCTTTCCATGTTTAGTGCTTCCTTCAGGAGCTCTTGTAAGGCAAGCCTCAGCATTTGCTTGTTTGGAAAGGATTTTATTTATCCTTTACTCATGAAGCTTAGTTTGGCTGGATATGAAATTCTGCTTGAAAATTCTTTTCTTTATGAATGTTGAATATTGGCTCCCACTCTCTTCTGGCTTGTAGGGTTTCTGCAGAGAGATTTGCTGTTAGTCTGATGCACTTCTCTTTGTAGGTAACCTGACCTTTCTCTCTGGCTGCCCTTAACGTTTTGTCCTTCATTTAAACCTTGGAGAATCTGACAATTATATGTCTTGGGGTTGCTCTTCTTGAGGAGTATCTTAGTGGTGTTCTCTGTATTTCCTGAATTTGAATGCTAGCCTGTCTTGCTAGGTTGGGGAAGTTCTCCTGGATAATATCCTGAAGTGTGTTTTCCAACTTGGTTCCATTCTCCCCGTCACTTTCAGGTACAGCAATCAATTGTAGGTTTGGTCTTTTCATATAGTCCCATATTTCTTGGAGGTTTTGTTCGTTCTTTTTCATCATTTTTTCTCTAATCTTGTCTGCATGCCTTATTTCGTTAAGTTGATCTTCAATCTCTGATATCCTTTCTTCCACTTGATTCATTTGGCTATTGATACTTGTGTATGCATCACAAAGTTCTCATGCTGTGTTTTTCAGCTCCATGAGGTCATTTATGTTCCTCTCTAAACTGGTTATTCTAGTTAGCAGTTCCTGTAACCTTTTATCAGGTTCTTAGCTTCCTTGCATTGGGTTAGAACATGCTTCTCTAGCTCAGAGGAATTTGTTATTACCCACCTTCTGAAGCCTACTTCTGTCAATTCGTCAGTCTCATTCTCCGTCCAGTTTTGTGCCCTTGCTGGAGAGGAGATGTGATCATTTGGAGGAGAAGAGGCATTCTGGTTTTTAGAATGTTCAGCATTTTTGTGCTGGTTTTTCCTCATCTTTGTGGATTTATCTGCCTTTGCTCTTTGAGGCTGATGACCTTTGGATGGGGTTTTTGTGTGGGGGGTCCCTTTTGTTGATGTTGATTTTGTTGCTTTCTGTTTGCTAGCTTTTCTTCTAAGAGTCAAGCCTGCAGTCCTGCAGGTCTGCTGCAGTTTGCTGGAGGTCCACTCCAGACCCTGTTTGCCTGGGTATCACCAGTGGAGGCTGCAGAACAGCAAAGATTGCTGCCTACTCCTTCCTCTGGAAGCTTTGTCCCAGAAGGGCACCAGCCTGATGCCAACCAGAGCTCTCCTGTTTGAGGTGTCTGTTGACCCCTGTTGGGAGGTCTTGCCTGCTCAGGAGGCATGGGGCTCAGGGACCCACTTGAGGAGGCAGTCTGTCCCTTAGCAGAGCTCATGCACTGTGCTGCGAGAATCCCCCTTGTCAGGATCAGCTGCTCTCTTCAGAGCCAGCAGGCAGGAGAGTTCAAGTCTGCTGAAGCTGTGCCCACAGCCACCCCTTCTCCAGGTGCTCTGTCCCAGGGAAATGGGAGTTTTATCTATAATCCCCTGACTGGGGCTGCTGCCTTTCTTTCAGAGATGCCCTGCCCAGTGAGGAGGAATCTAGAGAAGCAGTCTGGCCTCAGCTGCTTTGCTGTGCTTTGGTGAATTCTGCCCAGTCCAAGCCTCCCAGCCTCCTTAGCACTATCAGGGGAAAACCGCCTACTAAAGCCTCAGTAATACCAAATGCCCCTCCCGCCACCAAGCTTGAGCATCCCAGGTCAACTTCAGACTGCTGTGCTGGCAGTGAGAATTTGAAGCCAGTGGTTCTTAGCTTGCTGGGCTCCATGGGAGTGGGACCCACTGAGTGAGACCACTTGGCTTCCTGGCCTCAGCCCCCTTTCCAGGGGAGTAAATGATTCTGTCTTGCTGGGGTTCCAGGCACCACTGGGGTACAGAAAAAACTCCTGCAGCTAGTTCAATGTCTGTCCAAACAGCAACTCAGTTTTGTGCTTGAAACCCAGGGCCCTGGTGGTATAGGCACATGAAGGAGTCTCCTGATCTGCAGATTGCAAAACCCATGGGAAAAGCATAGTATCCAGGCCGGGTATCACAGTCCCGGGTATCACAGATGACGGGTTGATGGGTGCAGCAACTGCATGCAAACTGCATGTTTGCAGTTCCCTCGGCTGGGGGAGGGAGGTCTCCCGGCTCCTTGCACTTCCCAGGTGAGGCGATGCCCCACCTGCTTCTGTGTGCCCTCCGTGGGCTGCACCCACTGCCTAATCAGTCCCAATGAGATGAACTTGGTACCTCAGTCAGAAATGCAGAAATCACCCAGTGTTGATCTCACTGACAGCTACAGACTGGAGCTCTTCCTATTCTGCCATCTTGCCAGATGTAAAGTGTAGAATTTTTGATTTTGTTTTTTTGCTTGTTTATGCAATTAGTGTTAAGTCATCATCAGTTTAAAATAATGAGTTGTAAGATATTTTCAAGCCTCATGGTAACCTCAGATCTAAAACATATGGCAGACACACAAATAAAAAGCAAGAAATTAAAGCATGCCACTAGAGAAAATCACCTTCACTAAAAGGAAGACAGAAGGGAAGTAACAAAGGAAGAGAATATCTTCACCAGAAAACAAATAATAAAATGGCAAGAGTGAGTCCTTACGTATCAATAATAATATTAAATGTAAATGGGCTAACCTTGCCAATCAAAAGACAGAGTGGTTGAATGGACCCCTGCCCCCACAAAAAAAGACCCAATTATCTGTTGCTTACAAGAAACACATTTCAACCTATAAAAATACACATAGACTGAAAATTAAGGGCTTGAAAAAAGATATTCCGTGCCAATAGAAACCAGAAAAGATCAGGAGTAGCTATACTTGTATTAGGCAAAGTAGAGTTCAAGATAATAACTATAAGAAGAGACAAAGAAGGTCATTACATCATGATAAAGGGATCAATTCAGCAAGACGATATAACAATTTCAAAGAAACATCTAACTTAATCTGCACTGTAGACCAAATATACCTAATAGATATTTACAGGACATTTCATCCAGCAATTCCAAGAGAAGAATACACATTCTCCTCAGCACATAGCTCATTCTCAAGGATAGACCATATGTTAGATCACAAAACAAGTCTTGAAACATTCTAAAAAATTGAAATACTATCAAGCATCTTCTCTGACCAGTACAGAATAAAACTAGAAGTTAATAATGAGACATTTTGGAAACTATACAGACATACACATAGTAATTAAACAATATGCTCCTGAATGACCAGAGGGTCAAGGAAGAAATTAAGAAGGAAATTGAAAATTTTATTGAAATAAATTACAATGGAAACACAACTTACCAAAACCTGTGGGATTTGTTTGTGTCTTTTTTACTTCCTTGAGCAGTGGTTTGTAGTTCTCCTTGAAGATATGAACAGACACTTCTCAAAAAAAAGACATTTATGCAGCCAAAAAACATATGAAAATGTGCTCATCATCACTGGTCATTAGAGAAATGCAAATCAAAACCACAATGAGATACCATCTCACACCAGTTAGAATGGCGATCATTAAAAAATCAGGAAACAACAGATGCTGGAGAGGATGTGGAGAAATAGGAACGCTTTTACACTGTTGGTGGGAGTGTAAATTAGTTCAACCATTGTGGAAGACAGTGTGGCAATTCCTCAAGGATCTAGAACCCAAATACCATTTGACCCAGTGATCCCATTACTGGGTATATACCCAAAGGATTATAAATCATTGTATTATAAAGACACATGCACACATATGTTTATTGCACCACTATTCACAATAGCAAAGACTTGGAACCAACCCAAATGCCCATCAATGATAGGCTGGATAAAGAAAATGTGGCACATATACACTGTGAAGTACTATGCAGCCATAAAAAAAGATGAGTTTATGTTCTTTTCAGGGACACGGATGAAGCTGGAAACCATCATTCTCAGCAAACTAACACAAGAACAGAAAACCAAACACCACATGTTCTCACTCATAAGCGGGAGTTGAACAAGGAGAACACATGGACACAGGGAGGGGAACATCACACACCGGGGTCTGTTGGGGGGTGGGGGCAAGGGGAGGGAGGGAATTAGGAGAAATACCTAATGTAGATGACGGGTTGATGGGTGCAGCAAACCACCATGGCACGTGTATGCCTATGTAACAAAACTGCATGTTCTGCACATGTACCCCAGAACTTATAAAAATCCTGTGGGATACAGCAAAAGCAGTATTAAGAGGGAAGTTTCTAGTTAAAAGCACCTGCATCAATAAAGAGAAAAACTTCAAGTAAACAACCTAATGATCTTAAAGAACAAGAAAAGCAAGAGTAAGTCAACCTAAAATTAGTAGAAGAAATAATAAAGCTTAGAGCAGAAATACATGAAATTGAAGTGAAGAAAACAAGACAAAAGATCAACAAAATAAAAAGTTGGTTTTTTTTTTAAAAGATAAAATTGACAAACCTTTAGCCAGACTAAGAAAAGAAGAGGGAAGATCCAAGTAACTAAAGTCAGAGACAAAAAAAGGAGACATTACAACTGATACCACAGAAATTCAAAGGATAATTAGTGGCTGCTATGAGCAACTCTATGCCAATAAATTGGAAAATCTGGAAGAAATGGATACATTCCTAGACATGTGCAACCTACCAAGATTGAACCAGGAAGAAATGCAAACCTGAACAGACCACTAAGCAGTAATGAGATTGAACCTGTAATTTAAAAATCTTCCAACAAAGAAAACCCTGAGACTTGATGGCCTCACTGCTAAATTCTGCCAAAGATTTCAAGAACTAATACTAATCCTTCTGAAACTATTATGAAAAATAGAGGAGGAGGGAATACCTCCAAACTCATCTACAAGGCCCGTATTACCCTGTTACCAAAACCAGACAAAGATACATCAAAAAAAAAAAAAAAAAAAAAAAAAAAAAGGAACCACGGGCCAATATCCCTGATAAATATTGATGCAAAAATCCTCAACAAAATACTAGCAAAGCAAATTCAGCAACACCTTAAAAAAGATCACTCTTCATGACCAAGTGGGAGTTATCCCAGGAATGCAAGGATAGTTCAACATATGCAAATCACTTTATGTGATACATCGTATCAACAGAATGAAGGACAAAACCACATGAGCATTTCAATTGATGCTGAAAAAGCACTTGATAAAATTCCACATCCCTTCAACATAAAAACTGTCAAAAACCTAGGTATAGAAGGAACATACCTCAACATAATAAAAGCCATATATGACAGACCCACAGCTAGTAACATACTGAATGGGGAAAAACTGAAGGCCTTTCCTCTAAGACCTGGAACATGACAAAGATGCCCACTTTCATCACTGTTATTTAACACAGTAGTGGAAATCCTAGCTAGAGCAATCAGACAAGAGAAGAAAATAAAGGGCATCCAAGTTGGAAAGAAAGAAGTCAAATTATCCTTGTTTGCAGATGATGTGGTCTTATATTTGGAAAAATCTAAAGACCCCACAAAAAAACTATTAGAACTGATAAATTCAGTAAAGTTGCAGGATACAAAGTCAACATACAAAAATCAGTAGCATTTCTATATGCCAACAGTGAACAATCTGAAAAACAAATCAAGAAAGTAATCCCATTTAAAATAGCTACAAATAAAATACCTAGGAATAAACTTAACCAAAGAAGTGAGAGATCTCTACAATGAAAATTATAATACACTGATGCAAGAAATTGAAGAGGACCCAAAAATGGTAAGATATTTCATGTTCATGGACTGGAAGAATCAATATTGTTAAAATGTCTGTATTGTCTAAAGCAATCTACAGATTCAGTGCACCCCCTATCACAATACCAATGACATTCTTCACAGAAATAGTAAAAACACTCCTCAAACTTATATGGAATCACTAAAGTCCCAGAATAGTCAAAGCTATCCTGAGCAAAAGAACAAAACTGGAGGGAGCACATTACCTGAGTTCAAATTATACTACAGAGTCATAGTAACCAAAACAGTATGTACTGACATAAAAACAGACACGTAGACCAATGGAACAGAATAGAAAACCCAGCAAACAAATCCATATGTCTACGACAAACTCATTTTTGACAAAGGTGCCAAGAACATGCATTGGGAAATGGACAGTCTCTTCAATAAACGATGCTGGGAAAACTGGATGTCCATATGCAGAAGAATGAAACTAGACCCCTATCTCTCACCATATAAAAAAAACAAATCAAAGTGAATTCAAGAATTAAATCTAAGACTTCAAACTATGAAACTACTAAAAAGACATTGGAGAAACTCTCCAGGACATTGGAGTGGGCAAAGACTGCTTGAGTAATCCCTACAAGCACAGGCAACCGAAGCAAAAATGGACAAATGGGATCACATCAAGTTAAAAAGCTTCTGCACAGCAAAGGAAACAATGAGACAGCCTGCAGAATGGGAGAAAATATTTGCAAAGTGCCCATCTGACAAGGGACTAATAACCAGAATATGTAAGGAGCTCAAACAACCGCACAAGGAAAACATCTAATAATCCAATTAAAAGATGGGCAAAAGACCTGAATAGACATTTCTCGAAAGAAGACAAATGGATGAAACTGGAAACCATCATTCTCAGCAAACTATCGCAAGGACAGAAAACCAAACACCGCATGTTCTCACTCATAGGTGGGAACTGAACAATGAGAACACATGGACACAGGAAGGGGAACATCACACACTGGGGACTGTTGTGGGGTTGGGGGGAGGGGGGAGGGATAGCATTAGGAGATATACCTAATGCTAAATGACGAGTTAATGGGTGCAGCACACCAACATGGCACATGTATACATATGTAACAAACCTGCACATTGTGCACATGTACCCTAAAACTTAAAGTATAATAATAATAAAAAAACAAATGACAAATAAATAAATGAAAAGGTACTCAACGTCACTGATCATCAGAGAAATGCAAATGAAAACTATAATGAGATATGACCCCACCCTGGTCAATATAGCTTTTATCCAAAAGATAGGCAATAATGGATGCTAGTGAGGATGTGGAGAAAAGGGAATCCTTGTACACTGTTGGTGGGAATGTAAGTTACTACAACCACCGTGGAGGACAGTTTCGAGGTTCCTCAAAACTAAAAATAGAGCTACCTCTGATCCAGCAGTCCCACTCTAGTTATATATCCAGAAGAAAGAAAATCAGTCCAGCAGAGAAGGATCCGCACTCCTGTGTTTATTGCAGCACTATTCACAATAGCCAAGATTTGGGAGCAAACTGAGTGTCCATCAACAGATGAATGGATAAAGAAAATGCTGTGTATACACGCAACGGTATACTAGTTAGCCATGAAAAAGAATGAGAACGTGTCATTTGCAACAACATGGATGGAACTGGAGGTCACTATATTAAGTGAAATAAGCCAGGCACAGAAAGACAAACTTTGCATGTTCTCACTTATTTGTGGGAGATAAAGATTAAAACAATTGAACTCGAGATAGAGTAAAAGGATGGTTACCAGAGGCTGGGAAGGGTAGTGGGGGTTGTGAGGGAAGTAGAGATGGTTAATGGAAACAAAAAAAAAATAGAAAAATGATTAAAACCTGGTATTTGATAGCACAACAGGGTGACTATAGTCAATGATTTAATTATACATTTAAAAATAACTAAAAGAGAGCTGGGCACAGTGGCTCACAGCTGTAATTTCAGCACTTTGGGAGGCCGAGTCATATGACTCACTTAAGGCCAGGAGTTCGAGGCCTGCCTGGCCAACATGGTGAAACCCCCTTCTCTACAAAAAACAGGAAAATTAGCTGGACTTGGTGGCATACACCTGTAATCCCAGCTACTTGGGTGGCCGAGGCATGAGAATCACTCGAACTCAGGAGGCGGAGGTTGCAGTGAGCTGAGATCGCGCCACTGCACTCCAGCCTGGGTAACAGAGTGAGACTGTCTCTAAATAAATAAGACGAAAAGAGTATAATGAGGTTGTTTGTAAGACAAGGGGTAAATGTTTGAGGTAGTAGATACCCCCATTTACCTCTATGTGATTATTATGTACTGTCTGTCTATGTTAGAATATCTCATGGACCCCATAAACCTATACACCTACTATGTACCCACAAAAAGCAAAAAGAAAAAGAGCTTATGGGTATCAATTTTTCTGTTAGTAACGCTTTTGTTGTGTCCCAGCAAGTTTTGGTACATTGTCTTCTCATCTTTATTTGCATTTAAGTATTTTCTAATTTCCCTTCTGATTTTTTTTTTTTTTAATTTAAGTCCCAGGACACATGTGCAGGACATGCAGGTTTGTTACGTAGGTAAATGTGTGCCACGGTGGTTTGCTGCACCTGTCAACCCATCACCTAGGTGTTAAGCCCTACATGCATTAACTATTTATTCTGATGCTCTCTCTCCCTCTGCCCCCCTTTTTCTTTGATTCATTGGTTAAGAGTATGTTGTTTCATTTCCATACATTTGTTAATTTTTCCATTTTACTTCTATTATTGATTTCTAAGCTTATCCCATTATCGTTGGAGAAGATCCTTTGTATGACTGGCATCTTTTTGAGTACTTTGAGACTTAATTCGTGGCCTGATCTCTCCTGGGAACATTTCCACGTGCACTTGGGATGCACATGCATGCTGTGGTCATGGGTCGAGTGTTCTCTGCATGTTGGTTAGATCTAGGTGGCTTATTGTGTTAAGTCCTCTATTCTGTAACTTATCTTCTGCCTGGTTGTTCTATTCATTATAGAGAATGTGGTACTGAAGTCTCTCACCATCATTGTAGAACTATTTCTCCCTTCGGTTCTGTAAATTTTTCCTTTGTGTCTTTTGATCGTTAGCTGTTAGAGGCATAAATGTTTATAATGGTTATCTGTAACATCTTCTTGCAGCCTCGAACCTTTAAGTGTGCAGCGTCCTCTTTTGTCTCTTGTGACCTTTCTAGGTTTATTATAAAACCATTTTTGGCTGATGTTAGTGTAGCCACTCTGCTTTTTGTGTTTGCCATTTGCATGGAACCTCTTTCTCCACTCTTTCCACCCTTTCACTTTCAATCTTTTTGTGTCTTTGGCTCTAACGCGAGTCTCTAGTAGACAGCATGTAGCTGGATCATGTTTATCTATTCTGCCACTGCCGATATCACCTTTTGATATACAGACTTTACATTTTCATAAAATTTAATTTGTCCACGTGCTTAGCCCCTGTGATCCAGCAATCCCACTGCTAGTTATATATCCAAAAAGAAAGAAAATCAGTCCAGCAGGGACAGATGCGCACTCCTACGTTTACTGCGGCACTGTTCACCGGAGCCTGTGCCTTCAATGTCGTATTCAAGAAATCATCCTCAAATCCAAAGTCTTTCTATTTTCTCCTATGTGTTCCTATTGCTTTAGGTCTTACATTTATACCTTTGACCCATATTGAGTTAATTTTTTATATCCAGCTTTATTCTTTTGCATGTAGATACTCAGTTATCCCACCATCATTTGTCGAAAAGACTATACGTGAACTTTTTGAATTTGCTTTTCTCACGTAATAGTATTTCCTAGAGACCACTACATATCAGTTCGTGGGGTCCTTCCATATTCTTTTTTACAGCCACCCCATACTTTATGGTTGGATGTGCCATGCTTATTCAAACCCTCTCCTATTTATGGGCATTTAGGTTGTTCTGATATTGTGCAATGATAAATAATGTTGCAAAGTATAGCCTTATACATATGTCTATTGTATTCTTGAAACAATGTTGCAAAGAATAACTTCGTAGGTATGGATGTTCCTATTGTTGGAGGTGTTATCTTCAGGGTAGATTCCTAGAAATGGGAGTGTTGGGCTGAAAGAGAAGCCCGTAGTTTTGTTGGATGTGACCAAATTTCCCTGCAGAACGGTTGCACATTTGCACTCCCCCAGCAATGCATGAGCATACCGGTTTTTTCTACAGTTGCGCCAGCAGCGTGCTGTCACACCACTTTTTGCCAGGTCCATAGCTTTGTTTTAATCTGTATTTCTGTAATTACATTGAATTTGAATGTTTTCCCTGTGTCTAAAAGTCATGTGTGTGTGTATTTGTAAATCGTCTGTCTTCTCATTTCCAACTTCTTCCATTGGGTTTTTGGTTCTTGGTCTCTCAATTTTTAAGTCATTTATATTGTGGGAACGTTTGTCTGGACTAATGTGAATTGTTTTCCCAGCTGGTCACTTGTCTTTGACTTTGCTTATGGTGCTTTTTGCTATGAGAAATTTCGCATGTTTATATCATCAAATTTATCATGCTTCTTTCTACTGACTCCGGATTCAGGGCCACAGTTGAGAGCTTTTTCCTCCACCGAGGTTAAGGGGAATCCACTGTGTTTTCTTCTGGAGGTTTGGGGTCTTGTCTTCAGCATTTAGCTCCTTGTCCGTTTGGAGTTTGCTCTTGTGCATGATCTAAGGTAATCTTTTCTCAGAGAGTGGCCTGAGACCTCTTCCTTAGAAGTTCACCCCACTGGCTGGGGCCTTCACGAGGCCCCTCTGGCCTCTAAGTGGAGCATGGAGTGTGGGGTCATCGGGCAGGACACGAGATGCGCAGGAGGCTGTGACTGAGGTGGCTGTGGGATGGGACGGCGTGGTTTGCTCTAGAGGGTTTGAAGGAAGGGTGAGAAGTCAGGACCACTGCTGTAGAAAACAGGGTTTGCAGGTAGATAAGGTGGCGGGTGCAGCGGGAGGAAGAGAAAAGGATGCTGCTGGGACCCCTCGCACCTGGGAGGATGCACTTTCTGTTTCTGACATGGGTCAGGGTTGGGGCGAAGGAGTCCAGCTGGGGACATGTTATTTTGGAGGTGTTTGTGAGGCAGCCAGGTGAGGTGGGTTGAAGGCAGTAAGACCTGCAGGTGGGAGCTCTGGGGAGAGAGTGCGGGCTGGGCTCACAAGTTAGGGGAGGTGTCAGTGTGTAAATGACATGAGCGCAGGGGCTAGACAGGGCCTCCTGTAGCCTGGGTGGGTGGAAGGGCAGAGGGCAAGGGCCAAGTGATGGCAGCTGTGGAGGCTGAGGGCAAGGAAGGCAAGTCCGGGAGGTTGGGTGTCCTGCAGCCTCCACAGGGGCAATGGAGGAAGAACAAAGGACTCTGTGTTGAGCCCTCCTGAGAGGTTTTGGAACTGGCCTTGACTTGGTGATGTGGGGTTATGAGTTTTATTCCACACACGTATGTGGGAGTCTGGGTCCTGGTGGGTCCCAGCCCCGTACATGGAGGCTGGGACCCTGCCCTGAAACCTCTCAGACACAAACACCCAGCTCGGCCCCACAGAGCTGGCCTGGGCCCCAGCAGGGGTCTGTGTTGCCTTGGCCCCACGGCAGTGGAGCTGGGGTTTCCCAGGGATGCTGCTGCTGAAGGTGAGGTTTGCAAACACTAGGCATGCATGTTTGAGGTACCACAACCTCCACCAACCCATGGTGGTCACCAAGGGTCTTTGGGCTCCTGTGGGGACCATACTGGCTTGTCTGACTTGCCGTTACCCGGCGGAGATATGTCTTGGAAAGACTTTAGGCCAGGAGCCCATCATTGTCCTGGAACCTGGGCTTGGCAGGGCAAGCTTTGGGGAGCACTGTCCAGACAGTGCCCTGGACACTGCACCTCAGGTCAGGACACAGCTCCCGAGGCCTGGCTGCTCTGCATGGGGAGGAGTGTGGGTCCTGAGTGGAGTGTCCCATCTGTCATGCAGAGAGGGTGATGATATAACCAGCTGGGTGTTCGCACCTGAGAGGTTTCGGGGCAGGGTCCCAGCCTCCATGTACGGGGCTGGGACCCACCAGGACCCAGACTCCCAGACTAGCAGGTGGGCTTCTCAGAGCACAGAGGGTGTGGGTGACCCAGATATCCTGTTGTTGCTCAGAGACCCCCAGGGAATCCTTGAAGATGGCAGTGACCACCTGGCTTCCTCTATAGAAACTCCCCGAATGGGAGGGATGGGAAAGACTGTTGAACTAAGCTTTTTAGGAAGAAAGCCATCAATTCCCCTGCTCTCATACAGGCTTGAGGAGGGCTAAGGAAAGTCACAGTTGAATGCATGCTCCCTCCACACCCATGTGCCTGATGCACACAGCCTGGCCCTTGTGGGCACTGGAGGGCACCCTACAGTCACAGAGGCAAACGAAGAATGTAGAGCTCCAGCTGGATGAGGGCCGTGGGGAAGGGGCACAGCCCTGGGCAAGGGTGTGCAGAGTCTGCATGGGATTTGACTGAGCAATCTGGAAGGCTTCCTGGAGGAGGAGCTATTGCTCAGGGTGAAATAGAGGTCTTGAAATTAGTACAACACATGCCCCATACTGGGGAATTTGGGGGTCCCTGGGGGAAGGACTCTGTTACCAAAAGCACACAGCACAGGTTGGGAGAGCAACTATCTCAAGGCTTTTATTTGCTGTTTCATGAAACTGAAAATTTAAGTTTTTAATATCACATATTATTTCATGAAGAGTGGCTTCGGACTTTGGGGTAGGGTCTGGTAGGATCCCAGGGCCCCTTCCCTTGGCATCATCATTGTTTCCCCTCCATGTTCAAGTTCAGCATCTCTGCACCCCTTGCCTGGCAAACCCCATCTTCCTGTCCAAAGCCAGACTTGGCTCCCTTTGCTCCAGTGAGTGGCCGTTGGCTGGGAGGCTGGGTCTGTGCTGTGTGGGGGGTGTTTGGTGTCCTAGGAGGAGTCTCTGTCCTGAGCAGAGACAGAGGAAGGCAGGGCAGCCTGCTCAGAGGATGAGCCCAGCTATTCTGGGAAGCAGGCAGGAAGTGGCAGCTCCAGGTCCGGGTGTGAGGGCAGTAGTGCAGGTCGTGGTCCCAGATGGCCACGGAGGTGTCAGCGTTTCACTCCCAGCACGTCACGCCACGTCCCTTTCCTCTGCTTTGTTCCTCCTCAGCTGTGAACTGTCTGGGACTGGGCCAGGAGACAGTCCTGGGATAGGGAAAGAAAAGAGGGGCTTCCGGGGGTGGGGAGCGGGGCTGGGCGGCTGCTGGCTGAGCCAAGTGGACTGGGAGGTGTGGACAGGGAACCCTGGCGGGGCCGGCCAATGGTGGCGTGATGCAGCCTGGCTTGGGAAATGCCCATGGAGGTGACAAGTGACAGCCGGGAACAGACCCACTGCCAGGGCTGCCTCTCTCTTTAGATATGTCCTGGCATCTGACTTTGGTTTCCTGGTGTTTAAAGGCTAATTGGGATCGGTCGTGGTGCCTCAGGCCTGTCAATCCAGTACACTGGGAGGCCAAAGTGGGAGGATTGCTTGAGCCTAGGAGTTCGAGACCAGCCTGGGCAACATAGCAAGACCCCATCTCTAAAAAAAAAAATTAAAATATTAATACTAGCTGGGTGTGCTGGCACATACCTGTGGTCCCAACTACTCGGGAGGCTGAGGTAGGAGCATCACTTGAGCCCAGGAGTTCAAGGTTGCAGCAAGCTATGATCTTGCCACTGCACTCCAGCCTGAGTGACAGAACGAGACCCTGTGTCTAAAAAAAAAAAATTTTTAAATAAATAAATAAAGGTTTGTTGGACATGTTAGCTCACGCCTGCAATCTCAGCATTTGGGGAGGCTGAGGCAAGTGGATTGCTTGAGGCCAGGAGTTTGAGACCAGCCTGACCTGCCTGGGCAACATGGTGAAACCCCGTCTCTACTAAAAATACAAAAATTAGCTGGGTGTGGTGGCTCACATCTGTAGTCCCAGCTACCCTGGAGGCTGAGGTGGGAGGATCACTTGAGCCCAGGAGTAGAGGTTGCAGTGAGCTCAGATTGTGCCACTGCACTCCAGTCTGGGTGTCAGAACCAGGCCCTTTCTCAAAGGAACAAACAAGGCTAACATGTTGGGCTTTCTCTGCTTCTGGGCAATGTCCGTGAAATTGAAGCCGCACTGGTGTTGTTCCACCCTTCCTTCCAGCTGGTCTCTGAGGCCCAGGCCAGATGCTTCTCTGGTTAGCAGCAGATTCTAGGCCAGAGCCTGCCTCCAGGTCCTGGGAAGGCTGGCACGCTCAGATGCACTCCTGGGCGTGGCCTTCCTCCGATCACAGTGTGAGCGAATCTCCCTGCCCATCACTCTGCTCCCCTGGCCCAGACCAGGCCATGCCTCAGGGCTTCTGCACGTGCAGTTTTCTCTGCCTGCAGGGTCTGTCCCTAGCTCTCTACCCGATTCAGATCCCACACCAGCTCCTGGGGCAGCCCTCTTGCCCTGCCTCTCCCCGAGACGTCACCCTTTCTCTTTTCCCCATTGGTGGTGGTTTTATGTGTTCATTTACGGTTTATTTTCTCTCTCCCTGTGTCTGTTATCTGTCTCTGCACCCCTGGAGCCCAGCGTGGTGCCAGGCACACACTACGTGCCTCCTGGGTTGGGGGCAGCAGGGACAAAAGCCAGGCATGGGATGTGGCTCTTGTGGGATGCACCTTGGGTGTGACTGTCACGGAAAAGGAGGAGACGTGGGGTGGGGAAGGGGGCAGCCCCTACTGTTCCTGGCAGCAGGGCCAGAATTGAGAGCCAGAGGTTGCCACTGGAGGGCTTCCTGGGGAGGCAGCTGGCACCGCCTGATTCCTGTTTCTGAATGCCCTCTCACTCTCCCCCACCCCCATGGAACCAGAACCACCTCGTCAGGCCCAGCAGCCCTTCAGGGTCAGTCTCTGCATGGGTGGTAATATGGCTTACCTGAGTCCTGGTCAGTCTGTGGCCTGGGAGTCCACCCTCCATGACTAGTGGTTTGTGGCAGGTGACGGGTGAGTGGTCTCCATGCTCCCAGCCGCTGTGTAGAGGTGCCAACCTGCCCCTCCTGCCAGAGCTGGGCTCCTGTTGGGCGGGACTGAGGATACCGAGACAGAAATAAAACTGCTAAATGCATCTGTTGTTGAATAATTCAATGCCCCATGCCAGGCCTGTTGCAAAATTAGCCACTTCCTCCCTCCAGGCCCATGAGTGACTCCTGGATTTGGTGAAAGCCAGGCCTAGTGGAATTGTGGCCCGGAAGGTTCTCTGGGAGCTGGGAACCTCCATGCAGGAGCCCAGGGGAGGGGGTGCTTGGCCACATGCGGGCCCCTCAATCTGCCCTGTGGAGCCCGGCCTGGCCTGCAGCCCCCTGTGCAGGGAAAAACCCGCGGTTTTCCCTGGTGGAGGGCACAGGTCAGAGCGGGCATGGACAGGGCATGAGGAAGCAGTGCAGAGGAAGCGTGAGCATTTGTCTCGGGCCAGCTGGAGAAAGGAAATGGGGCTGCTTCCTGGAGGGCAGAGACATCAGGGGCTGCGCTGTCGGGCTCGGCGTGCAAGATTTGTGTCTCATCCCAGGGTTAGGTGCCTCCCAAATGCCAGGGCTTCCCATGGGCCATACACACTCAGTCGAACAAGATTTGCACAAAACCTGGGCCATAAGCTCGCTGAGCACTTGGCCTGCCCAGCCGGTGACAATGAGAACCGCACATGCTCAGCCTTCCCTGGACTCAGGGCCCTACGGGTGCTGGAGCCGGGGCGGGAGAGGGCCGCAGGCTGCCCCTGCCTCTGCATCCTCCCCGTCGATGCCTGGGGCCACTGGGATTGGCAGAAAAGGGATGCCCCCGAGATGGGCAGCCAGGAGAACTGTCTGTCTCCTATCCCAATATGCCTACCTCCCTCTCTGAATCCCCATTTCCCCCTCATCCTTGCCCCCACACACCCAGATTTGCAATGGGACACACGGCCACCTGGGATGACAACCCCTCCCAGTCTTCCCTCAAGACAAGTGTGGCCATGACCGCATGGGGCCAGCAGGGTGTGAGTTGAAGTGTCCCGCAGTGGCTTCCGGGGATGTGCAGCCCTGCCCTGAGGCCCTCTGGCCGCCTCTTGCTCTCTGAGCAGGGATGTCCGTGCCTTGGGCCTGAGGCTGAGCTGGGCTAGGTCCCTGGGTGTCTGGGGCCACACTCTCTGGTCCAGCCTGCTGTTACAGGGGATGCCTCAGGGCCACCACTGGTCATGGAGGCTGGGGGCGCCTGCCTGTCTGCCCGCCTGGAGTTCAGGTAAACAACCCCACTGAGGAGGCACCCCTAGCCGTGGGAGTTGGCGTGTCCTGCTCCCCAGGGCGGTCTGTCCCCTTGGCGAGATCCTTGCTGTGTCAGCAGAGGGTTTTCCTGGCCCAGGGTCTTGGGGAGCAGATGATGGGGCTTTAGGAGCTCTGGCTCTGGGAAGGCAGTGGACCCTGGAGCAGGGATCTTGGGAGGATGGAGAGTTGGCGGCTCAGGAAGGAGGCTGCTCAAGCCCCGGCCTGCTCACTGGGAAGAGCGGTCCTTGGAGGAGAGAGCTCCCGAGGAGAAAGCCATGATGCTGTGCTGCGCTCTGGGCCACCAGGTCTTGTCTGGGGGGAATCCTGACCCTGTGTGATGTGAGTGCAGGGACTCCCCCACCCTCCGACCAGGACCTTTGTACTCTCCTGGCCGTGTCATTGCACAACTCCAGGGGCCGTCACTCACCTGAGCCCTCTTTGCTCTTCTTGGCTGTTCCCTGATATGGCCACGCAGAGACTATCTCTAAGTGTCAGTTCTGGACTCAGCTGGAAAGGTTTCATGACCTCAAGGGACCCATGGGACTTGAGGGTGGGGCAGCTGTTTGCCCTGTGGATCAAAGGGGAGTGTCTGGGATGGGATCCACCTGCCCTGCCCTCAAAGTGCTGGGCAGTCCCTCAGAGCCATAGAGCCTAGGGGGTCTTGGGCCCTCTTCCCCAGGGCATGGCCCAGGCACCTGCTGGCCTGAGGTCCCTGCTGGGCCCAAGGCATCCCTGCCGTGTTCAGAGTTCCACAGGCACCAGTCCACCATGCTGGGGCCTACTGGGAGAGACAGCCACCCGCCTGCTGTCGGGAGCCTCCATCACCAGAGCCTGGGGGTGTCCCAGCCACCCTGGCCGCTGTTTCTCTGCCTCCGCACCGGCCTCTCTCCTGAGTTCCATCCATCCCTGCAGGTTGGGTTCTCCTCTCTCCTCTGGGATCTGCACAGGTTGCCATTCTCTCTGCCTAGACTGGGCCTCCACCTCTGAGAAGCCCTCCCTTATTGCCCCTTCCAGTGGGCTGGGAGAGGGAGGAAGGCCAGGTGCAGAAAGAGAATTCACCTGCCCGGCTAAAGCCCCACCTGCCTATTTCAAGGCCTCTGATGCCCCCCGGCCTGCAAGGTGTGTGCATGGGGCCTGTCCCATGCTGGCTCACCCAGCTGCTCAGAGAGGCAAGTGGCTCCCGGGCCCCACAGTGACACTGGGGGACTCTTTGTCTCCATTTGGGGGGTGTGCAGGTCACTCCTGGTGCCCTGGTCAGCTTCCCCAACCTGAGCTGCCCTCAGCTCCTGGCTTGGCCCTCCACGGAGTGGGAGATGCCCCCCTCCCCTGCCATTATCGTACCTTACCTCGCTGGCGGCCATGGAGGCAGTGAGAAGAGCCGAGGGAGCTGGCCGGGGCGCATTTCCGTGCAGGACACTGGCTGCCTCCCAGCTCACTCTTAGCCTGGTCATAGAGCCCGGCAGCATCTTGCCAGGTGCCTGTGGTCCCAGATCCTGGGGCTGCCCCATCTCTGGAATATTGAGGTGTGGCTGGGGCTGATCTGAGGATGAATGTGGCTCAGGTTGCCGGGTGCCCTTGACGCATTCCCATGTCCCAGTGGGGAAACCAAGGCTCAAGGAGGCCACACAGCAGCTCCATTTCCAGGGACACCCAGTGTTCTCTGTAGTGGGTAGGAGGTTTCCCTATACAGGAGACCAAGCTACAGCAAGAAAGACTTGGCCGGGCGAGGTGGCTCATGGGCGCGGTGGCTCACGCCTGTAATCCCAGCACTTTGGGAGGCCAAGGGGATCACGAGGTCAGGAGATCAAGGCCATCCTGGCTAACACTGTGAAACCCCATCTCTACTAAAAATACAAAAAATTAGCCCGGCGTGGTGGCGGGCGCCTGTAGTCCCAGCTACTCGGGAGGCTGAGGCAGGAGAATGGCATGAACCCGGGAGGCAGAGCTTGCAGTGAGCCGAGATTGCGCCACTGCACTCCAGCCTGGGCGACAGAGCCAGACTCCGTCTCGAAAAGAGACTTGGGCTAGATGTGAGGAGGGACTTTCCCAAGTAGGGATGAACCCTGAGGACCCACACCCTGAGCCGCCAGTGGGTCGTGTTGACCTGGCAGCTCCAGGGCACCTGAGGCCTTCGCTGTCCTTCCGCACCTCGCCCCCTTCCCGAGTGGAGGTGCTCTGGGAGCTCTGCCTGCTTCCTCAAGTCTTTCTTGTTTTTTTATGTTATTTTATTTTAGATTTGAGGAGTACACATACTTGTCTGTTACGTGCGTAATGGTGGGGTTTGGGCTTCTCGTGCGCCCATCAGCCGGATATTGGACGTTATACTCAATAGGTAATTTTTCAACCCTCCCCCTCTCACCCTCTCCACCTCCCCTTTGGAGTCCCAGAGTGACCTTTCTCCGTCTTTCTGTCCAAGCATCCCATCTGTCTAGCTTCCACTCATGAGTGAGAACGTGCCGTGTTTGGTTTTCTGTTTCCGGTAGTTCACTTAGGATCATGGTCTCCAGATCCATCCGTGTTGCTGCAAAGGACATGATTTCATTCACTTCTTGGAGGCTTTAACGCCTGCCCTGTGTGAGGGAGGGCGGAGCCCCTGGCCCAGGGGCGGGGAGGCCTGTCCACCCCTCCCACCCGTCCCCGAGGCCCCTGCTGCCCAGCAAGACCACCACCCTCTGCTCCAGGACAGCGCAGCCGCCATCAGTGGGGGTGAGGGGACAAGGCTGCTGGGACCAGGCCTCGCCCAGGCAGAGCCTCGCCATTTCTGGGGTGGGGGGTGCACAGGTGCATCTGGTCTGCCCAGCCCCTCCTCACCCTAGGCAGGCCTCTCACAGAGACAAGACGAGTGTCCTAGGGCAGATAGGGCCACATCCATGGGGTCACTTCAGTTTGTCCTCCCGGCGCCTTCTAAATATACTCTCTGTGGGTGTCTTATCACAGCCCAGGGAGCCAGGCTTGGTGTGGCCGGCCCTGGGAGCACAGAGCCCCGTTCCCAGCAGCCCTCGGCCCTGGGGGGCTTGTGCTCTGCCGGGCCACCTGCACCCTCCGGGCCCCAGGAGAAGCTCATGCCTTTCCTGCTTGCACCCCAGAGCCTGGCCACCCCTGTCCTCTGCTGAGGCCCTGACCACCTCTATGTGTGCCATGGCTGCAGTGACAGCCCAGACCCCAGGGGCCGGGCATCCCACAGCTCTCCTCACTGAGCCCCTGGGCCTATCCGCCCACGCCCAGGCCAGGGCTCCTGCTGGAATCTCCCTGTGGAAGGCCAGGCTGCCTGGATGCCCACCACTCCAGGCTTACTTCTGGGTTGTAGTTTTCGGGGTGCTTCGAGGTGCTGTGGGGACCTGTGATGCTGTCAGGGAGACCCGGAGTCCAGTTCTCGCCAACCGCTCGATGCTGTGTGACTTGAGGCAGGTCCCTTAACCTCTCTGAGCTTCCTCCTCTCCTGTGAACAAAGGATGGGTCCACTTCTCAGGCTTCTCATGAAGTTTAGAGGCGACAGGAGGAGGTGGGCTTTAAATGGCTCAGTCCCAGCGTCCCCTCATGCCTGGGACCGCTGACCCACCGGGATTCTTGGGGGCCACCATAGAGCCTGTTTTTAAAGGGGATGTGGCGGCCAGCTCTGGGGGCACACGTTCCTGTTTGAATTCTCAATCTCCGGGCTCAAAATTGGCCCCCAGAAAGCCTTTGAGATGGACAGGGAGCTGGACCTTCCCAATTCGGTTGCCCTTGCTTGATGTTTACATGCCACTGTTGGGTGCTCCTGATTGTGTAGCGGGTCCCCTGAAACCAACACACAGGTGCAGACACCCACATGCCATCCTGCCAGAGCCCTGGGTTCTCAGCAGGACTCTTTGCCGGGATCCTCATGCTACGGCCACCACCTGATTTTGTCGATAAAGTTTTATTAGGACACAGCCATGCCCGGCCGAATATTGCCACAGAGGCCACCTGCCCCACCACGCCTAGGACATTTCCTCTCTGGCCCAGAGGTGTGCCAGGGCTGCACTGGGCTCTTCTGGTGGGGAGGGACATTGTTCTGGCCCCTCCTGATCTCTCCCCCACCTTGCCACGACCCCCCAGAGTTTGCCTGGTGTCACCGGGAAGCTTCCTGGCTGCCCGAGGGTCCCCCAGCACCTGTCCCTCTAGGGCCTCTGAAGGGCTTTGACGTGACACTCGGGATGGCATGGCAGGGCCCTCAAGCACGGCTGTGTTCACCCCCCAGGCTGCTCCTGGAAAGGAGGGATCAGGGCCCAGGCTCCACGCTCCGCACTGAGGTGTGGTCGAGGGCCCTGGGCGTCCGGGTGAGATGGGAATGAGCCCTTGGTAGGTGCCAGGCGGGGCCAGCCCTCATCCCCACTGCAAGGCCTGAGCGTCCAGGAGCCCCGTGCGCAGCTGGACCCATCAGTCCCCACCCTGCAGGGCCGTTGAAGAGGGAATGCACACCTGTCACCTCTTGGTGCGGGGGCATCCAGGTTCCTGGCGATGGGGATGGGGTGAGATGCACCTGATGGACCTCCAGGTGGGAAGCTCCTGGGACACCCTGGAGGGCTCTGGTGGGAGACATGGCATTCTGTCTGCACCGAAGGGGGCTCAGGGCTGAGAAGCCCTGGGACGGGTTGGATTTGGGGCGCGTTCCCCAGGGCCCCACGCGTGTTGAGTCCCCGCTGCGTCACTGTCTGGCCTGTGGCGCCTCACCTCTCTGTCTGGCAGGACTCAGGCAGAATGGAAGTAAAGGCAGGACCTTGTCCCAGGACATCCAGGCATGTGGCGTGGCAACCAGGTGGGATGGCAGGGTTTCCCCCTGGCAGGATCCCCACCTCCTGCACCTGTCCTGACTTGGTCTTCTGGGGCAGCCCCTAAGACGCTTCTTCAGGGAAGAGGGACCGGTTTGGCCAGTGGGACCATGGCCCTGGGAGCATATGCCTGCACGTCCTGCCCGCTCACACCTGCCTGCTGGGGGGGCCATGCCTGCGCCCGCAGCTCACGTCAGAGCCCACCCCAGGAGGCTCCCAGCGATCTGTCAACCTGTGCTGTTGGCATGCAGCCTGGGGGTGAGGGGTGGCGGAACGCTGCCTCAGTACCACGTCCTGCTCAAAGGCCACTTGCGAGCTAGGCTGAGCCTGTGGTGTGCGGTGGGATAGGAAGGAAAAGAACAGAGTCTAAGGAGCCTAACTCACTTCCAGATTCACCCGGAGGCCTGCATGGAGGAGGCGGCACTGAGACTTCATTCACCGAGCTTGAGGGTTTACCCTAACATTCATTCACACCATCAGTCATTCAGCAAACACTTCACAAACGTGCATCCCACGCCTGGCACTGGGCCTTCGGAGGGAGGGAATGCAGCTGGTGGGCCCCTGCCTGGGGAGCCCCTGCTCTGGTCGGGGAGGCAGTGGTGGCAGTGGCTGCCTGGCGGTCCATGAACTGGTGCAAGCCAGAGCCGGAGGCCTCCTGAGAGCCTGGCAGGGAAGCCCAGGCCAGGGCCTCCGCAGAAGGAGGGTTTGGGGTCCAGGCTTCATGTGGGGGGTCTTGTAACATGGGAGGGTAGACGCTGCCTTGGGACAGGAGAGACAGAGGCGGGGGGACCAGGGGAGTGGGCTGCAGTTGGGGTGCAGGCCTGGTGGCCCCGGCAGGGGGACCAGCCTCTGGGGAGGTGCTGCAGGCACAGGAGTTCTGTGTGGACCCAGCCGAAAGCTGGCAGGAAGGGACCTGTTTCTTGGGGTTCCCAGTCCAGATCTGTGTTGGAAAAAGTGTCAGCTGAAACCCCAAGAGGCTGGGGACAGCCTTGGTCCTGCTGTGGGACACAGGTTTAATCTCCAGATGGCTCCTGGATAGGCGGGCTGGCGGCTCTGTCTAACGGGGACAGCACACTTGGGGCTTCGGGAGACAATGAGGGCAGAAATCTTACCCACCGGCCACACCAAGTCACCCATTGTTGTGTCCCTTGGGCTGGGATCCCATGGCTTTCAAGAACTTTTTAAAGAAATGAGACTCAGCTGCCGCGGAACAAGCCACAGGTAAAGAGTATAAGACAGCGTGAGGCATGGGGTGGCCACGGGAGCCCTGGGCCAAGGAGGCCCAGTCTGGTGGGGAGGCGTCCATTCACCCGGAGCTGGACGGGGAGGACCAGGCTGTGGGTCTGTGAAGCGGGTGTGGGATCACATCCACGCTCCTTCTGTGGTTTGTGCCCTGTTGTGGCTGCCAGGGGAGGGGCTTCCAAGGCCCTGCCAACCAGCTGGGCAGTGTGGACAATGGCAGACAGGGTGCTGTGTGGGGGCCTGAGGGGCAATGGTTGGGGGGCAGCTGTTGCCGTTCTGGTGAGAAGTGGCGGTCCCTGAAGGGCTGGGGTGCTAGGGAGCCTCATGGACCTACTCCCGACGTGGCAGCTGCCTGCTGCAGATGGGCCAGCCATGTCCCGCCTGTGCCGGGAATCACCACCCCCAGCTCCCTTCTCTCCAACATGACAGGGTTCGGGTGATGCCCTGTGGGCTGAATGGTGAGAGAGGCGTCCCTGTGCTGACACCAGTGGGCGTGGACGTGACCCTCTTTTTAAAAGAATTTTTTCAGATGCAATTCCATTAAGGATCTGGAGGTGAGAGGATGAAAAGGAAACTCTGAGCTTTGAGTACATTTTTAATTATGTTTTAAAAATTAAGACATGAGGCCGGGCATGGTGGCTTACGCCTGTAATCCCAGCACTTTGGGAGACTGAGTTGGGAGGATCGCTTGAGCCCAGGAAATCGAGGCTGCAGTGAGCCAGGATCATACCACTGTCCTCCAGCCTGGGTGACAGAACAAGACTCTGTCTCAAAAACAAAACAAAACAAAACAAAAAACCAAAAAACAACAACAACTAATATATGTTTTTGACCAATACCTAATTCTGTTGTTTAAGAATTCAAAATCTACCAATAGTGATCATAAGTAATGTATTAAATACTTACATAGTACAGCAGGTGTTGGCCCCCCCCCACAACATTGGTTTCCATCCCTGGAAGCTGCAAATGTGACCTGACATAGAAAACACCCCTTTGCAGCTGAGGCTGAGGGTCCCGAGAGGCGTGATTGCATTATCCAGGGGGCCCAAGTCCAGTGACACGTGTCCTCCTAAAAGACAGGACAGATTCAACAAAGGAGGATCCGGCCACATGCTGCACAGCACGGGAGTGATGCCGCCACCCACCCAGGACGCGGGAGCCCGCAGAGGCTGGAAGGCTGAAAAGGGCCCTGTCGCCCCCACCCCCCAGGATGACGTATGGCCTGATGTGGCATTCCTGCCTCAGGACCATGGCACCAAGTGGTGGCGCTGGGGCCCCTGGAGTCGGCCAGTCTGGGCACGTCCCATGCTGTGTCTGAGCCTCAGTGTCCCCATCGATTGGTAGTGCCTCCTGAACCCCAATCCAGGGGGCTTCTGGGGGGCAGCCTGGGACCAGACGTGCCTCACCAGGGCTTCTGTCTCCTCACCAGGACTTCCATGATGTGACACCTTCCACATGGGGTTCAGAGCGGGGAACCTGTGCCTAGTGTCCAGCCCAGCGTGGGGCCCTCGGTGTGGGCCAGGGCTCACCCCTTTGGGAGGGGTCGGGAGATGCCTGGCCCAGGCTCCATCCATGCAGAGCCAGGAAGCAGGTGAACCTGTGGGGACCTTGGCGACCTCCAAACCCTGCTGAGGCTGCCTGCTGACAGCCACTGGTGAGGGGGGTGACAGCCACTGGTGAGGGGGGTGACCAGCTGGTAGCTTTTTCTGAGGTGCAGATTCAGCCCTGGGGAACAGCCCTGGCAGGCTGTGAGACCTCTGCCCCTGGGCGTCCACATCCCAGGGCTCTGAGCTCAGCAGCCCTGGAGCCGGCAGCCACATCAGGGATGGAGGGAGACCTGCTGGTGACCAGTGAGTGAGCAGGGGAAGCCTGTCCTCTCCAGCGCCCAGTGTTTCCTTCCTGGGGCACATGGGATTTGGAGGCATTTGGAGTCTCCCAGGATGACTTTTTTTTTTAAGCCCCTAGAAGTGGTTTGGGGTTTAAGCGTCAATATTTAATCTCTTGAAGTTACACATTCAAGGCCCTATCCTGCCTTCGGCTTTAGGTTCGCTTCACAAACCCATTGTCTGCTTATCAGCCTGGCGAGGTCCCGTCCCCAGTAGGGGTCTTTGAACATTGCTCGATCTCATTCACCAGCCACGGGGAACATTTTGAACCCTCTGATGCTTGCTCTATGAATGTTGTTTGCTTTAAAAAAAGTTTTTTTTTTATTGTGATAAAATACACATAACACACAATTTACCGTCTTAACTCTGTGTCAGGTCACGGCCCAGTGGCAATAGGTACATTTACATGGTTGTGCAACCGTCACCACCATCCACCCCAAAACTTCTCTCCCAAACTGAAATTCTGCACCCATGAAATCCCACTCCCTCTCCCCGGCCCCGCCATCCTGCTCTCCGCAACCGTGGATCCGTCCTCCCCATGTCCACAGATCCCCTCTCCCTCGGCCCCGCTGTCCGCTTCCCTGCGACGGTGGATTTCGCTGCTCTGGGCCTTTGCGCTTCTGTGACTGGCACTGTGTGTTATCCGGTGTCCTCAAGGTGCCTCTCTGCTCATGTCCTTCCATGCATGATGCTTTCAGACTGACAAAACTCTTCAAGTATTAACGTAATTTTTAATGTTTACAGATTCAAGAAATTAAGCATACGGTCACGAGAGTGCAAAGTTCTGTGAAACGCTCCAGTGGTTACACGCCCCGGGGTTTCAGCTTCGACCCTGGGTGAGTTCCATGGTGCAGTGGCTTCCAGCTGGAGTTCTAAGGGCACCCCTTGAGCTGCCCACGTGTCTTTGCACGTGAAGTAGGTGGCTCTCTTTAAGGTTCCTCAACTTTATTGGGAAACATCTCAGGGTTACAAAACGCCCCCCATGGGCTAAAGAGGCTGTCACTCACTGTGTGTGGGGCCTGTCCCCGAGTGGGCATGGAAGGCCAGAGTCCCGGCACAGCCCCCACCCGGACTGGATTTGCTTGGCGGGTCACCTGGATCAACCAGGCCCATTTAGGAGCACCACTCAGGGGCCCTAGTGTGTGCGGCAGGGCAGGTCATGGAGTCTCCAGCCTTCAGCTCGCGTTAGCCCCAGGCCATCTGAGCCGTGGAGCCCACCCAGGCCCGCTGCCTGCACCCCGGGGGAGCCCTCCCACAGCGTCTCGGGCTATGACCCTGGCAGGGTTCCTGCATTCTCCTGTGTTCCCGGGCACCCGGGGCTGAGATGTTGAAATGATGTCGGATAATTCACCGGGTGCCTTCGGGGCTGGTACTCGCCGTCACTGCTCCTGAGGCCTATTTGCTGTCAAGGGGAACAAGTAGGAGGTTGTTTTCTGGGGTGCGGTGGGCTCCCCGCTCATGCAGCTCCCCGCCCCCCGCATGACCACGCCCTCTTGGGAGCTCGGGTGGGACAGCATTCAGGGGACCACATGAGCTGGGGGGGGGTCGGTGTCTTCTCTCCCCCACCCCTTCGCTAGCCTGTCCTGCTTCCCACTCCGAGTCCAAAACACGCATAGGATTCGTCCTCTCCCAGGGCCTTAGTTTCCCGGCTCTGCAGAGTGGGGGGCTGTGACTGCCTGGCCTTGGAGCTGAGGCAGAGGGGGTGGTAGGTGGCCCTGCAGAGGCAGGAGGGGACACAGGCACCCCAGGCCCTGAGTGCCTCAAGGGCAGGGACCCCAGCTCGGCACCTGTGAGGTTCCCAGCTCCGCCCGAGACAAGAATAGATAAAGCGGTAAATAAGATAAAACTCTTTTTATCTGGAGTAGATAAAAGTAAGCTTTGTCATATAATTCCTTCTGAGGCTAGCACGGTATATCAAAATATCGGAAGAATCATTTAGCCTTCAGAATATGGCAAGGCTGACAGCCAGCCTGGCCCATGGGCACCTGTCCCCACCATCTGCCTGGCCTGCGGGGGAACGTTCCTCAGCCCCTGCTGGCTCCCAACCCCCGGGCCTGGAGCCCTGTCTTCTGCCTCAGCCGCGATTCCACTGCACGGGACTTTCCCAGGCACCTCTGCCCAGGTAGTTGGGGTGGACGCCCACTTGGGTGCACACTCTGTGGGGGCTGGTCCAGGACCACCCATGTGCAGTCTTCCCTGGCCACATCCTGTATTCTCCCGCAACGCCCAGTCAAGAATCTTCCTGCTGCAGTAACTCCACATATCTGAGCCAGCTGTGTCTCCTGAGCACAGGACATGGGCAGGAGAGGCCCCTGCAGCTGGAATCCGCGCCATGAAGCCCAGGCGCGTGGTATTTGCAGCCAGTCACCAAGTTTTCAAGCCCTCACCTGCGGCCTGTGAGTGCCCACCCTGCACATGGTGCTAACCAGCATCCATCACTGCTTTCTTTTTTAATTTAATTTAATTTTTTTTTTTTTGTGGTGGAGTCTTGCTCTGTCACCCAGGCTGGAGTGCAGTGGCGCGATCTCGGCTCACTGCAACCTCCACCTCCCTGGTTCAAGCAATCCCCCTGCCTCAATCTCCTGAGTGGCTGGGATTACAGGAGCACACCACCACCCACGCCCAGTTAATTTTTTCATATTTTTAGTAGAGACGGGGTTTCACCATGTTGGCCAGACTGGTCTCGAACTCCTGTCCTCAGGCAATCCTCCCGCCTCGGCCTCCCAAAGTGCTGGGATTGCAGGTGTGAGCCGCCGCGCCCGGCCCCACCACTGCTTTCTATGCTGTGGCCGAGGTCACCAACTGCCACTGTGATGGACGGCTGTCACCCAAACAGCACGAGAATCGAAAAGCCGTGATGGCAGATGCAGAAGGCAGCGTCGCCTGTGGTCTTTTAGAAGGGCAGCTGTGAAGTGGGGTTATCTCAGCTTCCACATTGCATCACGGTGCCCCTGTGAAGGGCAGAGGAGCTGCAGGTAATTCTGTTCGCTCGCCTCTGCCTTGGAGGAAGTTTACAGTTTTTTTTTTTTTTTTTTTTGAAAGTTTAAAGCTTTCAACCTGGGCCTGGAGGCTGCAGGGTCAGCAGACCTGGGTCCTGCCCATGGCCCCCTTCCCTCCTCAGGCCTCCATTTGCTCATCTGAGAGTGGGGGGAGTGCAGCGCCTTCCGTGCAGGTCACTGAGAGGCTGGGGCAGTGGCGTGGATTCGGGTGCATGACTCGCAGACATGGCTGTCGCTTGGCTGAACGGTGGCCCCTGAGGTGTCTGTGTCCTTGTCCTGTGAACAAGTTAGGTTGTGTGGCCAAAGGGGCTTTGCAGGGTGACTGAGGGATGGCTCGTGAGAGGGGAGGTTGTCCTGGGTTACCCGGGTGAGCCCTCACTGTGATTGTGAGGATTCTTCTAAGAGAAGCAGGAGGATCTGAGTTGGAGGAAGAGACGGGAGGATGGAAGCCAGGCTCGGCGACGGGAAAGCTGCTGTGCCACCCTCACCGCAGCCCTATCCCTGCTCACGTGCACCAAGACCAGAGCCTGGCAAGTCGTCTCATACCGAGGGTCAAAGGGGCCCAGGGCCCAGCCTCCAGGGACCCCAGCCATGCCGGGTCAGGGAACCAGGCTGCAGTCCTGTGTCTCCTCCTCAGTTTACCCCAATTGTGACCTCAGAAGCCCTTGGAGCCTCAGTTTCCCTACTTGTAGCATGTGTTTGATGATAGTGTGGCAGTGATGTCACAGTCTGGCAGGGTCTCGTGGGGGTCTGTGTTACTGTCTGCAAAGCACTGGCTGGGCCAGTGGTCAGTGAGCAGGGGCGTGGGTAGCGGGCAGTGGCCTGCAGTCCCCAGGAGCACTTCCTGTTGCTGAACAGACAGCAACTTAGTGGATCCTTCCCAGGGCCCCTGGTGGGTGGTGGGTTTTGCCACATCTTTGCAGTAGACAGCACTGGCAGCTTCCGGCTTATCCAAGGCCTCAGGGTGAAGTCGACGCTCGCTGCTGATTCCCTGCTGGACGTCAGGTGACACTTCCCTCCACAGCCTGGGAAGAAGCACCTGTGGGCCACTTCTTTGTGTTGATAAGGAAACTGAGGCAGGGGAGCTGCCTGGGTCACCAGTGGGCACTGCATCTCCATGTGCAGATGGTGCCCTGGCCCTCTCTGCACGCCGTGGGCCTGGGGAGCAGGCAGGTGGCATCTTCTGCCCCGGGCAGCCCGGCTCTGCTTCCTCGTGGCTGAGCCAGGCTGTGTCTAATCTCACTTCCCTGCTCACTGCAAATCAAAACAAACAGACGTCCAGGAGGATTAAGTGTGGCAGTCATGGCGGAGGGAGCCCTGGTAGGGTGGAGAGAGCCAACAGTTGCACCAGCAAGGGGCAGAGACCCAGCCCAGCCCTGGGGGCTGCAGGGTGTGGGGACAGGGCCTGCAGCTTGGCACAAAGACTCTTCTAAGAACCTGGAGGGAACCCTGCTCCGGCAGTGGGCAGCATGCTGTGTGCAAGGTGAGCCAGTCTGAGCCCATTCCCAGTGCCCGGAATGGTGCCCAGTGCAGATGGGCACTCACCCTTCCAACCAACCTTTGCTTGTGTCCCCGTGAGATCCACAGATTCACCCTACGGAGGGCTCCCCACAGGGTTGGCCCGGAGGCTCCAGCTGTGTCTGTTGAACAAATTACTCTGCATCCACCGCGTGCTAGCGCTGTGCGGATTATAGTCCCAGAGACAGATGAGAGCAGGGGTGGTCAGTGTAGGAGCACCCAGAGGGAGCCTGGCAGGGCCTGGACATCCTGTCCAAGCTGGCCAGGAGGAGTCCTCAGAGCCAAAGCAGTGTGGAGGGTGGGGGTGCAGAGAGCGTCCCTGGCTGGAAGCACCGCGTTTGCAAATGCCAGGCAGCTTATGCAGCCAGCGCTTTGGGCAGGCGGGAGTCAGGGGGACTGAGGCCCAAGGAGGGGTAGGGCTGCATGCCAGCCTTCCAGGTGCTCCTGGGAACCACGTGGCTGATCAGACTTGTGCTTTGGGTCGAATGTCCCAGTGGGGGAGTAACCTCAGGGAGCAGAGGAAGGGTCATGGTGGTGGGGATGAAGCAGCAGCATTGGGGCTTAGAGATTAAATGAAGGAAGTCCCACGGGGCTGATCACCTACTGTGCACCAGGCTGCGTCCCGGGCATGGACTGCAGCCCACAGCCCCACTCTTGGGGTGCTCATGGTCTAGGGGGTGGACAACAGACTCTGGTCCCAGCGATGATGCTTGAGTATAAAGGACACAGTTGGGGTGTTGTGGGGGCCAGGGTCAGACATCAGAGCTGGCCTCTGCCTATGAGACAGGGCCCGCTGGCAGGACCCTCAAGCTGGGCTTTTAGGCTGGGCAGCAGCAGGTGCACGGGCCCTGAGGTGGGCCGGGCTGGGCACAGTCAGGACTGGCAACAAGGGCCGGGAGGAGCTGGGGTGATCTGGGGCCATCGTGGTGTAAATACTGGGGCACGACATGGAGGGTTCACTGACTGGCTGGGTGTGTGGGCTGGGGGCGCCGAGGGTGGAGGTGGGCACTGTGGTCAGGGGGAGATGAGGATGGATGGGCAGGGTGCAGACAGGGGCTGGCTGGGTTCGGCTCTGCAGGTAGAGCTGACCGGTGTGGCAGGGACAGGGTGTCGGTGAGGCAGGTGGCTGAGGAAATGGTAGCTGCAGGTTTTGGCCCCAGTCCCAGCAGCGGGACTATGGCTGTGGGGAGGGAGGAACCCAGGGAGGGGGCCTGAGCAGGGTCTTTGGCTGAGTGAGCCCTCAAGGGCCTTTGGGTAGGGCTACCAGAGGCCAGGAAAGGATTGTCCTGTCCACAGGAGCTTGGGGAAGGGGGTGGGGGGCCAGAGCCCCACCTTCCCCAGAAACCTCCGTGCAGCAGGAGGATGAGCCGAGGCAGGCTGTGCTGGGAGGTAGCCTGTTTGTTGTGGGCTCTGGGGGCCTGGGGAGGGTGGGCTGGGCTGTCCACATCTGGACAGGTGGAAGAGGATGGGTTCTGGGTGGGGCTGACTTCAGGAGGCTGGATGAGAGGCAATGCAGGGGGCCTTCTGGCTGTCCTGGGGTGGGTTAGAAGCCACTCAGGATGGCAGGATCTCAGGGAGCGGAGGGAGCCTGGGGCACCCTATGCCAGGCAGAGGATCTATGCCGGGGCCCCCAGGGTCTGTGTGTGGCTTTCTCTGTTTGTGTCTCCCCTGGCCCTGGGGGCCATGTGGCCATCTCCTGGCTCTCCGGTCGCTGAGGATCCACGGGGGTCCCTGGAGTCTCCGGAGCCCGTGGGAATCCCCCTAGAGGCGGGAGGAAGGCCGGGCGGGCCCTGGAGGGTACGTTTGCAGTGGCAGCAGCTCCCTATCTTTATGGTTCCGGCGATCAGAGAAGGCGGCCCGTCTTTTCTCTGCGGGCCCACAGGCCCAGAACGTTGGCCCCAGGGTGGGGCTCTGTGCGCCTTCCCTTTCATGAGTTCTGTGGCTCGGCCTCGGGGCCTTGGAAAGGAGGAAGTGAAACTGGAGGAGAGCGGCCCACAGCCTGCCGCCTGGAGGCTCCTCTGGGAAGCAGACGCTTGGTGCAGGTGTCAGGACCCCCACCTGGCGGGCTGGCTTCTGTGCTGTGACCACCAACACCCCTGCCCTGGGCCCTGAACTCCTGGACAGGGGGCGTTGACTGCTCTCTGGAAGTGATTTGTAAAATCAGCTTTGTAGAGACGTAATTACACACTGCAGTTCATTTGTGGCTCTAGGGCCCTAAGTGGCTCTAGAATGTTCAGAGTTGTGTAGCCACCACCACCATCCACATCCAGAACGTTTAATTACCCCAAAAGAAAACCCCACGCCCACAGCAGTCCCGCCCTGGGGCAGCCACCAGCCTGCTTTCTGTTTCTGTGGCTCTGGCTGTCCAGGGCGTAGCCACACTGCAGGTGGTCAGCAGGTGGTCACCTGTCTGTGTCTGGCCTTGGCGCCATGTTTCTCGGACCCATCCACGTGGCAGCATGTGTTGGTGCTTCGTCCCTTCCCGTGGCGGGACGGCATCCCTCGTGCGGACCTACCTCTAGTGTGTGCTTACCAGCTAATGGATGACTGGGTTTTCGAAGCACTGTCTGTTCCTACCTGGGGGCGGGGCTGAGGCCAGGGGCCCCTCCACTCCCCAGGTGCATCTGTGGGATGGGCAGAGGCCGTGATGCTGACTGCCGTGTCCCTGTCTTGCAGCTTCCTCATCGTCCTGGTCTGCCTCATCTTCAGCGTGCTGTCCACCATCGAGCAGTATGCCGCCCTGGCCACGGGGACTCTCTTCTGGATGGTACGTAGCATCTGAGGGCATGGCTGGATGTCATGGCTGCCTTGGAAGCTGGCATCTCCCTGGCGCTGGGCCCCATAAGGTGGGGGGCAGAGCCACTCCCAGCCCCTTGCCCACACATTGGTCCTGCCCTGATACAGGGGGCACCTCCCCAGCCCCCACACTTGCCAAGTGACTTGGGATGTATGTGCCACAGGCGAGGGGGACCAAGGACTGAGGGGAACCTGGAGCTGGTGGTCTGAAAGGGCTTCCTGGAGGAGGGGCTTCCAGGCTGGGCTGGAAGGAAGGAAGGAGGAGGTAGGGTAGAGCTGGTGTGGCCAGCAAAGGCCTGCCCGAGCCTTCGTGTCCCTGGGGTCTGGGTGACTCTGTTCCTGGGTTATGGCTGGCACACAGGCCCTGCTGGTGTCCCAGCAGCAGCCCCCACCCCAGGCACCTGGATGGTCCCTTCCATTGGCCTGAGCGGTGTCTGTGCCATTTCTGCCAGGCAGGTGCTGAGAGCAGGGCAGGGCAGGCTCATAGCCTGGTGGGAAACCCCAAAGTTGATCTGGCCGTGAGGCTGCCTGGAAGGTGGGGTGCAGGGGGCCAGCTGTGTCTGGAGCCCACGGGGTCCCCACGGAAGCCACCTGAATGTGGGCCGTGAGCAGCAGGACTCTGGCAGGACTGGGTCTAGCACCTCTCCGTGGCCAGGCTTTTGTGTTTTCCTGTCTTGTCGTGGAATAGTTCTAGTATCTACAAAGGAAGAGAGTGTCACGACTCAGCTCCCGGCATGCACAGGCAGATCTGGGCTGGTTTCATGCTGCTTTCTGGCACTGTGTCTTCCTGGCCAGGGGAGCCCGTCCCTCCGGGGTCCAGAGTCCTCTCGCGATGGCCTCGGCAGTGGTATCCGTCTCATTTCTAGGGAGTCCGTTTTACCTTTCCTTTGTTGCTTCTGGACCTTGAGCCATAGCTGGAAGAACTCACCTGTGGTTTCCTCCAGCCCTGACCAGGTTAACTGTGTGTGCTCCATGGTGGCTGGGAGTTTCCTGGGTAAGTGGTGTGAGGCACAGGCCTGCTGTCACTCTTCCCTCGTCTTCCCAGTTCTCCCAGCACTATGTTTTCCACAGTCCATCTGTCCTGCCTGACTGGAGGGGCCGTCTTCTCTGTAAACCAGACGTCCAGAGGCAGTAGGAAGGGTCTGCTTTGGGGTTTTTCTATTCTGTCCCACTGGTCTCCTGGACTTTTCCTTTACCAGGGCCCTACTGACTTGGTGGTCCCGGTACTAAAATCAATTTCATGATGTCACTTTGTGCCTCGGCAGGGCTTTCTTTTTCGGGGGTTTCCTGGTGGCGCTTGCAGCCTTGCTTTTCCCAGTGAACGTTGCCATCACCTTATCCAGCCCCGGGAAGAAACTCGAAGGCCGCGGGTGAATAAACTGGGGGAGACTGACATCTCGGTGGTCTCCAGGAGCATGGTGTGTGTGTTTATGGGCAGCATTTTATGGTTTCATTATGTAGATTGCAGGCAGTTTAAGTCTATTCCTCATCATAATAATATTGAGAGAATAAGTTGTTATTGTTGCCATCACATAGGGAGTTTCTAGTCTATCATGTTTTCCAGGCACTTTCCTGGCGTCTGCGAAAGCTGTTAATTTCTGCTACAGCCTGTGGTCCTGCTACTTCTCGTGACTGTGGTCGTAGAAGTTTTTCCCTCTGTCCTTTGCATCTTTTGCGTTTCCAGATAAGGGATGCCTTCCAGGAGGGCAGATTGCTGCTTGGGTCTGTCCAGAGCTGGGGGTGGTACCTGCGGCCAGCGGGGCCCTCCTGGCTTCTGTGGGCGGGCCGGCTGCCAGGCGGGGGGTGCGCACCTCCCGTGCTCAGGAAGGGTCCTTCAGGTCCGATGCCTGGCGTGGTTTTACGGTGACCATGTGGATTCTGGTCAGGGGTCTTTCCTGCTTCTGTGAGGTGCTCCTGTCAGTGAGGGGCCCCCCTTGCCTTCCTGGAATAAACCCCCTTGGTCCTGGCGTGTGAGTTTCATGTCCTATCACATTGTACTCTCATGCTTTGTTCAGACTTTTGCACTGCCCTGTGAAGTGGGGTGTGTGTGTCATCTTGTGGTGCCATCTTGGTTGGGGTGAGGCCGTCCTTCCCCCACAGGGCGATGTCCAATACCCTTGGCAGCATGGGCCTCATGTTTTATGGGGTCCCCAAGGTACCTGCCCAGGATCCCCAAGTCCTCCTCACCCACCACAGACCTGGCTCTCAGATGAGCACCCAGCCAAGTCTCTGGCCATGTCTAGCAGGAGGATGTTCTGCCCCGGCCAACTGACAGGGTTGGCTCAACTGCAGGAGTGGGCACGGCATGTCCTTTGCTGGTTCTGCCATGGGGCGGGTCTGTGGGGGGTCCCTGACCTGGTAGTTGTCCCTGGAGGGCCTGGGGCCAAGGATGCCAGTGGTTCCCAGGCTGTGAGAGCCGCGCTGCCAAACATTCCCCTGGAGAGTCTCCGTGTGAGGCCCTTTGTACCTCTGCAGGTGTGTGTACATGTGTGTATGTGAGTGCCCACATGCACGGGAATGTGTACACGCATGTGCGTGTTTATGGGTGAGCTGTGTGCTTAAGTGTGCATCTGTATCTGAGTATTATGTAAGTGTGCATACACATGAGCACGTGGGGACTTTCACGCATGTTTGGCTCTGTTTCAATGTGTGTACATGTGTGCACATGTGTATCTGAGCGTGTACATGTGTGAATGTGGCCACATATAGGCACATTGTAGTGTGCGCCTGTGAGCATGTATTGTATGTTTATGCATGGCTGTGTTGTGTGTATTTATGTATAGCTATGTGTCGCTGCGTGTGTGTACCTATGTGTATGTACGTGTGTTCATGCCTGTGCTGTGTGTGAGACGTGAGATCCTGCCTGTCCCATCCCTCACGTACTAACCTGGATCTAGGTGGTTAGCCCCTCGCCCCCAGGTGGCCTGGGACTTGCCTGGTTTTAAATGGAGCCCCGGTGCTAACGTGAGCCCACCCAGGTGCTCCTGCCCAGCCAGGGCTGTCTGTCAGCACCACAGCGTCCAAGTTCAGGTCCTCACTTCCTAGGTGGTTATCTCCCAGGCAGCTGGGAGGGCGAAGCCTGGAGAAGCCTGCACCCAGGCTGGACCTGCAGGGACCTTCAGACGTGCCCTGGGCTCCACATGCCCGTCTGCAGCTCGAGAATTAGACGTGCCCTGGGCTCCACATGCCCGTCTGCAGCTCGAGAATTAGACGTGCCCTGGGCTCCACATGCCCGTCTGCAGCTCGAGAATTAGACGTGCCCTGGGCTTCATGTGCCCGTCTGCAGCCCTAGAATCACCAGCAGCACCCCAAGGCCCCCATGCGGCATCTAAACCAGGCAGGGGACAGGGGCATGGAGCAGACCAGGTAGGGTTGCTCCCTAGGATGCAGCCCTGCCCAGGCAGGAGGGCAGACCCTACACAGTGCTGAGCTGTGCCCCCAGGGAAGCCTCCAAGATGGTCCTCATCCCAGCAGCCCTGCCCACTGTCTGCGCATCCCTGGGGTCTGTGCGCCACCTGGTGGCTATTTGCTGAACTGTGGCCACAAACCCCTGGTCAGCAGGAACCGGCCCTTTCACTGCCCTGCAGCTCCCTCTCCTCCGGGGTGGCATGGCAGAGAAGCAGCCCGTGGCCCCAAGCATAGAGCCCCCTTTCTGCTGTAGTCCCCCTTGCAGTCCCCTCTGCCTTTTCCACTGCTTGGAAGGCAGAGAGACCCTGGCCGCCTCCCTTGTCCCTTTATCTGTCATGCCAGCTGCCTCCCTGCCACACCTTGCGTCTCACCAGGCAACCCTGCAAACAGCAGCTGGGGAGGACTTTCTAAGACAAAAACCTGATCATTCCAGAAGCTCCCTGTGACGTTTAGGCTACATTCCCCAAGGTGGTGCCACGTTCAGGCCCATCACCTGTAACACTACCCACCCCACCTCACCCAGCCTGGGCTCACTCACTCCAGGCCAAGCCTTGGACATTCCTGGCTGCCCCAGGGCCTTTGCAAGCCCTCTTCTCTGGACCTGGCTGTCCTCGGGAGTGTCAGCACTCAGCCTCTTGTCAGGTTTCAGGCCTCTGCTTGGCACTATCCTGCACACCATCCCCGCCGACCTGCCCTGTTCTGGGTTCATGGGGCTCTGGGAGGCTCACAAGCATCTGTCTGCCTCAGGCCATTCCACACTCCCTGAGGGTGGGACCCCGTGGCTGCGCTAACCCCACAAGCTCTGCATGGCGCTTCCTGGCCGTGCATGTCCCTCCCTGCATCAAATGCATAGGCCAGAGTTGCCCAGCGAGGATGACCCAGCTTGGTATGTGCTCCCGGCTTCAGCTGCCCCTGCGTGATGGAGACACCCTCCCACTCGCCTTGCCACACTTCCCAGCAGTCTCTCGAAGCACTGGCCGCGTGGAAACAAATCCTTCAAGGGGATTTGAGGGTCCAGCTGTCACTCAGTCATGGCCATGGTGGGGGCACGTTGGGGACACAGCAGAGAGTGAGGCAGCCGTGGGCCTGGCCTTGACAGGCGGATGTACAGACACATCAGGGCCGAGACTGAGGCGTGGGCTCTGGGTGGGGAGACAGTGACCACTTGCTTGGAGGAGGGGGCGCTCAGGTGGGAGGGGCACAGTGAGAAGGAGGTAAGCTGGTGCTGGCGGGGCAGGCAGGGACCCCTCCCAGGGCTCACAGCTTCCAGCGGACAGCAGGCACAGGGCTGTGGGGATCAGAGCACAGGCAGAAGTCACCTGACAGCAGGTTCCCGAGGCTTCAGGCCTGGAGGAGTGAGGACGGCTGTTGGGTTCTTGATTCCAGCAGAGGGAGGCTGTGCAGGGTTGCAGGAAGGACGGTTGGGGGCGCTTCGGGGAGGTACGAGAAGCAAAGGTGTTTGCAGCCCTTGGGGCCAGGCGGCGGGAAGGCCTGTAGACGCCAGAGGGCGCTCGTGCTACATGCAACTCAGGAGCTGCTGGCACCCGCCAAGGAGTGCTGAGCGCGGGGAGCCCAAACCACAGCCTTGGGGAACCCAGGAGGGGCCGGGCGGGTGCAGGACCCGCATGAGGGATTCCGAGAGCACGATGTTTAAATGTTGGGGGAAAAAATGGATCAAAGCGATGTGTTCCCAGGGAGCCCCTGTTTTCTCGTTTCTTTTCGTACGCCCAGCTTTGCAGTGCCAGAAAGCTGTTATCTCAGCACTGCTAAGGAAACCCCAGCGCGGCCTCGGAGGGATTAGGCATTCTGCTGAACCAGGGATATGCGGTGGGCCTGAAAAAGCCATTTCGGGAGGAATCTGGTCTCGGCTGGGGTCCGGCCGGCACCGTGAACACCACGTGAACACCACGTCGGAAATCTGCTGGGCAGGGAGATTTCCTCAAGGCCTCCCAGGGAGGAGAGCCACTTCCTGGGCTGCAAAGAGGGCCCCAACCTGGCTTCTGAATTCAGAGGGGGCTGTGTGTGCACGTGTGTACGTACGTGCATGTGCACGTCTGTGTACCCATGTCTGTGGAAGTGGCACACGTGTGCATGTGTGCACTCAGTGTACGTGTGCGTGCCTGTGGGTAGCTCCGTGCGCACATGCGTACACATATGCCTGGTGTGTGTGTGCACACGTGTGTCTGACGTGTGTGTGCTTTGCGTGTTCTTGCCTGGGAAGGAGTTCCCGGTTTGGGTGGCTCTCCTGTTTCTTGCCGAAGCCAGCTGCTGCTAGAAACTGGCCCCCTGCTCTCTGCAGTAAGAGACCCTGCCCTGGCCCAGGTGAGGGCCTGGCTTTTGTCTCCAGGATCACAGCTTTTGTCAAACTCCACACAAAGAGAGAGGCACTCAAAAGCACAACACAAACACGGCTAGTCCGCGCCTTTGGTGGTGAACATACCAGGGAATTGTCCTGCAATGCCTGTGGTTAAAAAACCCCGTGAGCTGCGGCCCCGGAGGCCTAGGGGATGAGGTCATCGCTGCGGCTTCCTCCCCTCTGCTGAGGCTCCCTCCGCCCCGCCCGGTGGCCCACCCCTCCCGCCAGCTGCAGCCTCCACTGCCTGGGTTTCTGCTGCGCCTTCAGCACACAGCGAGGCCTCAGTTTCCCTCCCAGCTCAGAGCAAGGCCTCAGTTTCCCTCCCAGCAGCAAAGTGAGACCCTGTAGGGAGTCTCTGGGCCTCCGTGACGGCCCTGGGCGGCCCTCTCTGTGGAACAAGGTCGGGTCCTGTCCTCAGCGCCCTGGCCTCCACTTGCTCAGGGCGCCCGCAGGCCCGCAGGTCCTCACCTGGTGTTTTTCACCTGGGACCCGCAGCTGCTCTGATGAGGAGCCTGCTCTGCGCACGGCCTGGGGCGGTTTCCCGCAGCACCATTTCTGCCGCTGCCGGGAAAAGACGCAGAGCAAAGGCACCTTTGCCCAGGTTGGGGAACCAGTGGGTGACTCAGGATTTTCCTCCACCCACCCCGAGGTCTGACTCCCTCTGCAGCTGCCGCCCGCTGAGGGTTGTCTTCCTCCCTGCCTGCCTCGCCCTGCCTGGTGAGCTCCTATGGGTCTGACGAAGCCCCGTCCTGCACACTTGCTTCGGGGGCAACTCCCCACTAGACTGGTTGCCCAGGGACGGGGGTACCCACTCCCTCCTCAGGGCTGCAGGGTGCTCTGGGAAGAGTTGTGTCCCTCTGTGGGCCTGTGGGCTCACTTGCCTTTTTGTCCCTGTCACTTGGGAGCTACCCAGCTAAGACCGGTCCCCACCACCCAGGCCACTCTGAGGCTTCAGAACGCGGTCGTCTTCTCCCTGGCAGGGTTGTTTCCGCCTGCATTTGTTCAGCCAGCAAATCTTTATTAAGCACCTACTGTGTGCCAGGATCTATGTGCAAGCAGCCCATGGGCTCATGAAAGGCAGAGCTGGACTGAGATTCCGCACCCCTGGGATCCTCACTGCAGGGCCCTGTGTATGTGCGGGCTGGAGCCCTGGTTCCTGTCTGCACTGAGCCCCTGGAGCTAGGCCCAGAGGACTTGACAGATGTGGGCCCTCTGTCTGCACAGCCCCCAGGGCACGGGGTGGCCTGCAGCTCTGCCCAGCCAGACTTCAGGTCACTGCCCCATGAGCCTGTAGGAGAAACTTCTCACTCATCTGTCCTGAGACCTGCCTGGAGCCCACCCCAGGGAGACAGAGGCTCTCGGAGCCTGTTCAGGGTGAAAGGACGCTAGACACTGGCCTGCAGGCTTTGGGCGGGTAAGGGTAGCGAAGGTGAAAGTGGACCAGGGGCAGGTGGAGCAGGGTAGGCCCAAGTGTCTGTCTGGGGCAGCTGGGGACACCCAGGTGGGCTGAACTTCAGCTGCCACCCAGCTTCAGCTGCCAAGGCTCCTCCCGGGTCAGGGTCGACCCCTGATGTCCCGGCAAGAGTTCCAAGAACAAAGGCTCAGAATCCACCAAGCGGAACTTGAAGCCACTGCCCTGTGGGGACAGGAGAAGTGACTTGGCCGGCTCTCCGGAGCCCAGTGTTGATCACTGAGGACCACCGGATACAAGTCCCTCCTGCCTTCCCCTTTAGTGACACTGAAGCTGTTGAAATCCCCATCCACCAGGAGCTCCTGGTCCTGGGGAGCCCTGTGCAACCCACTCACTGCCTTTCAGAGCCCTGTGGCGTCTCTCTCATGCGCTGGCCGTAGAGCTTCCTGAAAGCATCTCTATCACCCACTCTGCACCTGAGAGAGGGCGGTCAGGTGACTGGTACCCCCTGAAGACCTGGGACCAGGCCCCCTGCCTCTGGGAATCCATCAAAATGCTCCCTTCTGAGGCCGCTTTGCTGGGCGTAGGATCAGCCTTGCTTTGAGGGCTGTTTAGGAGAGGAACCCCGGCGCTGCTGCTCCCCGGAGGCAGCCAGTGCTTGTGATGGGCACCCTGCCTCCAGTGTTCTGCTTCAGGGTGTGGGATGCACAGCTGGGGGCAGGGGCGCTGCTGAAGCCACAGTCTCAGAGCCTGAGGCCCACGGGGCATGGCATGAAGACCCGGTGGTTCTGTTCCCCCGGGACAGCCTTGGTCCAGCCTCACTGGCCACATGCTCTGCCGAGCACACCCGCTGCTGTCCCCAGCCACCCAGCCCCATGCACAGGCCACGCGGCGACAGGGGCTGCTGAAGGAAGGCTGGTCCGCTCCCTGCCTGTGACAGGAGCTCAGGCTCAGGGCAGCAGGGGCGCTCAGCTGGGCCGCGGCTCCACGGTGTTAAGGGATTCTAGAAATTTCCTGCTGTGCCAGGCTGCAGCAGAGACTCCGGCCCCACCAGGCTTCCTGTACTTGGTGATAAACACACCATCCGCACTGCCTGCGGCTCTTACAGGAGTCTCTCGTGCACCATTGCTCAACCCCCGAGAGTTATGGAAGGAAGGGAGGCTGGGGTGGGTGCCCCGAGTGCCTTGTTGGAGTGGAGGCTGGCGCTGCCCTGCCCCACAGGGTGGCTGGCAGGGCTCAGCAGTTGCCTGGCCTGTGGGGGCAGAGGACCTGGGGAGACATGCTGAGCCCTCCCAGCGAGACACTGAGGGTCGGGAGGGTAACATGTGATTTTGAGGCCACCCGCTACAGCTTCTTGGGACCTCCCTCTCTCAGGCGGGTCTGGAACCCAACAGAGCTGGTTTGGGCCACAGCAGTGGCTTCCCAGGCTGGGCTTCAAAACCGGACACAGGGCGTGGCTCTCCCTCCCAGCCTGCCAGAGGGACCGCTGGGCCTATCTCCAGCCACGTGGGTCGCGAGAGTCGACCTGGGCTGCGTGATGGGGGACCCCAGGCTGGGCGGCTTAAACCGTGGAGGTCGCCCTCTCACAGCTCTGGACGATGGAGGGCCGAGACCCAGGTGTGGGCAGGGCTGGTTCTTCTGAGGCCCCTCCCGGCTTCTGAGGGTGGCTAGCAACTGTCTTCTAGATGTAGTACCCCAATCCCCCCCAGTCCCTCCCTTTACCTCACAGGGCATCCTCCCTGCGTGTGAGTCTGGAGCCAAATTTCTCCTCTATGTAAGGACACCAGTCTTACTGGATTGGAGGCTACCCTACTCCACTGTGACCCCCCTCCTAACTGATCATATCTGCAGGGACCCCATTTCCAAACAAGGTCTTACTCTGAGTACTGGGGATTAGGGCTTCATCATATGAATTTGAGGGCAACCCAGGGGTCTCCAAACCATGGCCCACAGGGTGGCTCCCTGTGTGTGTAAATAAAGCTTTATTAGCACACAGCACCACATACTTGAGGGCCTAATGCCTCTGGCTGCTTTGTGCCATGGCAGATTTGAGTCCTGCCATGGAGACCATGCAGCCCACAGGGCCTAAGATTTCTACTACCTGACCTTCCAGGAAAGGTTTGCCACGCTATTTATTTAGCAGGATAATTTTGGAAAGAGCAGTTGCTAGGGGCATTTAAACTTGCAGTCGAATTAGTAACAATTTTATTTTTTGGGAAAATAGAAGTGGGAGAGCGTGTGCCCCGGGCCAGCCCACCGTGCCCCACGTTTCTACAGTGCCCAGGTTGGCGCAGGGCCTTTTGGTTCCACAGTCTGTGTCTTTCTTCCTGGGTGTCTGAATTTTGATTTAATCTCAGGCTTGTCAGAACGAGCAGCTCCCAGGCACCCTCTGCCAGGTCAGCAGTGGCTTTCATCTTCTGCCATTTGCTCTGCACGTTTCTCTCTATATGCAAAAACCTATATGGGTTTTGTGGGGTTTTTTGTTGTTGGTTTTTTATTTTTATTTTTTTGAGAGAGAGAGGGTCTTGCTGTGTTGCCCAGGTTGGAGAGTAGTGGCATACTCACGGCTCACTGCAGCCTCGGCCTCCTGGCCTCAAGTGTTCCCACTTCAGCCTCCTGAGCAGCTGGGACTGTGGGTGCGTGCCACCATGCCCCGCTAATTTTTGTATTTTTTGTAGAGATAGGGTTTTGCCATGTTACCTAGGCTGGTCTTAAACTCCTGAGTTCAAACAATCCTCCCACCTCGGCCAACCCAAAGTGCTGAGATTATAGGCATGAACCACTGCACTCAGCCTGCTTTGTTTTTATCCTGAGTCATTTGAGAGTAAGTTGGAGGCAGTATGACCGTTTCTCCGTATAAAGCCCGTGTATATCCTCTGGAATGAGGACCTTCAACTTAGCCAGGGTGTCCGACTCTCAGGACACCGCTGTCCATTTCACAGCCTGCATTTAAGGCTCGTCACTGGTCCCAGTGAGTGTGGCTGGTTTTTTCTCATTGCACATGGCTGTCACGCGGTTTCAGCTTCTTTGACCTGGAGCAGCCCTGCCCGGCCTTCCCTTCTTGGTCTCTCTCTTGGGCAGGGAAGGGCGGTGGACATGGAGGCTTGGGGACAGTCCCCTGGCCCCACGGATGTTGTGTGGACGAGTTGGAGGGCTCACAGGCCCCTCTGTGGGGCCCAGGGCAGAGGCAGCAGGCAGGCTGTCTCCACCACGATGGACATCATTTATGCCCCAGCCAGGTCCCCTGTCCCAGGACCGCGGTTGACAGGGTTTGGATTGGCTGCGTTCCTGTCTGAAGGCAGCTGCTTGGGAGGAGGACAGCTGACATTCTTTCATGCGAAATCTGCTTGCGGGAGAGTCGTGAAAGTGGGAATCCTGGGCTGGAACCGGAACGTTCCCCGAGTACATAGGAATCCTGGGCTGGAACCGGAAACTTCCCTGAGTATACGGGGCCTTGTGTGTGGAGGGGCCCTACGGTGAATCGTTTTCTGTAACAAAGGCTTCCTCTGTGCAGCCCACACACGGGCCTCACGTTATCTTCTGCAGGCCAGAATTGTCATATATATCAAGTTTGTTCAGAACAAGATGGGGTGGGGTGGGGGGCAGTGAGGGGCCTGGGGCAGGAGGTAGAGGAAACTGCAAGATTTTTTAAACCTTCTCCAAAAACACGTAACCCGATTCTGTCCAAGCGATTTGTGAGAATGGGGTTGACACCCCTGGGCTGGAACCTGGGAACCACCAGTCAGCGTCTTTCCTCCAGGGAGGCTGTGCAGAGGGAAGGCAGTGAGCCCCACCTGGGTTTGAGGAACCTGGGGCTTCAAGGGAGGCGGTCTCAGCCCATGGTGCTCCGGCCAGGGGTGGGGCAGCCGAGGCATGAGTGGATGATGTCCCGTCGGCAGCCCGTGGTCCCTCTGGGGGGCAAGGTGCCTGTTCCCCATTGCTCCTCCACCAGAACACCTCCTCCAGATCTCCGCCAGGTGCGCCCCCTGAAGGAAAAGGGGATGGGGGCCTGGCTCGTGCCTGGTGGCAAGTCCTCTTGGGCCCCAGAAAGACCCCATAATGGCCAGGTAGAAGCTCCTACCTGCTGCTGCCTGAAGAGTCTGGGGCCCTGTCGGCTGGTTCCATCGTCTTCCCTGTTTTCAAGCTACAGGAGCGCAATCTTTCCAGAGCATTGAGTGGCTAGAGGAACGGGCTTACGCTAGGCAGGCGCTGGCATCTTAGACAATACCTGACATCTTTGCGGGAGCTCTGGTGAGAGGCCCCACAAGCGTGTGACCCTGTGCGGACTCCACCGCGGCAGCCTGGGAGCCAAGCCGATGGCTGTGCTGGCCGAAGGGAACACCGCCATGGTGCTCTGCTCTCTGCAGCCCTGGGTCTGGTTGGAAGTTGCATCCCTGGTGAAGGGCGGCCGCGGCTTTCCAGCTCTCCCAGGCCAGTTCCCGTGTTTTCTCTCCCGCCTTCCCCATAGTCCAGGACAAAAGTCAGACCTTGGTGGGGGGTGCGCCTGCTGCAGGGGCCCCCAGGCTTCTCCATTCGGGTTTAGTGGGATTAGAGTGTGCGGCCATGGGGACAGGTGTTTCCTTTATGTTCTGCCTGAGGGCTGGAAAGAGCCTCATCAGTGAGTGCCACGTTCGGTGGGGGTCTCTGGTGCAGGGGAGCCGGCGGGCCGGGTTGGGTTATGTCCTTGTTTTCACATCTGACCCTGGCCAGCTGGAGAGCCTCGCTTGAAGCGCAGGGCAGCAGCTGACACAACACAACGGGACGGGCTGAGCAGGCCGGGCGCAGGCAGGCTTGGGGGAGCTGGCACTGGCACTGCACGTGGGGCTCCTAGGGGGCTGCTAGGGAAGTCATTGGGGGATAATAGGATCCACCCTGTGGGGCCCACTGGCCATGGAGTACTGCACAGTGGGGTCCACCCGCTGTGTCCCTGAACAAGGAGGTAGCCTGAGGTCTCCTCTGACGCTGGGCAGCAGCCTGGGGAGGGGGCTGGGCAGGTGCCAGGGGAACCCCCTAGAGGGCATTACATTCAGATGAGTTCTAATTATGTTCTTGGCTTCCCAGGTCACACAGAGTGAAAACCAGAGGCCCTGGCCGTGCACCATTGAAGTGTGTCATCATGTGACTTTGCAGGTTGGGGGGACAGGGCTCGGTGCGGCCTCACGGGGTCAGGAGCCACGGCTCGAGCACCTCGGATCCCAGCCCCCTGTTCAGGGCCAGGCCTAGACAGCTCTTCCCACGAGATTTTCTTTCTCCCGGGTATAAAACTGGCCAACGGGATGCCTGGTGGGATGACTGGGGTACCTGGGGCCAGGGGCGGCCAGCAGCCTCCTCAGTAGCTTGTGGGAGATGCTCTCAACCCCAAGGTCAGCTCCAGCTGGCCTCAGGAGGAGTGGATGTTCCCTTCAGGTGTCTTTAGGACCCTGGCAACTGGGGACAATAGTCTCCTCCCCAAATATGCAGTCTTGACTCCTGGCCACTTGGGAAGGTGCGTTCTGGTCCTCTGGGCCTCACAGCTTTGTGCCCTCTAGGGTGGCAATGGGAGGCAGAGAGCACAGCCTGGGGACTTGCTGTGAGGGGACTGCATTTAGATTTTTAGGTGAAGCCAATCCCTGTTGGGCTGAGAAAAGTCCTGGGCGGCTGTGAGCTGGTGGTGAGTTTTCCAGACTTGGTCATGGTCAAGGTAGTTGAAGTCGGGGGTTGAAAAACACACTCGTGTCCAGCCCAGATGCCTTATGGAGAAGAGGATGCACAGGCACACACGCACAGACATATGTGCACGGATGGGCGTGTGGACGTATGCACACATAGGTACCCATGTGGACACACTCACGTGTGTGTGCACGTTCAGGCTCAGACACGTGCCTGCATGCACACGTGCACACGTGCACACCCAGCCCTGGACCTCAGGCAGGCAGGGAGAGAGACCCCCTTGGGGCCGCGTTCCATTTGCACATTTAATCCAGAAACTGTCAGCATGGGAAGCCTGGATGAGAACAAAATGTCAAGTGTGTGCCGAGAGGCGCAGGCCAGCCCCTTTTCCTGGCGGGGTGATGATCTGGTCAGTTTCCGAGCACCATGTGCTGAGAATGATGCGTGCATTCAGAGCAGCATTTGGTGGGGAACCTGGGGGAAGGGCGGGCGTCTTTATTTCATTTTAGCTTTCTTTAGCGGGGCCTGTGTCTCTTCTCACTGACCGTTTTCTGAAACTGGCTGGGGAGGGTCAGGGATGGCTGCTGTCCTCGGGGGAGGGACTGAGCTGGGCCCTTTTCGTTGGTTAGTTCTCAGTGTGGCCTACCCAGCCAGGTCCCTGGACCTGGCGGTGGCTATGAAAGCCTGGGATTGAGGACAAAGCCATGGGGACGCCGTTTTCGGGATGCTTGTGAGCAGGGCTTTGTCCCCACCGTTAGGATACTCTGAACGTTCCCAGAAAGCCCCCTTCTGCTCAAGTTCTCTTGCTTCATCTCAGGCTCAGGTGTTTTGAGTTTTTTTTTTTTTTTAAATGAGGACATCTGTTAGACCACTTAGGAGTTCTAGAACCTTTGGAAAACCCCCTCTCATCCCGGGAGTTTGTAAGAATTTGTAGTTTCTCCCCAGAGTTCATGGAGCCCCTGTCAGAGGCGCTGAGGCCCAGGTCCTGTGGCTGGTCCTCGCATAGACATCAGCTAAGGGGGTTTGGGGGCCAGTCGGCAGCCTCTGGAGGCCTCTGCACCCCTCCTGTGAAAGGCCGGCGCAGAGCTGCACCGTGGGGTCCCCTGGCTTGGGGTGGGCCTCAGAGGCTGTCGCCGTGCCTGCTGTGGCTCTCCATGGCCCTGGAGCCTGGGATTGCAGAAAGACTCCCAGACCTTGCTGGGGAAACTCCAGGATATGGGGGTATCCAGACTCCTGAGACTTCCCCGTGGGTCCACACACGTCACCAATCCTCTCTGCACCTCAGCTTCCTCATGTGTGAAATTCAGGTCATATCAGGACCTCAGTTCCTGGGGCTGTGCCGAGGGTGTGGGGACATTGGGCATGAAGGTTCTCAGTCCAGAGCCAATGGCCAAGAGGGCAAAAGGGTGTTGGTGGACGATGCCTCCTCCCCTGGCGGGGGCGGGGAAGGAAGTGCTAGGGGAAGCCGGTGTAAGGGGCCCCGTGCCCACCAAAGGCGCGCTAATTGCGAAGGAGGGGCCTCAGCCAGGAACCGCCATAGCCTCAGTTTTATTTATTCTGCTCACTCAAACAAAAAATCAGCTTTGTTGAGGTATAATTGGCATAGAGTGGAAGGCCTTGTTTAAAATGTAGGATTTGACAAATCTGGACATGGGTGTACGCCACAGGACCATCACCACAATTGAGACAGCAGGCACATCCGTCACCCCCAGAAGGCTTCTCGCTCCCGTCGCTGGCCCCTCCTCCGCTGCTCCTGGCTCCGGAGGGGACCCCTGGTCTGTCTTGTCAGTGTAGACGGTTGGCGTTTTCTGGGGCTTGTTGTCAGTGCAATCATACAGTGTGTGGTTTTTATTGTCTGGTTCCATATTTGAGAGTCATCCAGGCTGTGGCATGTAATAATTCATTCCTTTTTCATTGCTGAGCCGTATCCCATTGTACGGACGCATTGCAGTCTGTTTATCCACTTGTGTGCTGGCGGACTCTGTATAAAAGTGTTTGTAGGGACTTATATTTCCTTTCTGCATGGGTAAATACCTAGGTATAGAATGGCTGGATAATGTGGTGAGTGTATATTTTTAACTATTTAAGAAACTGGCTAACTCATCAACCCTTGACGTGGTCCGTCATTTTCATGTTAGCCAGTCTAAGAGGTGTGCGTGGCATCCTGCTGTGGTTTTAACTTTCATTTCCTAAGGACCAGTGATGTTGAATATCTTTTCACGTGTTTCATTGGCATCCAGGAAACATCTTTGGTGACATATCTTTTTAAATGTTTCACCCATTGTAAAATTGGGCTGTTTGTCATCTGAGTTGTAAAAGTTCTTTGTATATTCTGGTTACATAGATATTTGTTTTACACATGTATTCTCTAGTCGGTGGCTTTCCTTTTCATTTATTTAGTAGTATCTTTTTTTTTTGTTTGAGACTGGGTCATGCACTGTGCTCAGGCTGGAGTGCAGTGGCGTAAACGTAGCTCACTGCAACCTCGAATTCCTGGGCTCCGAGGATCCTCCCACCTCAGCCTCCCAAGTAGCTGGGACTATAGGCATGTGCCACCACAGGTGCTAACTTTTTAAAGTTCTTGTACAGACAGGGTCTCACTTTGTTGCCCAGGCTGGTGTCAAACTCCTGGCCTCAAGCGATCCCCTTGCCTCGGCCTCCCAAAGCGCTGGAATTACAGGTGTGAGCCACTGCTCCAGGCCCAATAGTATCTTTTAAAGACCAAACATTTTCAATTTTATGAAGTCAAATATAGCTTTTTCCTTTTAAATATGTTTCATGCTTTTCACATTCTATTTAGGAAATGCTTACCAAACACACTCTTACTAAGATTTTCTGCTAGTAGTTTTATAATTTTTGTGCTTACCTTTAGGCCTAGGATGCATTTTGAGTTAATTTTTCTCTATCATGTAAGACATAGGCGGAGATTCATGTGTTTTTTCTTATGGATGACTGACTGGTCCAGTGTCATTTGTTGAAAAGAGTATCCTTTACCCAGTGAATCATCTTGACTCCTTTTAAGAGGTTCAGTTTATCATAAAATTGTCTCTTTCTGGACACTCTACTGTGATCCGTTGATCTGTCCTTTTGCCAGTCACACACTGGGATTGTTACAGCCCTATAATACGGTTAAAATAAGTTAGGGTAATTTAGCCAACTTTGTTTTGCTATTTCAAGTTGTGTTGGTTGTTCGGGGTCCTTTGCATTTACATATAAATTTTGGAAGCTGCTTACCAATTTTTGCAAAGCCTGGTAGAATTTTGTTTGGGATTGCATTCAACCTAAAGATCAACATGGGGAGAATTGATGTCTTAACCAATATTGAATCCTCTGATCAATGAGATTATCTATCTCATATATATATATGTGTGTGTGTGTATATATATATGTGTGTGTGTGTATATATATGTGTATATATATATGTATATATGTGTATATATGTATATATCTATGTATATATATGTGTATGTATATGTATATATATGTGTATATATATGTGTATATATATGTGTGCATATATGTGTATATATGTGTGTGTATATATATATATGGTTACATACCTAATATGTATATGGTTATATATCTCTTATAAGGGTTATATATCTCATATACATATGAGGTTATATACCACTTATTTAGATTTTTAACTTCTGTCAGAGATGTTTCATAGTTTTTAGTGTATAGGTCTTGTACATCTTTTGAGGTACCTAAGTGTTTCATATTTTTTATGCTATGGTCAATGGTATTTCTTCTAATCTAGAACTGAAATTCATTTTGACAAATTTATCTTGAATCTTGCAACCTTTCTAAACTCATTTGTTCCAGTGGCTTTTGAAAAAATGAATTCCATTGATTTCCTTATATGAATGATGTTTTCTGAACATAGAGACAGTTTTACCTCTTTTTTTCAAATGTGGACGCCTATTTGTTTCTTTTTCTGGCCTGATTGCACTGGGCGGCTCATCCACTGCAGTGTCCAATACAAGTGAACACTGCTGTGTCCCCAGCCTTAGAAGACACACATCATTGTTCACCGTCAAGGGTGATGTTGGCTCTGGGTTTCCATAGATGTCTTTACCAGGTTAAGGAAACGTCCCCTCTAATACTATAGCTGAGAGCTTTTAATATGAATGGGTGTTAAATTTTGTCAAATGCTCTTTGATACATCTTTTGATATGATCATGTGCTTTCTCTACTTCAGTCTCTTAATATGATAATTACACTGATTCATTTTCACAGGTTCTGTATTCCTGGATAAACCACACTTGGTCATGCTCTAGTATTCTTTTTGTATATCACTGGACTTGACTTGTTAAAATTTTGCTAACAACCTTTGCATCTAGGTTCATGAGGGATATTGTCTATATATTTTCTTGTAACGTCTTTGGCTTTGGTATTAGAGTAATGCTGGCATGAGGAGTGAGTTGGGAAGTGTTCTCTCTCCCTTTTAGAGGTGGAGTTTGTGTAGAATTGGTCTTATTTCTTCCCTCTGTGTTTGGTGGACTCCATCAGGAAAGTTGTTTAGGTAGGCCTGGACTTTGCTTGATGAGAAGATTGTTAACTAGATTTTAAATTGACTTAATAGTTTTATTCAGGTGATTGATAATAGTTATATTCAGTTGATTGATAATAATTATATTCAGGTAATTGATAATAGTTATATTCAGGTGATTGATAATTATATTCAGGTGATTGATAATAGTTATAGTCAGGTGATTGATAATTACATTGAGGTGATTGATAGGTGATAATTATATTCAGGTGATTGGTAATTATATTCAGGTGATTGATAATTCTATTTAGGTGATTGATAATTCTATTCAGGTGATTGATAATAGTGGTATTCAGGTGATTGCTTCTTGAGTGGGCTTTGGTATTTTGTGTATTTGAAAGAATATGTTCATTTCATCTGGGTGTTAATTGTATTGGCATAAAGTTTTTCAGAATATCCTGTTACTATCCTTTAAACAGCTATAGAATTTGTAGCAATGTCTCTTCTCTCATTCCTGATACTAGTAATTTGTGCCTCTTTCTTTGTTAGTGTAATCAGTCAGCTAAAGTTTTAGCAAATTTATGGATCTCAAAGAATCAGCTTTTGGTTTCATTATTTTTTTTCTTTTTGGTTATTTGATTAATTTTAATTATTTTATTCTGCCTACTTAGTTTTAATTTGTTCTTTTTTTTCTCGTTTCTTAAGGTGGAAGCTGAGGTCATTGAATAGAAATTTTTTTTTCCTTTCTAATACAGGCACTTGGTGGTATAAACATCCACAAATTTTGTGTTTTTTTATCCCATTTAAAATATTTTCTAATTTCCTTTTTAACTTCTTCTCTGGTGTATGCATTATTTAAAAGTGTATTCAAAACATTTAGGGATTTTCAAGATACCTTTCTGTTACTGATGTCTAATTTATTTATGGCTATAGAAACACTTAATATAATTTGGTCTCTTAAAATATATTAAGACTTGATTTAGGGCCCAGAATATGATTTATCTTGGTAAATACTCCATTGTGTGCTTGGAAAGAGTGTGTACTGCTGTTGTTGGGAGGACTGTTCTATAAATGTCAATGAGACTAATGTGGTTGATGATGGCATTGTCCAAGTCTACATCAGTAATGATACATCCTTACTGATTTTGTATCTACTTGTTCTATTAATTCATTCTTGGGAGAAGGATGTTAGAATCTCCAACTGTATTTGTGGATTTCTCTCTTTATTCTTCAGTTCTTTATTCTTTATTAGTTTTTTGTTTAATGTATTTTATTTTTTGCTTTTGTCATTTAAAAAATTATTTACATTCTTTATTTTTCATTTTTGTGGATACACAATAGTTGTACATATTTATGGAGTACATATGATATTTCAATACAAGTATACCATGTGTTCAATGTGTTTTGAAGCTTCGTTCTTGGGTGCATTAGCATTTAGGATTGTTATGTCCTCTTGAGAAGTCAACACATTTGTCATTATGAAACTGCCTCTTTATCCCTGGCCACTTTCTTTGCTCTGAAATCTGCTTTGTCTGAGATTAATATGGCTATTCTGGCTTTTTCTTTTTATCATTGTTAGCATGGTATATATTTTACTCATTTACTTTCAAACCATTTGTGTCTTTAGACTCAAAACTTGTTTTTCATATGAAGCATATAGTTGAGTCTTATTTTGTGAGTCAAACTATTTTTCTCCTGAAAAGTACAGCTAATTTGCATTTATTCATAGGACTGACATTCTTGGTCTCAACTCTGTCATTGTCTTTTATAATTACGTGTATTTTGTCACGGTTGCTGTTGTAGTTTTCTTTACAATATGTGTATTATTTTCTTTTAAAAACATTTGGGTAATTAGGAGGTTGTATTATTTATTTATTTATTTTTGCGAAACAGTTTCCCTCTGTTGCCCAGGCTAGAGTGCAGTGGCATGATCTCAGCTCACTGAAACCCCCATCTCCCAGGGTTTAAGTGATTTTCGTGCCTCAGCCTCCCAAGTAGCTGGGATTATAGGTGGGCGCCACCACACCTGGCTAATTTTTTTTGTATTATTAGTAGAGACGGCGTTTCACCATTTTGGCCAGGCTGGTCTTGAACTCCTGACCTCAAGTCATCTGCCCGCCTCAGCCTCCCAAAGTGCTGGGATCACAGGCATGAGCCACCGTGCCCAGCCTGTATTTTTGTCCTAATAGTTACCTTTATACATATGCCTTTCAAAGTTTCCTTGGTCCCTGGTTTCTCATTTAACCCTTTACTGTCTGGCTTACCGTTTTTATTAATCTGCCTTAACTTCTACTTAGTGCCTATACCACAAACAATAAGCTGACTCCATTTCCATCTTTTATAAGTTCAGACCCCCACAACCTTGGGTGGACTACTGACTACTTCGCGGGTAAGAAATGGTGAGTGGCATGGAAGGGGAGGGGCGGCAGTTCTCAGTGGAGCGGCCGGGCTGCGAGTCTCTGTATGGAGGTGAAGGTCCAGATGTTGGGGTTTCAGGGTCAAGCATTCCTGGCAGAGAGCATGGCACGTGCCAAGACCCGGATGGGGCGTGTGCCTGGCGCGGGTGGAGGGAGCTGTGAGGAGCCTGTAGCATTCAGAGACAGGGGAGCAGGGAGCGGTGGGGGATGAGGTCAGGGAGGTGGCAGGACCTGGCGTGTGAGGGCTTGGGGCGACTCTGGGGAGTTAGGGTTTCGCTCTGCATGACAGGAGCCTGGGGCCTGGCATGGTGTGACTCAGACTTAACGCCGCCCCTCTGACTGGTAGAGGCCAGGCCCAGGATAAGGTGGCGGCAGGCAGGTCTCTAAGCAGTGGCAGCTCAGACCCGAGGTCCCAGGGTCATGCGTGTTTGTCCTGATTGCACGAGTCGTGTGAGCACAGAAACGTAGGTGGAAAGATGGTGGCTTCGTCCAGGGAGGTAGACTGGGAACGTCTTTTGCTGCTTCCCTTGGATTTTGTTTCTCAAAGTCTGAATCAAGCGTGGCAGAAGAAAATACAGCAGAACATGGGATGGGAATATCCATGCGTATAATCGGTCAGGTTAGTTGCTGTATTCTGACTTATTTGAAAGATTTCATAGCGAACAAAGAAAAATTCCGGTATAACTATAATTTTTCCATAGCAGTTTATATTCCCTTTCTCAGCCTTGTAGGTGTAGGTGGAGTGTCCTAAGCTCTGGGGGTGGGGGGACACGTTTACGTGTCTGCAAACCGCTACATTCTGCTAAGACATCTCAGGAGCCCGCCAAGCCCTTAGTGAAAAGTTTCTTAAGGCGGTTTCATAGGTGCGTGTGGGGCTGTTGGATACAGTGACCCACTTCAAGGTGACATCTTCTTCTTGCATCTCAGATAGCACCAGGTTTGTGTGTTTATGCGTGTGCACACACGGTGTTGGGCTCTGGCGGTGGCCTGGGGGTGCTTAGGCTGTGCACAAATGCCCACGCACGTACACACACAGACACACAGCCTGACTTGGCCCAGGTGGGTGGGTGTCTGAGGAGAAGTTCGCCATTGTCGACTTTGGGGTAAAGTGAGGACCTGTCTGGCGGGAATAAAGGGGCCCTACTGTCCCCCGACTACCACTGCCCCAGCCCTCCTGAGCCCCTGTGACTGAAAAATCCTCACTTTGGAGGATGTTTGGTGACAGGTGCTGGGGCCCGGACACGACCTGGTTTCTTCATCCCAGGGGCTGTCTCCAGGGTGGGTTCTAGAGTACATCCAGCTTCCACCCAAGGGAGAGTGGCTGGGTGGAGAGGGGGCAGGCTGAGATCTGAGAAGCCAGGCTAGGGGGTTGTGGAGCAAATGATGATGTCTCAACCATGTGGCTTTAGGTCCCCAGCACGTGCTAGTGGCCATCAGCAGGCTACAGCATCCAGCCAGTGCCACCAGGAGCCCACTGGTGCCAGGATGCTGGGGTGGGGCTATGGGGAAGGAAGACATGTGGGCCAGGGTGCGGGGTGCGGGACAAACCTGGGTCCAGGCACCTGGGGCGACCCTCCTTGGCCGTCCTTGCCATCCTCGCCATCCTCTCTCCACACATCTGACCTTTGCCTGCTTTGGGGGCAGTTTGAGGCCTCAGATTTTCTACCTCAAAGCGATGGAACCCAGAAGACATGGGGCCCTCGAGGAGGGTCCCCCGGGGGCTGCAAAAGCAGAGGGAGTGGAGTGTCACCGGGTGTCCCGGCGTGGGCAGGTCCTGTTGTGGAGCCTCGTGACCTGCTCATAGCACAGCTGGGACACTTCCAGTGACTGCTCTGCGAGGCCCGGGGTAGGGGCGTGGGGGGGCCTCCTCCTCCCAAGCACCTGGGGTGGGAACAAGAGGCGTTTTGTGTTCTGCATGGGTGGCCCTGGGCTCCCCAGGCCTGGTGTGGGGGTGCCTGGGGGGCAGTGGACGTGAGCAGCAGCACGTGGCCCCCAGTCATGAGTACCCCAGGCCCCTATGCGCCTCCTTCCCCATGACTGGCCCTGGGTGGCGGAGAGACCCCTGGGCAGGACACCCCTCCCTGGCTTTTCCTTCTGCACCACTCAATCTGGGGGTTCCGGCTCCTTGCCCACCGCCCCCGCCACCCAGCGCGAGCCGCGTAGAGGAGCAGGAAGGGAGCCAGCTCCACCTCCAGTAGACCCAGAGACGGGGAGGCCAGGGTGCAGGGGACTGTTTGGGCCTCGAGAGGGACGGACCCCAGAACTGGACCCCAATGTGCAGGTCTGGGTGTGGATGTATCTGTATGTCTTTGCGGAGCTCAGATGAGAGATGCTCAGAGTTGTCTGTAGAGAACCAGAGCTGCCGAGCCCCGGCCTGGATGGACATCCCGCAGGCAGTGCACGTCCCTCCCCCGCCTCTCTTTGCCGTTGCCGGGACTGGGCCGTGTGCCTGGAGTTTGAACTTTTCTGATCACGGGGTGAGAGGGTCTTTGCAGTTGCAGAGCCGTGGCGCGGCGCCTGGATTTCCGACACACTGCAGCATCTGCATCCTTGCCGTCACCCCTCACACCCCCTGCTAGGGTCCCTCTGGGGGTTGAATGAAAAGGCATAGGTAGAAGGTGGGAGAAGCCCACGTTCTGGGAGCGTCGCAGTGGCCCAGACACCCATGTTCCTCCCTAGGCAGCTCCATGCGCGGGCCCCGGAGCTGGAAAGCAGCCAAGGGCACTGCCCGCCCTGGGAGCTGATGCCTGACATGCATCCTCGCCTAGGCCAGAGTGCCAGGCAGGGTAGGGGAACAAATGCCAACACGTGAGCTGAGTGACCGGAAGAGGGGGCGCCTCCCTGAGCAGGTGAATGAAGGGTGCTGGGGTGGCGAGTTGAGGGCCAACAGAGATGGTGTCCCGGCTGATGTAGGGTCAGGGGCTTCTGGAAGGAGCCTCACAGGAAGGGCAGGGCAGCACCAGGCTCAGCCCAGGACCAGAGCGCAAATAGGGCTGGAGTCCCGAGTACAAGGCATGGACAGGAGCCAGGCTTCACCTAGCACCTGGCTCCCCGGGGGCCCAGATGGCAGGCGAGGGGTGCCTGGGGAGGCTGCCAAGTGAGGGGGGGGCACAGACTGAGACAGGGTCCCCGTGTTCCATCCATGGGGTACAGCTGCTCCCAGGCCAGACTCTGGTGGTAGCAGGAGGCAGGGGAGGCTGTGCTGAGCTCAGTGGGCTTGGTGGGGTCATAGCTGCCTCTCCCTCTAAATAGATTAACTAAAAAGTATTGTTGACTGACTCATGCATTTCTTAGGTTTTCTTATTTTCTAATTTCTTCTTTTAAATTTAGGTTTGTCGAGGTTTAAGTTACATACAGGAAAACTCTCCCCCTCTGTAGATGTCCAGTTCGATGAGTCCTGGCAAACATTTATGGTCCTGTAACCACCCCCAAAGTCAAGATCCAAGGTGTTCCCATCACCCGAAAGCTCCCTGGTACCCACTGGCGGCTAGCCCCTCCCCGCACCTGGGAACCGTGGACGTGTTTCCTGTCCCCATGGTTTTGCCTTTTCCAGAACGTCATGTGAATGGAATCTCGCGGCGTGTAGCCTCTGCGCCTGGCTTCTGTCACTTAGCATAATTCATTTGAGGCCCATCCGTGTCATGGTCTCTGCATTCAGCAGTTTGTCTCCTTTTATTTGGAAAGGATAAAATGTACCACAGTTTGTTTATCCATTCACAGGCTGATGGACATTTGAGCTGTCTCCAGTTTTCAGCTGTTATGATTAAAGCTGCCATGAATATTGCGTGCAGTTTTTTGAGTAATCATATGTCTTCATTTCTCTGGGGTAAATCCCTGGGAGTGGGATTGCGGGATCATGTGTTAGATGCATATTTTCCTTTCGAAGAAACTGCCAAAGCATTTTGCAAAATGGTAGGCCCGTTTTCCACTCTTACCATCAATGTACGAGCATTCTGGCTCCTATGGATTCTCACCAGCACTTAGTATTGTCTGCTTTTTAAGCTTTGCCCATCCTAAAGGCTGGAGCCATATTCCGTCATGGTCTTCATTTGCATTTCCCTAGTGACGAATGGTGTTGGGCATATTTGCCATTCATATATCTCCTTTGATGGAGGATCTGTCCAGTTTGTTGCTGGTTTTAACAATTAGGTTGTCTTCTTAGAATAATCATGTGAGTTGTAAGAGTTGTGTCTATGTTCTGGATATGAGTCCTTCACCAGATCTGTTTTACAAATATTTTCTCCCAGTCATGGCTTTGTCTTTGCATTTTCTTAACAGGATCTTTCAAAAGAGCAGCAGTTTTTAATTTTGATGAAGTTCAATTCATCAGGGTTCTTCTTTTTTTTTTTCTTTAGGGTTCATGTTCTTTGTGTTCTGTCTAAGAAATATTCGCCTAATCCAAGATTACAAAGTTTTTTCTCCTGTTTTCTGTAGAAATTTTATAGTTTCACATTTCTTGTTTAGATCTGTGATTCATTTCGAGTTTAATTTTATATATGGTGACAGGTATGGATGGAGGTTAAATCTTTCTGCATGTGGTTATCCAGTTGTCCCAGAGACTTTTTTCCCATTGAATTACTTTGGCACCTTTGATGAAAATCAGTTGGCCGTGTGTGTGGGTTCGATTTCTGGACTTTGTCATCTGTTCTGCCAGGAAAGCACTGTCTTGATTACTGTGACTTTTACGCTAAGCCTTGAAATCAGGTCCTGTTAATCCTCCAATTTTGTTCATTTTCAAGAGTGAGCTGTTCTGCCAGCTCCTTCACATTCTCATGAATATCTTAGAATCAGCTCGTCAATTCTACCAAAAAAAAAATTGGCTAGAATTTTGATTGGCATTGCATTGGATATGTAGATAAATTTGGATCTCATACACGTCTTAGTAATACCGAGTTTTCTGATCCACGAACACGGTCTCTCTCCCCAGTGCCTCATGCACGTCTTAGTAATACCGAGTTTTCCGATCCACGAACACGGTCTCGCTCCCCAGTGCCTCATGCACGTCTTAGTAATACCGAGTTTTCCGATCCACGAACACTGTCTCGCTCCCCAGTGCCTCATGCACGTCTTAGTAATACCGAGTTTTCTGATCCACGAACACGGTCTTGCTCCCCGGTGTCTTAGATATTTTTCAACACCACTCATCAGGATTGTGTAATTTTTAGTGGTGTGAAACTTGCTAGATTTGTTCCTAAGTATTTTATGTTTTTGAAGCTACTGAAATGATATTGTTTTCTCAGTTTCACTTTTGGATTATTTGTTGCTAGGATATAGAAATACAATTGATTTGTTCGTATATTAACCTTGCGTCCTGTGACTTTGCTCATGTTACTTATTAGTTTGAGAAGGTTTCTTGTTCATCTGTTTTTGGGGTTTTTTTTGTTTTTTTTTTTTTTGTTTTTTTGTAGATTCTTTAGGATTTTCTATGGAGATGATTGTGTTGTCCACAATTAAGTCAGTCTTATTTTTGCCTTTTCAGTCCATATACTATTTATTTCTTGTTTTTACTTGAATGCACCTGACAGTGTCTGCCAGTGGGGAGAGGGCTGCTATCCTTATCTTACTCCTAAGGTGAAGTGAGGTAATCTTTCACCATTAGGTGTGGTGGGAGCTGTAGGGTTTTAGTAGAAGCCACTTATCAGGCCAAGAAGTTCCTCCTCTTCCTGGTTTGCTGGGAATAGAGAGTGCGTCAAGAATGGCTGTTGGATTTTTTGACAAGTGCTCCTTCTGCCTCTATTGAGATAATCATATCATTTGCAACAATCTCAATCAAATTCTTTCTTAATTTGCTAGTGTGGGGAATCGCACTGATTGACTTTCAAATAGCAAAGCAAACTTGCTTCCCTTACACAAAGCCCACTTGGTCATGATGAATTTTTATTTTATTTTATTTTATTTATTTATTTATTTATTTTATATGTATTTGTACTTTTTTAAATTTTTTATTTTTTTGAGATGGAGTCTTGGTCTTTTTGCCCAAGCTGGAGCGCAATGGCGTGATCTCGGCTCACTGCAGCCTCTGCCTCCCAGGCTCAAGTGATTCTCCTGCCTCAGCCTCCCGAGTAGCTGGGATTACAGGCGCCCGCCACCACACCCAGCTAATTTTTGTATTTTTAGGTAGAGATAGGGTTTCACCATGTTGGCCAGGGTGGTCTTGAACTCCTGACCTCAGGTGATCTGCCCGCCTTGACCTTCCAAAGTGCTGGGATTACAAGCGTGAGCCACCATGCCCAGCTGTCATGATGCGTTTTAAAACACCTTTTTGGATGTGACTGACTTCGGTTGTGTGTAGAACTTCCACGCCCACGCTCACGAGGGCGTCACCTGCCATGTGTTGGCTGTTGTGTCTGGTTTTGGCATCAGATGCCGCTGGCATCAGAGAATGAGTTGGGAAATATTTCCTGCTCTTCAATTTTTAGGAAGAGTTTGTGTAGAATTGCAATTATTTCTCCCTTAAACATTTGATAGCTAGAACATGTGGAGGTATCTGGGCCTGGAGTTTTCTTTGTGGAGAAGTTTGCCATTGGAAAGTCAGCAGATACAGGGCTATGCAGGTTGTCTATTTCTTCTTGATGAGGTTTTGATTGTTCATGTCTTTGAAAGTATTTGTCCCCAAGGAGCAGAAGCCCCAGCCCAAATTTGGAAACAAGACCATGTTGTGCTGACATGTCATTCCTGAGCAGCTTAGGGGCTGTGGGGTTTGCAGACCTCTGAATGCAGCCATCTGCAGGGGGACCCTCCTCAGTGCCCTGAGAGGGGGCCTGGGCTGGGTGGTCTCTGCTGCTGGCCATCCCACTGGGCACTGCCTCCCCAGGGATTCTGCAACAGGACACCGTAAGGGGCACGGGGGACAAAGATCAGACTTTCTCTGTTTCCTTCCAGCTTTGCTCCCCAGGGAGGCAGTCCCTTCTCAGAGGAATGAAATTTAAGAAGACAGGCCCTACAATTTCACGACAAGTCTGCTTTTGACTCTCCCGTTTACTGTGTAAACTTCAGCCCTAAAACAACATACATCCTTCTGAAGTTGTTCACATATTAGCTCTTAAAACAGCAAAATCCGTGCACAATTTCCTCTCAATCCCTTAAAACATTCCTGAAAGGGGGGGAAAACAACTGTTTAAATTCACCGCCTGTTATTAAAATCTCTAGATTTGCAGAATCAGAGTGAGGTACTCAGCAGTCAGAAAACAGACTAGACAGGCCCGTGTGCACACACGCGCTGACACACGTGCACACACACACGTCCACAGGGCAGCCTTTAATAACCGCAGGCCTTCCTGTCCCAACACTGCGCGGGCCCCTGAAGGGCCGGTGTGGGTTGCAGCTCCTCAATCTCTGCTAAAGTAAACAGGGTTCAACCCTGCGGCCTTCTCAGCACTCTCCCCAAGTCAAAAGAAGGGTGCTCAGCCCCTGGTCTCTTTGGTTTGCCAAACTTCTAGTGCTGGTGAAATTCTTAAATATGACATTTTTAGAAGCTTCGGCTCCTGGCAGATAAAAATAATGTCCCCCGCTCCACCCCCTTTTCCCCCTATCCCAGTTCTAGCTAAGACAGTGATCAGAGGGGTGCACCGTCTTTGGGGTTAACAGCCATCAGCAGTGGGGTTCCCAGGCTGAAACTAAATCCTCGTTTAACTGGCCTGGAGACGGAAACAGCCCTGCCTGGGGAAGATGGGGGATTTGCTTTAAATACGTGTAAAGCTGCCTGCCAGGCGGCTAATGGTGTCTGCAGCCAGGCGTGGGCGTCTCCGGGCCATGGGCTCCCCCACCACAAATTGCAGGGCAGCCGGCTTGGGCCACTCCTGTGTGTGCGGGGCCCTGGGTATGATTCCTGGGAGGCAGCTCCCAAACTGTGGGGCTCAGCAGAGGATTCAGGGCCTGATTTGCGGGCAGCCCCACCTGCCTTTTTGACTGTTCAGAGCCCTGAGTGCCTCCCATATGCCCACATTTTCCTGCCCCTGGGCCTTTTCTTCTGGTCATCGGCCTGGAGTGCCTCCACTGGCACATTGAGTTCTGCCTTCAGAGCCTGGGTTTTCTGGTGGAATGGGGCAGGGGTAGGCTGATAGACCTCTTGGAGAGACAGGGCCCACTTTCTTGTAGGCCCACAGGGACCCCGCCTGGGGAGAGAGAAGCTTCAGGCCCTGAGGCCTATGGCCTGGACCTCTCTAGAGACCCTAGAACAGACCTCTGGCCTGGCCTTGCTGATGACCTGGAGCCCCTGGGTGCCAGCTGCAGCCCCCTGCCTGTCCAGGAGTCTGAGCTCCAGGTATCAGCGAGGTGGGTTCGTTCTGAGGCTGTGAGGGAGTGTTCCAGGCCTCCCCCAGCTACTGTGGAAGGGTTCCCGGTCGACGCATCGCACCAGACCCTGCCTCCGCCTCCATACAGCGCCCCCCGGCCGGCAAGTCCATGTCCAGGTTTCCCGTTTGATAAGAACACCAGTTGTATGGGAATAGGGGCCCACCCTAACCACCTCATCTTACCTAATAGCATCTGCAGCAACCCTATTTCCAAACAAGGTCACACTCTGAGGTGTGCTGGAGGGTCTAGGACCTCAACATATGAATTTGCGGGGCGGGGGACACAGTTTAGCCGGTAGGAATACCTACCTGTCAGAGGATTCTTTAATCCAAGGGTCCGTAAACCATAGCCTACAAACCTGGCTGCTGATCTGTATAAATAAGATTTGATTAGCACACGGCCACGTGTGCTTGTGAACATCTCATCTCTGGCTGTTTTTGTGCTATAACAGCACAAAATTGTCTGCTGGAGTTGTTGCAACAGAAATCGCGTGGCCTGCAAAGCCTAAAATATTTACTATCTGGCTTTAGAGAAAAAGCTTGTCAAGCCCTGTTCTAAACTATGAAGACAATGTTGGAGGTTGCTTTCTATACCCACAGAGCCGTTGATGGGGTGAAGGGAGAGGGGTGAAATGCAGTCACACGCAAATTCTTATCTTCCTGAGGAGAAAGCCTTAGGGAGCCCACTACAGTGGACACTGTCTTTAGAGAGTAGCAGACCTGGCTGTGAGTTTGAGGAACCAGTGAAATGAGAGTTCAGTGACATCCTCAACTTCATGAGGATCAGAACATGGATAACATGTGGCTCAACTAAACAACCAAAAGCAAAAGGGAGAAGTCAACAGAGTCAAATAGCAAATATAAGGACAGAAAGAGTCAAATCAAATGCCTCCAACTTCACACCAAATGTAAATCGCCTGAATTCCTCTTTGAAAGACAGAGAAGGCCGTGCCGTAGCTCTGGGCTTTTATCTTTTAACAAATACATTGCTCAGCAGCATTAAGTAAGGCAAAGCAATAATGGGTGGTTGAAAAATAAAGGAATGGCCAAAGAGAGGCCAAGAAACTGCAAGCTAAAAGAAGAAAAGGAGAGAAAAAACAGGGAGATCAGGATGAATATCAACACTGAAGCCCAAACAAGACAAGTGTGAATGAGATCAGGCACTATTAGAAGACCTGACTGTAATCTTTAAGGCATCATACAACATAAAATACATAAAGCAAAAACTATTGAAAATCTGCAAGGACAGGAAGGTTAAATATGATAACGGGAGGAGATTTTAATGTACCTCTTTTGGAATAGGACAGTTCTAGTGGGCACAAAATAAGTGAGGACATGGACAGGTAAATGTTGTAATCATGAGCAATTTCAGATTCTAACAGTAATTTGAAATAACTCCTGTTCTTGTTATCTATAGCCATGTAACAAACCATCCACAAATCTAGCACCTTCAAAATACGCATCACGCCTGAGCTCGCTAGCCTACAGTCTGGCAGGGCTCAGTGGGACGGCTCATCTCCCCTCTGCATAGTATCAGCTGGGGCTGGAGCCTCCACAGCATTGCATCTACATGGCTGGTAAGGCTCCTGTTCATGAGGGCTTCTCCAAGGCTGCATGGATTCCTCACATCTCAGAAATGAACAGTCCAGGAGACAGGCAGTGCCAGGGACTGAGAGCCACCTGGCTGTATTCTCCTGATGCAGGTGTCACAGAGCCCAGGTTCAGTTGGGGAGGACTGGCAAAGAACTTCATAGGACTGTGCTTTAAAACCAGCACTATCACTTCGAACCCTAGTAATGGAGTTGTTTTGTTCCCTTATGTCTGCGGAACACTTACAAAACCAATCATTCATGTGGCTACAAACAAATCTAACCTACCTCAAAAAATTGAGATTTAACTGGCCATGTTCTCTGATCAAAACCCAATATCATGAGAAATAAATGATTAAAAGATTGGGGAAGAAAAATCCCTTACCTATTTGGGAATTAAACAACACTCTCCTAAATAGCCAGAAAGAAGAGATTGATGTGGGAAGTGCGGGCCCTGTAGGGCGTTATGAGACGTAGGCCCCGCTGCCTGCCCCAGCCCCTACATCACTCCAGCTGCCCCCCAGCACCAACTGTAGATGCTTTTATTTTGTAAATTCCATGCCAGTGCCCACATCGCTTGCTGGTGGCTTCACTGTGTTTGCAAATGTTGTCCCCCACGTGGATTGAAATTCATCTATTGCCTGAAAGTAATGAAGTATGTGCCTTGCACACTGTGTAAGCATACGTGTTTATTCAGTGCGTCCTGGGTTCTCACCCCTTGCCAGGTGATGGGTTGATTCAGTGTGCTGGGGGTCTCCAGGCGGGGGGGTCCACATAGTTTTTGCTTCATCAGAATCTGCTGATAAGCCCAGTTCGGAGCAGAGACTAGATGGGCCAGCCTGTGGGCACTCTGCCTAGCGCCATCTGCCTCTCCCACCCCAGGCAGGTGTCAGGTGGCTGCTGCGCCCTGTGTCCGCCTCCTGACCTTGAGAACACCCAGGTGGGGGAGGAAGTGGGCCGCGCTTCGGGAACCCCCACCCCGCCGGCTTGCGCAGCGAGCTGGGTCCCAGGGCTGGAGGCACCTCATTAAACCGCCTGAAACGTGTGTAACTCTAGTCGGCCCCCGTAAGGCACCGGCAGTACATGTGAAATTAAAATTACTGAGAGGCCCCACTCTCCTCCCCTCCATGGGTGGGCAGCCTTCATGGGGAGGCCAAGGCCCGGAAGCCGGCAGTCCTGGGAAAGATTTGGCCCCAATGATAATGGGCCCAAGAATGTGCTAGGCCCAGGGTGTGGTCCAAGTTCCTTTCTTAGCTAACCCCTCCACCCTGAGAAGCCTCCCCCACTACACCCACACATGGGGCCAGCTGCCTTGAGCACCTCCTGCTCAGACCCAGGTGAGGTACCTGAGTGACAAATGTCAAGAGTTTGCAGTTACTCCCAGAGCTACGGACAAGGGGCAAGGTGGGGCTGGAGGCACCGGCTCAGCAAGAGGGGTCACTTGAGCCTTGGCCTGCAGGGAGGTTTTGCTCAAGGAGTGTCCCTTGAGCAAAATATTGCACTTTCGTTGCTCTCTGAAAGCCTACCAGGCAGTCTTCCCAGAGGTGCTTCCCGGGAAGCCCGTGGAGAGGATGCATTCGACACCCAAGGCCTTATGGAATCAGTCCTGGGGCCTGGAGGGTCGTAGAGAAATGTGTGAACATGGCTCCCCTTAGGCCAGGGGTAGACGCAGGCACAGGGAGGATCAGGAAAGCCCTGGATCTTGTTGACACCCCGGGATGTGCCCTTGTGGCTACTTAGACGTAGAGCCCGGGGCAGGGGGAGGGCCAGCCCCTGTGGTTTTAGCCTCCTGAGAGTCTCCCCAGACAGCCCACAGGGGACACTGGGCCTCATGCCGCCTGTCAGGATGGTGTCCGGGATGTGGGGACCAGACGACAGCTGTCACCCACTTGCAGGGCCCGGCTGCCCGGTGGATGGGAACGGCCATCCCCATGACGACCCAGCAAGTCCCTTGCCTCTCTCGCTCACCAGGAAGAAGACACGTCCGGGCAGCTGGCAGGTGGGGCTAGTTCTGGAGGGAAAGCGGCCTCGTGCCTCCCAGAGTCACCCCGAAATCATTAACGGGGAGACAAGCACACAGAGCAGCTGGCCGATTGCAGCTCTGAAGGTCAGAGATGGCCGCCAGCTGTGGGAAGGCCTGTGGCTAGGGCTCTGCTGCCTGCTTCCTGGGCAGGGGCTCCTTCCTCCCTCTCTGTCTCTGGGGTCCCATGGGAAGTCAGGGTGGGGCCTGGTGTGTGGCTTCCGCTGGTTTCCTGGGTGTGTCTTCCTGCAGGGCCAGGACCCCCAGAGTGTTCCAGTGACTTCAGAGAGGGGCAGCCAGACCAGGAGGAGCTCCAGAGGTGCCCTGTGGGGAGAGGCAGCGTCCCAAACACGGGGGAGGGGGTACCGCCAGCCTGGGGACAGATAGCAGCATCTCAGCCATGGGGGGCCGTGACATCCGGTCAGGAGGGGGTTAGCATCTCAGACATGGGGGGGAGATGTCCAGCCCAGGGGAATGAGGGGGGTGATGTCCATCCTGGGGAGGGGTGACATCCATCCTGGGGGGACGGAGGCGTGACGTCCATCCTTGGGGGATGGGGGGGTGACGTCCATCCTGGGGGAGTGGGGGCGGTGACGTCCATCCTGGGGGAGTGGGGGCGGTGACGTCCATCCTGAGGGAACAGGGGGGTGACGTCCATCCTGGGGGAATGGGGGGGGTGACATCCATCTTGGGGGTACTGGGGGGTGGCGTCCATCCTGGGACTGGGGGGTGACGTCCATCCTGGGGGGACGGTGGGGGATGTCCATCCTGGGGGGACGGGGGGTGACGTCCATCCTGGGGGCGGGTGATGTTCATCCTTGGGGGACGGGGGAAGGTGATGTTCCTTCTGGGGGGGCGGGGGGGGGTGACGTCCATCCTGGGGGAGACAGTAACATCCCAAACATGGGGGATGATGTCCAGAGTGGGGGTCTTCAGGTCTTTACGGGCCCCTCAGCCTCCCCTTCCACACCCCAAGTACAGCACCCACAAGGCAGGTGCCTGGGAGGGAGACACACCTGTCCCCTGCCTGAAGTTTCTCAGCAGGATTTTGGGCACAAGGTGGGTAGTGAGCTGGTCTCAGCACTGAGCTTGCAGGTGGAGAAGGCGGGCCCCTGACTTTAGGGCGCTCTGGGTGGGATGAGGACAGACGTGGAGGAAAGGAGGGATCCCAGCAGAGGCAGCAGTGGATGGGGGAGGGCTTCACTGCAGGGAGAGTGAGGCTGCGCGGTGCCCTGCAGGACAGATAGGAACTCCCAGGCCTGTAATCCCAGCACTTTGGGAGGCCGAGGCGGGCGGATCACGAGGTCAGGAGATCGAGACCATCCTGGCTAACACGGTGAAACCCCGTCTCTACTAAAAATACAAAAAATTAGCCGGGCGAGGTGGCGGGCGCCTGTAGTCCCAGCTACTCGGGAGGCTGAGGCAGTAGAATGGTGTGAACCCCAGGGGGTGGAGCCTGCAGTGAGCCGAGATTGCGCCACTGCACTCCAGCCTGGGCGACAGCGAGACTCCGTCTCAAAAAAAAAAAAAAAGAAAAAAAGAAAAAAAAGGAACTCCCAGGGTGGAGCTGTGGACAGATAGGAACTTCCACAGCCAGGAAGGCCAGGTGACGTGGAGGGCCCCAGGCAGCTGGGCCAGCACGGGACGGGGCGTCAGGTCAGCGGGGCTCTTCTGTGCTGTGTGCAGCATGAGAGTCTGTACCCCACCTGTACTCAGGACCCTGCCCCCCGAGGACAAGGTCGCTTCCCTCTTGAGCACATGGGACACCACCTTCCTGCTACACTATTCCCATGCCCTTTCCACAGGCCCAGGCCACTGTTGTCATTTCGCCCTCCCCACAGTCCTAGGAGGTGGGCACTGCTGGTGCCCCATTTTACAGGTGTGGATGCTGAGCACAGAGAGGCTGAGCTGCTCGTCTGGGTCCCCCGCCTGGGATGCCACCAGTGTCCTCACACCAGCCTGCTCCTGCCCTGTGCCCATCCTCCTCCTGCTTAGCGATCCTTTCTCTTGCTAATGTGTGGGACAAGGGGCTCTCAGGGGGCCTGGCCAAGGTAGCGGGTCCCCCCACCATACTCCCAGTGCCACCCCTGGCTGCCTGGAGCTAGCTGTGCAGGGGCCCAGAAGCCCTCCCCTCCGAGGAGGTGGGCCTGTTCCAGGCTACCTTGGGCGGGCAGGGCCTTGGGTGGCCAGGGCCTCAGGAGGGACACAGAGGGCCCCACTCAAGGTCACGGGCTGCACGTTCCATGGGGCCTGGGGAAGCAGCCGAGCAGAAGGATGCAGCCCGACTAAGGCTGCCTCAGGGTGGCACCCCAGCGGTGCCCACACTAAGGGGACACTTGGCAGGGGAGGGGCTGTGGCAGGGCAGGGTCATGTCCCCAGCAGTAAGGCCAGGACAGGGCAGCCGGACCCCGACTGTGCCACCCTCAGCCCAGTGGATGGTGCATCTCACCTGGGCCTGGCCGGCTGCACTGTGGCGCCTGCCCCAGGCCAGGCTACCTTGGGCGGGGTGGGGACTGGTACTCCCCGGGGGGTGGGGGTGAGGGCGGGGGTGAGTGTGGATGAGGGCCCCAGCTGTGCCCAGCACGTCACTGGGGGCCCACAAGCTCTCAGCACAGGCTGGCGGCTGGGAGCAGCTGGCCACAGGCAGGCCCTGGGACAAAGGGCGCTTTGAGCTGCCTGAGTGCCTGCATTGCCCTCCGGCCAGCTGACCCTCCCCGGAGCCGAGGCTGGCTCTCTCTGTGGCTTATCAGGGCCGGGCCGGTGTGGAGTTGGAACAGCTGGCCCCAAAGCCCGCCAGCCGGGCTCTATGCTGTGGGGACCACTGCCCCCACAGGGAAGCGCCTGGCTCAGCACAGGCCCAGCCCTCTGGCTTCCTCGCTATGGGAGGGGGTGAGACCCTAATCCCGGGTCCCCACAGCACCCTCAGCCTAACCCCTGTGTCCACCCCTCTTCAGAGTCTCCAGGCCCCATCTTGGCCTGATGAGGCCTCATTGTCTCCTAAAAAGTGTGGGTACAGATCTCAGGCTTTTCAAGGGTGGGTGGATTCCTGGCTCCAGTGGAAGGTCCCCAGGCCTAAGTCTATGGGGGCGCCAGGGAGGCCGGCTGTGTTTCTGCATCCTTGACCCTGGCCCCTTCCACAAAGCTCAGCTCTGATCCTTCGTATTTAATCTTCATCTTCCGCCGTCTTTAAAATTAATTTTCCTTTAAAGATACTGTAGAGCAGTAACATCAGAGACACCAAAATAGACAAAAGAGATAATAGAAGAGTAATATCAGAGACACTAAAGTCCTCGCGATAAGGGTCTGCGAGGCTTCCTTTATGTTTTGCAAAAAAATCTATATATTTCATCCAGAGAGACAGGATGTGAGCGCAGCTGGTCAGAACCAGTTATTTCAGGCTGCCCTGTGATCTTTCCCACGTGATTGATTGACACAGGGACCTTCTCTAGGGTCCTAAATTATGTGGTTCCAGCAGCATGGAACTTCAAAACACATTGAACCCCAGAAAATCTTCGCTATGTTGGAGATTCGCCGGCTGATAAAAGCAAAACAATAGATAAGATGGCCAGGTCGACCTTCAGCCTTCTCGGAGAACACCGGTTCCACGGCCGGTTGCAACACGTTTGAGCCAAAGTGCGACCTTTCCCCGCTCTGTTCACTCGGAGACTAAAAATCCCAGATAAGCACCTGCTTTGCTAGACCCTTGCTGGCCCTCCGGCTTCGGGCAGGTCTCCTCTTTATGCCACTGTAACCCCACAACACCGGATACCAGCATGGGGTCGGCCTGCGGGGCCATGTGTCTCCTCCTGTGTGACCTTGAGCTACCTTGAGCTTCCATTTTCCTTCCGCACCATGCACTGATTTCCCCTGGGTTGAGGTTGAGGGTCCCAGGGTCTGTCTGCCTAATGACAAGATTTCAGTACCAATAGCGAAGCCGTCAGTGGCAGTGACTGTGCCTTAGGGTGTCCCGTTGGCATCCAGGGCCCCCCGTGAAGGATGGCACCGAGCACCATTCAACATAAGTCTTGTCAGCGTTCCGATGAAACAAGATTAGGGGAATTTTACAGCTTGCCTGTGTTTTTCCACCCAGGGCCCTTTGCACTGCCTGCTATTTGTTTTCTGTCTTCATCCTGAGAGGGCTCAAGGTCTGCATGCCATTTTGCAATTGACAAATGGCTTGTGCTTAGCTATTTCGTTGAATGCTGAACTAACAATAGTCAGTGAAGATTAAGAACTAAAGGCTCAAGGACAGCTACAGATGACCACAGCTGGAGTGCGGCAGATACTCGGGGCCGCTGGGTGGCCCTGAAGGCCCACAGAATCCTTTTGGAGACCTGACCCGCGGGAGCCCAGGTGAGCAACCGCCACGGGCCAGGGCCCCTCGAGGCACTCATTTCAGTATCAGAGAACACACATAACGTAAAATTCACCATTTCAGCCATTTCAGCCATTTCAGCCATTTCACAGCGTGCAATTTGGTGGCATTTAGTATGTTCACAAGGCGGTTCAGCCAACACCTGTCTCCGGTTCCAGAGCTTTTTCATCACCTCAAAAGGAAAACCATCCCCATTGCCCTTCTCCTAGTTCCTGACAAACATGTTCTTTTTAAACATTATGGTGAAATATAAGGCCAGGCGCGGTGACTCATGCCTGCAATCCCAGCACTTTGGAAGGCTGAGGCGGGCGGATCACCTGAGGTCAGGAGTTTGAGACCAGCCTGGCCAACATGGTGAAACCTTGTCTCTACTAATAATACAAAAAGATTAGCCGGGTGTGGTGGTGGGTGCCTCTAATCCAGCTACTCAGGGGGCTGAGGCAGGAGAATCACTTGAACCTGGGAGGCAGAGGTTGCAGTGAGCTGAGATGGTGCCACTGCACTCCTGCCTGGGCAACAGAGCAAGACTCTATCTCAAAATAAAATAAAATGGAAATATGTTTTACCATCTTAACCCTTTTTAAGATCACAGTTCCTTGCGACCATCGCCACCATCCAGCTCCAGAGCTTTTTTCATCTTGCAAAACTGATGAAAGTCTGTCCCCATTAAACACTCACTCCCTACTCCCCCTTCCCCAGCCCCTGGCGCCCATCATCTACTTTCTACCTCTGTGAATCTGATGACTGTAGCGACCTCACGTGAGTGGAAGCAGATAGTATTTGTCCTTGTGTAACTGGATCATTTCACTGAGAGTAATGTCTTCAAGGTTCCTCCATGTTGCAGCCTGTGTGAGAATCCCCTTCCTTTTTAAGGCCAAATCCTATTCCGTGGTAGGGAGGGACCACATCTTCCGTCTCCGTCGGTGCACTGAGGGACACTGGGCTGGTTCCCCTTTTTGGCTGTTGTGAATGTTGCTGCTGTGGACATGGGTGTGTATGGATCTCCTTTAAAGAGACCGGGGACAGACTCCAAAGTGGAATTGCTGGGTCATACAGTAATTCTGTTTTTTTTCTGGCATGTTATTTAAACAGACTATTTGTTAGAGCAGTTTTAGGTTCACAGCAAAATCGAGCGGCTGGTCATTTCACGCTTTAAAGGAGCTGTGGCATTCTACATCCCCCAGCAGCACACAAGGTCCCAACTTCTCCGGATCCTTGGGAGCACTTGTCACTCTGTTTGGGGTGGCAGCCACCCTAATGGATGAGAGGTGGCATCTCGTTGTGGTCTTGATTTGCATTTCCCTGATGATTAGTGACACTGGGCACCTCTCCGTGTGCCTCTTGGCCATCTGTGTATCTTCTTCACAGAAATGACTGTCCAAGCCCTTTGCCTATTTTTTAAAAATTGAGTTGTTAGGAACTTTGGTTTTTTAAATAATTTTAAAGCACACAAATAAGACACCTGAGAGCCAACTTATAACACGCCCCAGGATGGACATGGATTCACACTCATGGTAGAACAGAGCTGAGGGTGCAGTGTGGGATGGGCTGACTTGTGGCCAGGGGAAAGACCCGTGGCCTATCTTGTTTTGGGGGGCAGGGACCCAGAAACTCATTGCTTTCAGGCCTTGCTAGAAAAGCATACAGTCGAACGAGTGGGTCCGATGTGGAGTGCAGTGGCATCAGCCAAGGCTCCGAGGCGTTTCTTCCCACTTCACATGTCTTTTCTGTTGTTTCTGCGAAGGTGTCTCAGGGAGGGGCAGAACCCATGGGGTTTGGCTTCCTGACCCTGAACGTCTTTGTCCCAGGCCCTTCACTGGGTCTGGAGGAAGGAGGGTGCTGTGGTCCTGGTGGCTCTTGTGCCTGCACCCGCCTTGGGGCCATCTGACACCCACACCCTCCCTCCAGGCCAGACCCAGCTCTCCAGCTTCCCGGCTGCCCACTAGATGACCACCAAGGCAGGGCGGCTGGTGGTGCTGACGGCTCTGTGAGGCCCAGGCCTGTCTTCCCCACCTCACCCCACAGGGCTGAGACACCTCCCTGTCCCCTGGCAGGGCTGGAGGCTCTGGAGTCTCTCTTGGTTACCCTCTCTCTCCCAGGGCCACTTTTGCAGCCTGGTGTCCTTATCTCATGTCTGGGTCCCCTTTGCCAAGGGTCCTCCAGCCTTTGGCCTGCACCCACTCATCTGGCAGTAACAGGGCCACTTCCAGAACCACCACCATGCCCAGGTCATGTCTGTGCATGAGAGTGGTCAGCCCTCCATGGCAGGCCTGGCCTCACCTGCCAGTGTCCTCTCCCACACCCGAGGACACCTGTACCTTGTCCCGGGGCGGGGCTCTCTCTGCCATGGACGCCAGTCTTCCCTCCCCTAAGCTGCGGGTGACCTGACCTAGTTGAGCCTGGCTTTCCTCCTCTGTAAAATGTGAACAGAGGCCACCACCCCCATTATGTGGGTCTGTGTTTGCTCTGTGCACGTCTCGGTGCCCAGATCTGAGGCCCTTTTGTCCATGAAGCCATCTGCAGCCAGGAGGCGGCCTTGCTTTAGTCTGAAGGAGAGTGACCAGGGTAGGAGGGGCCTCCTTGTCCCTTTGGTCTGTTTGTGGTCTCAGTGGAGACCAAGGACGGCTCTTCTTCTCGTATCTACGGGGCAGAGCTCAGGGCCGCACTCCATCAGCATCCCGGGCCATTGCATCCTTGACCCCGGGGGGCTTGCAGGCACCACATAGATCTTGTGAGAGGCGCTTTGTGGGGCTGGATGATCCTGGGTGCCCCTCAGAGAAGGCCCTGGGGCTGGCCTTGTTATCAGTGGGGGAGTCAGGAAGTACCCCGGTTCTGTACCTGTAGTGGATGGGGCTCTCAGAGGGATTGGGGGTGATGGGGGTGCTGAGCTGGCCTGAGAAGGGTGGGGTAACCTAGGGGGTGGAGTGGGGGAGGGAGAGAGCACTCCTGACACAGGGTCCTGAGGAGGCAGGGGTGCCCCAGGGAATGGGGGGCACCTGGGGCCCACGGGAGGCTCTGGGGGAGACTGGGCGGTGAGCCCCTGGGAAGGAGGCCTCAGGGACAGCCCTAGACTGTCACCCTCAGTGTGGACAGCAGGAGCTATGGCAGCTGCTTGAGCAAGGTGGGCAAGGGAGAAGTACCAAATGTGTGCAGGTTCTGGGGAGGAGCTTGAGGCCCCTTTAGTTCACCTTTGGAACTTAGGACCAAGTCTGCAAATACAGATGAACCCAGGGTTAGGAGGGTGGCTGGGGCATCACCCACCTGGGGTCTGGACTGCTGGAACCAGGGGGAGGCAGGCCTGCCATTCTGTGAGCCTGCTTTAGACTGGGGATGTGGTCCCGTGAATCAGGGGTGGGCCATGGCATGGCGTGGGGGACCAGCCCTCCTCCCTGTCCCCAGCTGAGTGTGAGCTCCCTGGGGTCTTGCTGTGGCCTTGGCCCTGGGTGTTGTCCCACACAGCCCAGGAGAGCGTTTGAGGCTGATGGTGGTGGAGATAGTTTTATCTCTGAGCAAACATTCCATCTTGCTGTTTCCAGCCTAGAGATGGTGAGGGGACTTTTCCTTGGCTCTTTCCTGGCCTGCTAGCAGCACCAGCCTAATTAACCTGACAAGCGGGGCCTCCCCAGCCATGCAGCCTTGCACTGCCTTCCCACATCCAGCTGGATTTGGGGATCAGTGTTGTTTTTAATCATTCCTACCACCTTGTCCCACAGGCAGGAGTCCTGCCATCTTCGAAGGCCAGCCCCTAAACAGGTTCCCTGAGTGTTAGGTCAAAATAACTTTAAAAAGACACGCAGCTATCCACAGCAATCCTTAATAGTTACTTATCTATTTCAGGGTATAACATAAGACACACCTATCATTTCAGACCTGCCTAGGACATGCCTGGAGAAGGTATTTAAGTAATTTTAAAAGTGCATCAAAACAAGGTCAGGCGCGGTGGCTCACGCTTATAATCCCAGCACTTTGGGAGGCCGAAGCAGGCAGATCACCTAAGGTCAGGAGTTCCAGACCAGCCTGGCCAACATGGCAAAACCCCATCTCTACTAAAAAAATACAAAAAAATTAGCCAGGCGTGGTGGCATGCGCCTGTAGTCCCAGCTACTCAGGAGGCTGAGGCAGGAGAATTGCTTGAACCTGGGAGGCAGAGGTTGCAGTGAGCCGAGATCACGCCACTGCACTCCAGCCTGGGTGACAGAGCGAGACTCTGTCTCATAAATAAATAAATAAATAAATAAATAAATAAAGTGCATCAAAACAAGAAAAACCCTGCTAAGGGCCAGTCTGCTGGGTGGTGGATGGGTCAGCAGAGCTGGGCTGGGAGCCGCTATGCCTCCCCATCAAGGCCACCAATAGTCGGGTGAGCCGGCCTCTGTGCCGTCATGGGCACCCTGTCTCAGCTCCGGGGACTTGGAGCTCTGTGTTTCCGTGGCCTTTTTCACGATGACCAAACAAAGGCGGGTGTTATGGTGTCCAGGCCCGGTCTCCCTAACGGGCAGTTTCTCAGAAGCAAAGACCGACGAGACAGAGCTCCTGCTACCAGAGAGCCCTAGGCCGGCTCATTGGAATAGTCATTTATTTGTTCCTTCATTCGTTCATTCAGCATGTCCATGTTGAGCACTGACTGGAGCAGGTCCTGTTCTGGGGCCTGGGAAATGGGGGTGGATAAGACCAAGGTAGCCTCTTCTCTAAGGAGCTCAGCCGGACCTCAGCCTAGAGCCCTGGTCCCCAGGAGCTGAGGACAGAGGTGGGACCCACACCCCCCCCATGAGGCCACAGAGCCTGCAGGTGTCCACACCTTTTGTTTTTGTTTTTTGATTTTTGTTTTTCGTTTTTTGTTTTTTGAGATGGAGTCTCACTCTGTCACCCAGGCTGGAGTACAATGGTGTGATCTCGGCTCACTGCAAGCTCTGCCTCTCGAGTTCAAGCGATTCTCCTGCCTCAGCCTCCTGAGTAGCTGGGATTACAGGGCGTGCGCCACCATGCCAGGCTAATTTTTGTATTTTTAGTGGAGACAGGGTTTCACCATGTTGATCAGGCTGGTCTTGAACTCCTGAACTCGTGATCTGCCTGCCTCGGCCTCCCAGAGTGCTGGGATTACAGGCGTGAGCCCCCGCACCTGGCCCACACCCTTTCTTTACCTTACACCCCTGCCATCTCCAGTATGCACCTGTCCGCACACACCCACACACCCCTGAAGGATTTGACGTCATGAGCCAAAAACATTTTTGCAAAAGGAAAGCAACTAAGCTCCCAGCGTGTCTCCCCTTATCCATTGGGCTTGTCCCAAACACATGCCGGATGGTGTAAGTATCATTCCATCCTAATTAATAACATTTGGGAGCCAGCGATGGCAGTGTCCAGCTGACTGCTCATAGTGGACTCCCTGGTGGGGGCGTGGCATGGGAGCAAGGCCAGCCACTGTCACCCAGTGGGAGCAGAAGTCCCCTCCAGGGCCCGGCTTCTGAGGGAGGACAGGCAGGAGTCCGCCGGAAGTGGGCCTGAGACGCCGTATGCCTGTGGCTTTGTGGCTTTGTGTGGCTAGCGCCTCTCACACGTGGGGGCTGGTTTCATCTTCCAGCCCCACACACCTTCCCCAAGGGCCTCCCGTACACCCCGGCTGCCTGGGCGCTGGGCTCCAGCCTGCAGGTGGCCGCTGCACTTTAAGTGTCACAATGGGCTGCACTTCACATGAAAGCTGCATTTTGGCAATAAGTCCCCACCAAGCCCACTGAGCCTGGCCCTGCTGCATCCACACTATACAGCTGAGGAAACTGAGGCCCAGCTTTCCACTTCTGTGCCTAGGGGGTGGGATCCAGCTCCGAGGGTCTTCTTCCCACTCCTCCAGGAACCTCCGCCCTCTGGTGTCGGTGGAGTTGAGGAGGTGTTGGGGTGTGGAGGGGCCAGGTGACTCCCTGTAAGGGCAAAGTGATCCAGAGGCTGCCCCTACCGCAGGTACACCAGGCTCAAAGGCCAGCTGTGAGGCTTTCCGGGGCTGGATCTGGTGGGAAAGTGCTTATCACGGAGGGCACCCGGGGTTCCTGGCGTGGGACCCCCTCTGACCCAGGCTAGGGTTCCTGGCGTGGGACGCCCTCTGGCCCAAGCTGGGGTTCCTGGTGTGGGGCCCCCTCTGACCCAAGCTGGGGTTCCTGGCGTCGGACGCCCTCTGGCCCAAGCTGGAGTTCCTGGTGTGGGGCCCCCTCTGACCCAAGCTGGGGTTCCTGGCGTCGGACGCCCTCTGGCCCAAGCTGGGGTTCCTGGTGTGGGGCCCCCTCTGGCCAAGGCTGGGGTTCCTGGTGTGGGGCCTCCTCTGGCCTGGGTGGGCCTGGCCTGAGAGCTGCAGCCTCACCTGGGCTCCACTGCCTATGGACATGAGCTGAAGCTGCTCAGCCTTCCAGGGCCTCTGTGCGCAGGCATCACCATCCGCAGCAGGCCAGGACCCGGGCCTGCTGTTCTCAGGGTGTCCTTCAGCGGAGGCTCCAGCATGGCTGGGTTCAAACAGGTTGCAGGGTCTGAAGCCACTCAAGGCCGAGCCTGCCTGCAGTGAGCGTCCCACTCTGTCCCTGCAGGAGATCGTGCTGGTGGTGTTCTTCGGGACGGAGTACGTGGTCCGCCTCTGGTCCGCCGGCTGCCGCAGCAAGTACGTGGGCCTCTGGGGGCGGCTGCGCTTTGCCCGGAAGCCCATTTCCATCATCGGTGAGTCATGCCTGCCCTGTGGAGGTCACGCCCAGGTTTCCAGACCAGGAAGGACCCCCACCTCATGACCCCTACCAGATGGAGTCCCCTAAGGACTGGGGAACCCCAAGGCCAGCAGGGGGTGACTGCCCAGGACCCAGCACAGGAGCATTGGCAGCCCTCAGCAGCCTCTGCACTCAGACGCTGATCATGGTGTTGGGGGTAGGGGGTTGGTCCCTCACAGATTCCCATGAGCCTCACAGCCCAGCATAGCTTCATGGTGGGCCAGTCACCCTCGGCAGCCTGAGAACCATGGTCCAGGCCTGAGGCCCTGCCCTTTCTGGCCACTTGCAGGGCTCAGCACAGGGCCCAGCCTAGGCCGGGGGCTCCACATGGCCAGGACAGAGGTTGGGTCTCTCCGTTTAGATGCTGCCTGCCTCCCTATCCGAGGTGTCTCCATGTCCCCGGTCATCAGGGCGTGACCCGTCTGACCAGCAAGCCCCTTCCCCAGACGAGAGCAGGGTGTATGCTCTTCCCTGGGGCCCTGGCTGTGGCGATCACGAAAAGCTCCCCCTCTCCTGCACTCCACAGACCTCATCGTGGTCGTGGCCTCCATGGTGGTCCTCTGCGTGGGCTCCAAGGGGCAGGTGTTTGCCACGTCGGCCATCAGGTGCGTCTGTGCCACAAGCTCCCCCCGCCATGCCGCCCCACCCCGAGCACCCCTCCTGAGCCGCGGGTGGTCTCACGCCCCATCCACCTTGCTCAGATGCAAGGTGCCTTGGTGCCCACTGCCCCCGGGGGCACTGAGCCATGTGCTGGGATGGGTGGAGCAGGGTGGGTGCAGGCAAGTGTGGAGGGCACGGCTCAACCCAAGATGCCTCAGGCAGCCCTAGGCTCTGGCCCAGCACTAGCGCCTCTGAACTTCCAGGACTTGGGTGGTAACCTGACCATCTGGGCACACAGCCTGCCCATCTGCAAACTGGGGTGACCCAAGGAGCCCCCCAGAAGGCAGTCTGGGGACTGAGGGAATCTGGAGGTACCTGGCCGACCCCCAGCTCAGCCCTGTGTGGGCAGATTCAGAGCAGGCTCTGGGGGGCTGCGCCTGAGAGGGAGATTCCCAGGCCCCTGTCGGGATGGACATATACCCAGCCTCCCCACCCAGAGTGGACGCCTGGGAGGGGCAGGGGCAGGGACACCCATGCCATCGGCCAGCCCTAGGCCCGGCGTGAACAGCTGAGCCCAGCCTGGCTCCCTCAGCCCCACACCATCTCCTTCGCAGGGGCATCCGCTTCCTGCAGATCCTGAGGATGCTACACGTCGACCGCCAGGGAGGCACCTGGAGGCTCCTGGGCTCCGTGGTCTTCATCCACCGCCAGGTGGGTGGCCCGGGTTAGGGGTGCGGGGCCCAGGTTGGGGACAGGACGGAGGGAGCAGAGCAGCCCACACTAGGACAGCTTGAGATGCGCTGAGGCCCCGGGGGCCGGTGGGTGCCTGGGCGCAGGGGTACCTGAACGGGGCCCAGGATCTCAGAGCAAGCCCAAGCTTGAGCCCAGCCTGGATGCTCCACCCCAGCCTGGTGCCAGTGACCCTGGCCTGCCAGGCTGATGGTGTGCTCACCTTCCTCTGAGCTGGGGGCAAATGAAGACAGAAAGTCAGAAATGAAAAACCCAGGCAAATCAAGGACCCGGTCAAGGCAGGGCCACCAGACTCCCTCCCGAGGGCTGCACTCAGATGGGTTCAGGCTGCACTGGCCCCTGGCTCTGTGGGGTGAGGGGACCCTTCCTCTCCCTGAGGATCTCCTGGGTCCTGGTCCATTCTTGGTTCTGTCACGTGGCAGGAAAGAGAGCTGGGCAATCAGTGGAGCCCGCGCCGGCCCAGACAGTGGGCCTAGGGCGACCCCAGGGCTGAGCCTCATTCTGGGGGTAACCCCCACCCGCCACTTACCGGAGTTGTGAGGAGTGGGCTATATTGAAGCCGGCCCTGTGCATGTGAACCGCGCTGGAGCGGCGTAGGACGCCCAGTGATCGCTGGGACTCGCTGCCTTAGGCGTCTGCACAGGAGGCTCCCAGCCTGCGGTTCCTGGAGCCCGACACTGTGTGTTTTCTGGCCTAGGAGCTGATAACCACCCTGTACATCGGCTTCCTGGGCCTCATCTTCTCCTCGTACTTTGTGTACCTGGCTGAGAAGGACGCGGTGAACGAGTCAGGCCGCGTGGAGTTCGGCAGCTACGCAGATGCGCTGTGGTGGGGGGTGGTAAGTCGGAAACTTCCAGGCATGGGGACAGGGGCAGCTCAGGCTGAGGAGTGGGCAGGACATCTGGGCACTGGTGTCTTGAGACTTCGGGCCTTGGCAGGGGCTTCTCACCTGCACGCTCACAGGCCTCTGTCCACAAACCTGTGCTTGGAGCCGCTGGCACAGGTCCCCACGCTCAGTGTTGAGTCCTTTGGCATCACCATCTTGAAGTTCTGAATGGTCTCATCCTTGAACTTGAGATTTGAGAGGGAAATCGGAGGGGTCACTGGAGCGTGTGTTGGGGGCTTAGCGGTTTCGGCTCCCCCATGGCTCTGCCTCCCGCCATCGTCCTAGGTTGCCCATTCCCTGCCTCCACCGTGGCCCTCACCCTGGCAGGGCCCAAGGAGAGCGGCGTCAGATGCATACCTCGCGTGTCTCTGAGGGTCCACACAGGCCCTGTAAGTGCCCCTGTCCCCAAGGAGCCAGACATGAGACAGCAAACAGGAAAGACCATGATGGCTCAAGAGACCCCAGCAGAGATCAGAGAGCCCCCGTGTTTCCAGTGGATGCTGGGCCTGCAAGTTCTGGAGCCGGGCCTGGGCAGTGGCGACATAGGTGCAGCTGGGCCTAGGGAAGCAGGGACCCGGCCTGTGGGCCCAGAGGCTGCCCCTGGCTGTGAAGGTGGGTTCCGGCCACCTAGAGCAGCCCGGGAGCCTTGGGGAAGCCGGTGTGCAGCAGGCAGATCCCGCACTGGAACACCGAGCCACCCAAAGCTCAGAGAGGCTGTGCGGGAGGGGTGGGGCAGGGTGTCTTGGGCCGTGTCTGTGGGGGCTTCCTTGAGGGACTCAGGCTTGCACGTGGGAGAGGGAGATGTTCCGATGAGGATGCAGCTGCAGGAATCAGGGTGCGCCCTCCGAGCTGCAGGCTCCCCAAGTCCCAAGTCACTGGCCTGTGGGCCCAGCAGCAGTTTCTCATGGCTCAGAGGACGCTGGCTGAGGCATTTTTAGGGGGCAGGCCTAGCTTGCCAGTGTCCCTCTGGGAGCTGGTGGCTGCCTTCAAATCCTCCAGTGAAAGTCGGCGTTTATATATGCATGGAGCTCAAGGGCTGCTTCTAGGGGGAACACGTGGGTACCCCGAGGGGAGTAGCTGGCTGGAGGCCAGAGTGCAGGGAGGGAATGACTCCATCCCATCTCCCCCCACAGCTGCAGGGCCAGGTGGGCCGTCCACAGGCCACTAAGGCCCAGGGTGGCACCATCACACCTTGGGGAGTGGCCCTGGGTGGGGACCGAGAAGCCCAAGTGCCGAGGTGACAGGGTGACCCCTACTCTGCCGCCACAAGCCTGCCCCCGCGTCTGCCCTTGTCTACCGACCTCCGGGCTCACTCAGTCCGATAACAGGTTAGATGGAATCGTGGTAGCAACAGGGGCTGGGGGCTGGGGAGGAGGCCGTCGAAGCCCACACAGGGTGGGAGCCAAGGCCTGGGGGCCGCACGGGGGCTGGAGGTGGGGGCGGGCAGGGCAGCCGTGGGAAACACGTGGTGGTGCCAGGACCCAGTCCGTCTGCCCCGAGTCCTCCTTCCAGAAAGGACCGGACTTGCTGGCTCTCGGGACCCCCCACCACCATCAGAGCATATCTGGGTGGGGTGAGAAGCCTCCCGGTGGCTCCCCAGGCAGGCACGTGTCCCTGCGATTGCTGTGCCTCCTCCCTCCCCCTCAACCGCCGCTTCCCCCATGAGGCCAGACACTCAGCAGTGGCTCCTGACGTAGGCCAAGTCAGCAGGTTTTCTGGAAGCTTCCAAAGTGCTGCAATGCTCAGGGATGGCAGGGGCATGCTGACACAGCTCCTGGGTTGGGGCAGGCCCCACTTTCGGCCTCTTCCCGCCTTCCTGGGGGCCTGTGTCCCCGAAGGCCCCAGTGTGGCAGGCCTGAGCAGGTTTGGGCAGCAGGGCCCAGCCCCCCTGCGGGAGCCTGCCTGCAGTGAGTGTGGATGGGTAGGGCGTGCTCGGGGGATGGACGGCCCAGAGCCAGGAGAGTTCCCGGGAGGCTGGTGGCAAGGTGGGCAGTGAGGAGCTGGCGGTGCAGCAAAAGCCAGTGGGTACTGGCCCCGGCACGGCTGATAAGCAGTGCCCAGCCTTCGCTGCTGCCCTGCCTGCCTTCCCAGCCGCCCACTGGAGCTGTGGGCAGCGGACGCTACTCCCCAGCCCCCCAGCCCGCAGCAGAGCGGCACTCCCACTCCCACACCTGTGCAAACATCCGCCCGCTGGCCGGGAACACGGCCCCTTTGTGCCCGGCTTGGCATCAGTGCCCCGGCCCACACCGTCAGCTGCAGCCCGAGCCTCGGCCATCGCGCGCCCTGGCCTGGCCATTGTTCCCGCCAGGCCCCGCGCCCCTGGTCGCCCTGGGCCCCCCACCGCCCAGGGCTGTGGGGCAAACAGCTCCCATTCAGCTGCCCTGCAGCTGTCTGGGGGGAGCGGCCCCTGAGGCCTGAGTTATGGGCTGTGTTCCTGGCATTTCTCGGACAAACAGAACTTGAGAAACGCAAGAAGGGGCAGCAGCCCAGATGGGGGCTTTTAAGCCAGTTTTGCCAATTTGCAACTGCGCCCTGAGCAGTTGTTTTCTTTCAGCTCCTTTGTCCTGCTTCCTTCACCCCACCGGGGAGTGAAGTACGCCCTCGCCGGCCAGGCAGCCAGGGCTGCTCCATGTCTGTCCGTCCGTCGGGGCTGCCACAGGCCCTTACTGGGTGGGAGGTGGCTTCCTGGAGGCCAGGCCATTCTGATCATCATGCTGCATCTGCCCCAGACCTTGCCTGGACTCTGTGGACTCCTCACCCCTCAGACACACCCTGAGAGGGTGCTGGAGCTGCCACAACAAAGTCCGCGAACTGCTGGGCCCAGAGCAACAGAAACTCATGGGCTCTAGAGGCCAGAGCCCGAAGCGAGGTGTGCACAGGGCCTGCCCCTCCGAAAGCTCAGGGAGAAATTTCCTCTCCTCTCCCCGTGGCTGGAGACTCCAGGCGTGCCCGGTGTGCGGCCGCCTCTTTCCTCTGTGTCAGGCCCTGTCTCTCATGAGGACACTTGCTGTTGGCTTTAGGGTCCACCCAGGTGATCCAGGAGGAGCTCATCTTGATTGAATCTTCAAAGAGCCTATTTCCAAATATCGCATTCTGTGGGTCCAGGTGAATATGAATTAGGGGGGATGCAGTCCAGCCTAGGACAGTGGGTGGCCCAGGTGGACTTCCTGGGAAGGTCCCTCCCCTTGCCGGCCACCAGTTTCCACAGCTGTCCAGCGAAGGCGCCGGCTCAGTGGTTGAGTGTCCCCTCCTGTCCCCTTCGCCGGGGTGGGGATACGCAACTTGGATGTGAGAACTCTCGAATCCCCTGAGTGTGGCGCCTGCCCTGGCTGCCAAGGCGTTTGGGGAGAATTTAAGACTTTTCTTTGCCCTTGGAACAAAATGCGTTTGTTTGTGTTAAAGTTTGAGTGGAGGGAGAAGCAGTTTTTGCAAACACGGGCTTCTCTGTTCAGCGCCCGGGGGTCTCTACAAACAGGAGGCTGCCGGGCTGTGTTTGCCCCTCTGCACCTAAATTTAGAATTGAAAGTAAAGAAGCTGGAACCCCATTCCTACATTTCAGCCGCCTTTTGAAGTCGAGTCTGACTGCCTGCTGTTCACTCTCTCCTCACCTGGAGCCTCCAGAAATTCCCGCCTCCCTGGCAACGCTGCACCCTGGCGGGGCAAGGCCAGAAGGGGCTGGGGGCTGGTGCAGGGGTGTGCGTGAGGGCAGGGCCTCCCAGACAGTCACAGGCCAGCCCTGTTGGCACTGCCCAGCGGGAGGGGTGGTGTCAGGAAGAGCTGGGGAAGCCAAGGCGCCGTGGGCCGAGGGGCGGCAGGACCTGGCCACCCACCGAGCCCCTGGGTCAGCGTTCTTCCTCCTCCTGGAGTTCCGTGCAAAGGGGAACGAGTTCAGCTGCCCTACTGAGTGGGCCTGGGGACAGAGGCAGAGTACGCACCTGCTGTGTGCCTCAGTTTCTCCATCTGCACATGGGAGACAGCAGTCCGTCTCCCAGGGCCAATGCAGGGCCCGCTGCAAGGGCTGCTGAGGACTGTAATCCCAGAGGCTGCAACCGATCCCTCTGCTGCGGAGACTTTCCCTGGACCGAAAGGGCCTCCTGGTGAGGCTGGGTCTCCGTTTGTGGACTCACTGTTGAGGCGTGTGGTTTGCGGTCCTGCTGTGTGCCAGGCACCGGCAGGGGTTCGGGCAGCCCTGTCTTGCTCTCTCTGTCACAGTCAGGAGCGAGAAGCATGGTGTGAGCTGGGGCTGGCCTGTGGTGGTTCGCAGGTGGCCATGGGAAGCACCGCCGGAGTGTCCCTGCAGGACTGTTTCGGCCCAGGAGCAGGGAGGCCTCCTTGAGGAAGTGACAGCTGAGCTGAGACCTCAAGACACAGTCACCTGGGCCACCTTCCGGCAGGGCGCTGAGCCTGGCTGTACCTCGGGGAAGACGCGGCCTGGGGCCTGGGTGCCATGGGGGTGTTGACGGTTTCACCACCAGCCCGTGTGTGGGGCTCCGGGCTTCGTGAGTGAGGAGAGGACTCCATGTGACGGGGAGGCCTGGCCCTCGTGAATTGGTGTTCGTTTATTTACTTTCTCCTGCTGAAAGGAAGCAGGTTTATTTTGGGGTGTGTGTCTGCTTTTGCTTTTACCCTGAGAGTTTGCCAGCCTGCTGGCTTGTTCCCCCACCCCCACCTGGTGGCGTCAGCCCCTTTATGGCTGTTCCTGAGAGACAGGCCGGAGTCTCCAGGGCGGCCCCACGGGGGCTGGGCGTCCCCTTGGAATGTGAGTGCCTGGCCTGTTAGAGCCCCAGGACCGCTGGCCCCACCCTTCTCTGTCCCAGAGACAGTCCTGCCCCCCACCCAGGGGCCTCCCTCTGTCCACGGCTCCCCCTTTCCCAGGCCACCCCCCTAGGCCCCTTTCCTCCACCTTCATTGGCCCTGCCCTCTGTAGTGTCACCCAGGTCAGTGGGGCCCTGTCCTGCCCTGTCCTGAGGAGTGCATGTCTCTGAGCCCTGCATGGGGGGAGCCCACCAGCTAGCAGAGGCCCAGAAGGCTCTAGACAGGCTCTAGACTGGGTCTCTAAGTCTGCAAGGGGCACCAAAGCACTTTACAAATTCCAGGAGTGAGTGACAGGCTGGCCACGTGCCAAGCCCTCACCCAGCAGGCAGCCCGTGAGAAGTGTGTTGTGATCATGCACCTTCCCGAGAGGGGGAAACTGAGGTACAGAACATGCTGGGGCTTTGCCTGAGGCCAGACGGACAGGGTGAGAACTGCCCCCCACACTCAGAGCCACGGTGCCAGCCCAGCCTTGCCAGCAGGGCAGCCACAGGACTTCCAGGCAAGGTGACGGTGCCAGGTGGGGCCCGAGGCCCTCACTCATAGGGCATTGTCCCACATCCCCTGGAACCACTGAGACAGGCATCGTGCCACGAGAGGGGACACCTGCCTGGACCTCTGTGTGCTCAGCCTACTGGGGGCACTGAGGCCGAGGGCCCAGCTCTGCGAGATCCTGCATGGGCTTCCTTCCAAGCCCTGGAGAGGGGAGCAGGCCTGGGAGGGCGCCCTTGGCCCAGAGCCTCCATGAAGAGCCAGGGGCCTCCTCATGGCTGGGGCCCCAGCACAGTGACCTGGGAATGGCTGTGGCCGCATGGGATGTCCCGGAGCCCCTGCCGCCCTCCTTGGAGCTGTGGGGCTGAGCTTGGGTGCTGCGCTCTCCTGACTCCATCCTTAGGTGCCTCCTCACGGGCAGGCTGGGCTCTCGAGGCTGGGCAAGGTCGGGGCCTGCAATGGCTGAAGCAGCCTCTTAGCCCATCTCTGCCTTCGGGGTGGCCACAGCGGGGAACGTGGGTCCTGCAGGCCTTGGTCCAGCTGTCTGCCTGGCCACTTTCTAATGGGGAGCCCTCAGCACAGTGACTGCCCAGCCTCAGTTTCCTCCTTCGTAGATGATCTTGACCTGAGAGTGCCAGCTGGGGTGTGACACCTCTGGGCTACCCCCTCCTCCCGCTCTTGACCACCCCTTCCTCTGGACAGACGACCACCACATCTCCAGCCAGGACCACCCCTTCCTTCTGGGCAAATGACTACCACGTTTCCAGCCGGGGCCAGTGAGCTCTGGGAGCCAGGGCTTGGCATGCGGCTGGAGCTCAGGTTTCTGGGCTGGCCTCTGTCCTCCCCTCGAGGCCAGCCTTGAGGAGGCTACTTCTGAAAGGAGGGAATAGAATCCCAGTGTTTCTCAGGGAGGAACATGGGGGGACTAGAAGGCTCCCCATGCCTCCCGCCCCTTCACATGGGAGTGAAGGCACAGGCCAGCAGGAGGGCGGGGGAAACACACTGACCAGTGGGGTGTGCGTTCCCCGCTCGCCCCCACAGTTCCTGCCATGGGCGTGACTTTGTGTGCCTCATATGGCTGGTGCCCTGGCAAGGAGCCACGGCCCAGGAGACAGACATGTGGATCTGCATTCCAGGTGGTGGGCCATCAGGGACTAATCCCCAGCATGGTGACCATAAAACAGCCCATTCCTGAGCTGCCTGTGTCTGAATGCAGGAAAAACAAACAGGTCTGCAGGGAGGGGCCGTTTCCTTGTTAACTTGAGGATGAGGGTCTGGGGCCGGGTCTGGGCAGACAGGCAGACCAGGCGAAGGTGGGGTCCTGGAGCTGCGTCCTGCTGTATGTGTGCTCTCCACGGTGGGCAGACACCCAGGGGCACTTCTGGGGCTGGCCTTTCTCTCCCTCTCGGGGCACCCCTGCCTTCTACTGACCACCCAGCCAGCCAGCAGGAGCCCACGTGCACCCAGCTCAGCCCCAGGAGGTGACACCCCCACCCTCAGCAGCTCTCGTCTGTTTGGGGGCAGGTTTGGAAGGTGGTCTCGGGTGTCCTTACGCGAGCAGGTGGCTACCTCACCTGCTCACCTGACCCCAACTCCACTCTGACTTCCAGGCCAGCCCCACTCCATTCCACCTTCATCATGCAGTTTCTGTATTAGATTTTTAAATAATCAAAATATGGTATTTTCATTTAAAAAGTAATGCTTTTAAAATATATTAAAATAATTTAATGTTGTTATTAGAACAATGTTTAATATGCCAGCCCGTGCCATTTGTCTTGATGCCTGGGTTTGCTGGCGCCCCTTACGCTTGGCACGCAAGGCAGGAGCTCCCCACTGGCCTCCCCCAACTGCTTGCCGCCCAGCCCCCCTCAGGCCAATTCCTGCCTCTCAGCCTATCTTGGGTTTGTCCTCGGCTGCCTCGGGAGGCAGCCGTGCCCAGGCCTCTTGGTCTCAGGGCCCCTTGGTGCCCCTGACGGAGAAGCCTGGCTCGTGGGCATTGTGCCATCACTATTTAATACAGTGGAGGCATGTAAAAACAATTCCATATTAATTTATTAAAATAATAGACCCATTACATTTTCATAATGTCATGAAAAATTTCTATATTTTCCAAAACAAATATTATCGAAAGAAAAATATGCATTTTTGCAAATCTCCAGAAAGCCTGGCTCCCCAGAGGACGGGGATCCCCACGCCTGTCCCGGAACTGTCTGTGAAGAGCAACGTCCCACTGCTTACGCTTGGGTGGGAGCAGGAGTGCCTGTTAGTGCCCCCCAGCCACAGAGAGTGCTGCCGTCCCTGAGCCCAGCCCCAGCAGATCATCAGCACACATTTGCCTGGGGAACACAGACAGCCCTGTCCTGGACGCAGCCCTTCAACCCTGCTTCTCATACCTGACCCCCACCTTGGGCGCTGGTCTGCCACACCCCACCACCCCTGCTTTCTTCAGCCTGACCTTGTCCTCCCGGACCCAGTGCTAGGAGGATGTCCAGGCGGGGTGGGACTTGGGCCTGCGCTGGGCTGCTCCTCAAGTCTCGGGCTGCACGTGCCAGCCAGGCAGACGGTGCTGAGAGGGGCCCTTCTGCAGAGCGGAGGCAGAGCCCGGAGTGGAGGGGTGAGCACTGCCTCAGGGCATTGGCAGGGGCTGCGCCAGCCCAGGCACAGGTCTGAGGGATGAATAGGAGGTTGCTGGATGAACAAGTAGGAATCAGCATGTTCATACTGAAGGGGTGAGTGTCCCCCCAAAAAATCTGGATTAGACAGACTCTGGAGCCCTCTTGCTCCAGGTTGCAGGGGCCCTCCGAGCTCAAGGCCAGGATAGGCCAGGGTCCCTGCCCTGCCCAGGCCCTTCTAGGCCCGTTTCTGGGCCACCTGTGTGTGCTTTCTTGGACTTGCTGTAGACTTGGTAAACAGTGGATGTGCTGGGACCCTGGGCTGAGCCCCTTTGGGCTGAGAGCTCACCAGGTGGAAGTCACTCCCCAGGGCAGGACTGGCACAGGGTCTCCGATGCCCCGCCCACTTTGCAGCCCTGTGTCTGCCTCTGCAACTCCCCACCCCAGTGCACCTGGGCCCTCTGGGGAAGGTAGCGGCAGCCCAGCCTGTGCATGTGGGTGCAGGCCCTCTGGGGAGGACACCCTGCAGACGAGGGGCTCCGGTTCCCCCAGGGCCCCCCTCTCTGCCAGCCACTGTCAGCCTCACCCATGGCCTGGCTTCACCCTGCAGGGACCTGGCTGCGCTCCGTGTGCCTGCGCTGTGCGTTCAAGGTGTCTGCACCTGAATGTGCCCTGAGAGTGTCAGGCTCGGACATGGGGACCAGCTCCCTTTTCACATGACCTTGTCATCTGTGTGACGCACGTGCGTGTGCCGGGTCGTGTGTTTCCGTGTGTGTGTGCACAAGCACAGACACGTGCACGTGTGGAGCATCCCATCTCTGCATGGGGCACGCTTGTGAGTGTGCACCCACATACACAGAGCCGGGTGGTCCACTGAAAGGGCCTGGCAGTAAACAGCTTCCTGTGCACATTGTGTGTGTGGCAGGGGCATGGGGGCATGTGTGTGTCTCTTAAGGACAGTGGCGCTGCAGGGAGAGCTCCGTGTGCAGCTGTGGGAGGTAGCCTGCAAGCAGCCTCTGCAGAAGCATCCTGGCCATAAGCGAACGTGCGGTCAGGGCACTAGTGGGGCAGGGGCCTGGGTGGCGGCCAGGGCTCAGCAGAGGCCTGTCCCGCCCTGTGGCCTGGCGGCGGTGGCTGGCGTTCATCACTGTTCGTTAACGTGCTCATCGGTACAGCCTGGTTTCCCGCAATGTGGCCGCTTCTGCTACCTGAGCCTCCGAGCCTCCTGCTGTGGCAGTTCTGGGCAGTCGCGTGAGCCGTGTGCACCTGCCTCTCTGTCCGCGTGTGCGCCTGTGCACCCCTGCCCGGGGGTGGCCATGGGGCTTCTCCCCACCCTCCCTCCTCCTCAGTGGCTGGTGGAAACCACAGGGTGGCCCAGGGACCCTGGTCTCGTGGGGGCTCAGGTGGGCCGGGGTTTGTTCTTGCCTTCCATCAGAGTGTGTTAAACAGGCCTCAGGCCTTCCTGCCATCAGCACTGGGCCCATAGGGCTGGGAATCCAGTGGGGGTCTCCATGTGGTTCCCAGCTGGGGCATTCCTGGGCCTGCAAGCGGTGGCCGTCACTTGACCTTGACCAGAAGCCCCAAGCCGGTAAATGCTGTGCTGTCCTGAGTGTGGTGCCCAGAGCAGGGCTGCAAAGACCTCCCGCAGCCACAGCCATGGTCTGGGCCACCATGCCTGCTGTCCAGATGAGCCCAGGCAGGAGCCTGTGTGTCCACAGGGTGAGCTGTGCCTGAGGGCCACTCTGGGTCTCCTTGTTGGGCTCAGCGCCAGCTCCTGAAGAACCCAGCAGGCAGCCTGCACGGACCAGGCCCAGCCAGGGTAGGCTCCTACGTCCTGCAGAATGACATTTCCAGGCTCAGACTGGAATCCCCAGGAAGCAAACCTCAGATGCCAGCGCGGGGGAAAGGGTGGGGGGAGCCTTCTATTGTCCCACCACACGTCCTGGACGGATGGCTCTCCCACCAAGAAGAAGGCTTGAGCTGCATCTTGTACTCTCAGAAAAGAGGAAAATAAAACATCTGGTGCCCTGGAGTGGCGTCAGGAAGCAGCGCGTCATCCCAGCCCCTGCTCTTTGTTGACGACCAGCCTCAGTGGGAGCTCCCGGTCTCCTGGGGGCCGGCGCACAGCAACGTCGGTGGCCCAGGGGCCCAGCCTCCTGGGGACAGGCAGGCAGATGAGGCAGCCGGTGTGGGGCGAGCTCCCAGGCCCACGTTCCCAGCCAGCAGGCCTGGCCCTTCGTGGGTGCTGGGCTCCTTACATGTGCTGGTGGGACATACCTTGTGTGTGACGCCGAGAGCCTGGGAGACATGTGCCATCCCGCGGCTCTGTTCCTGGTGCTTTCGCCGAGTCACACGGGGTCGTCCTGGTGGTCAGGGTCTCTTGCCGGCCTCTCCGCTCATCAGAGTGGTGGGTTTGGGTTAGGCAGTTGGCCCTCCCGAGGCTCCAGTCCCATCCGTGGCTGACCACTGTCCCTCTCCCTGCAGGTCACAGTCACCACCATCGGCTATGGGGACAAGGTGCCCCAGACGTGGGTCGGGAAGACCATCGCCTCCTGCTTCTCTGTCTTTGCCATCTCCTTCTTTGCGCTCCCAGCGGTAGGTGCCCCGTGGGTGCGTTTTCCCTGGCTCCTTGGACAGCTGGGGTCCTGGGGTGGCTGCACGCCCCTCCCTGTGAGCAGACCCACTTACGTTCAGAACCAAGAGGGTGCTTCCCTTCTAGAAGGTGCTATACTCCAGAGCCCCACCTGCCCTCCCTGGGGCCCTGGATGCAGACTTCCCGTTTGCAGTCCCCACTGGGGTCCTTGCAGGCAGTGTGGGAGGCAGCCTGGAGTGGCTGTGCATGGGCGCAGTGTGGGGCAGGCCTGCTCACTCAGCCCTGGGTGGGTGGGCAATGCTGCTACCACGCCCCATGGAGGCAGAATCTTGTGCCTGGAGAGGGCACTTCCACGCTGTGGCTGGGGGGGTTTTGTTCCATGTCCTTTCCAGAAACCACAGATTGTAAGGTGATGTGTCTAGTTCACAATGCCTGTATGTGGGTGTGTGTGTGTGTGTTATGTGCGTATGTGCATAATATGTGTTTGTGTTGTGTGTGTATAATTTTATGTTACCTGTATACTATGGGTATGTGTATATGTATCACATGGGTGTGTATGTACTGTATGTGTGCGTGCATACTGTGTATACATATTGTATGTGCATATGTTGTATTTAGTATGTGTGCTGTGTTGTGTGCACATGTATGCATTATACATGTATATCAGTATGTTTGCATATGTGTATTTATGTATCTGTGTCACAGGTATGTATCCTATACATCTATGTGCGTATATGTGTGTGCACATGACATGTAGACATGTGTTAGTATGTGCTTGTGTTAGTGTTTGTGTGTTAGTGTGGGTTAGTGTATGTTTTAGTGTATGTTAGTGTGTTTGTGTGTTAGTGTGTGGGTTTGTGTTTGTGTTTCTGTGTTAGTGTGTGTGTTAGTGTGCGTTAGTTTGTGTTTGTGTGTGTATGTTAGTGTATGTTAGTGTTAGTGTGTGTTAGTATGTGGGTTAGTGTGTGTGTTTGTGTGTTAGTGTGTGTGTTAGTATGTGTTTGTGTTAGTGTGTATTTGTGTGTGTTAGTGTTTGTGTGTGTTTGTGGGTTAGTGTGTGTTAGTGTGGGTTACTGTGTGTTAGTGTTTGTGTGTTAGTGTGTTTTTGTGTGTGTTAGTGTGTGGGTTAGTGTTTGTGTGTGTGTCAGTGTGTGTGTGTTAGTGTGCATATCTATTGTGTGTGTGTGTGCATCACACATGCACGTGCACCACGTGATCTCCTCTGTAGACACGGAGTTCCCTAGCTTCAGGGTGGGTCCTTTGCATCCCATCAACCGTCCTTGGGCGAGGCAGCAGCAGGGTCCTCCTCAGCTGAGGACTGCCTTCTCACTTGCGACCCCAATCCCAGTGCCCAGTATGACCCCTTCCTGGGCACATACAGATGGACCAGCCCACCTGGCCCCCAGAATGGTCCCTGGGAATGGGTTAGAGCGGCTGCAGCCCTGCCCCATGGGACTGGGCCCCTTGCTGGATAAGACCTGGGGTATAAGTTCTGCCCCCCATGCTGGCCCAGGACAGGCAGGCTGGGCCCGAGGTGGGACTTGGGGGGGCTTCCAGCACTGACCATACCTGGCCTTCCCACAACGGTGACCGGTAACCACGTCCTGAGGCTGCACCCAGCTGGCAGTGGCCTGTGTGGACGGGAGCCTCCTGTCCATTCCTTCCCAGGGGATTCTTGGCTCGGGGTTTGCCCTGAAGGTGCAGCAGAAGCAGAGGCAGAAGCACTTCAACCGGCAGATCCCGGCGGCAGCCTCACTCATTCAGGTGCGGTGCCTGCAAGGCCCTGGTCACTGTCATTTTGGTCACTGTTATTGTTGCATCCAGCCCTCACGGCCACCTGTCAGAACCATCATTGGCCCCTGCATCAGCTTGGCTGGCCTGTGGGGCATACTCTGCTTGTGGAAGCCTTGGCTGCTGTGGTGATGGGGTGAGCACGGGGCATTGGAGCCTGTCTTCCTCCAAAGCTGCTCCCATCAAGGGCCATGCCCTGTGGGCTGGAGAGGAGGCACGGCCGTGGCCATGCCAGGAGTGGACGTGGTTGGCTCTGAGGCTCCCTTGTGCTCCCATTCTCCCTCCCACTGCACAACAACCTGAGGGCTGAGTCTGGGAGTGGGGTGGCCAGGTGATTGTCCCCAAGGGAGGTAGGACCCAGCTGTGCAGTTGGTGCCTTCTGGAGGGCCTGGCATCCCTCAGGGCTCGGGAGGCCCTGGTGCCTGGAGGTGAGGACTGGCGATGGATGGCATGGGCCTCCCTCTGGGCTCACAAGGCCAGTGGGCTGGGAAAGGCAGAGCCCTGGAGCAACAGGGGCAGGAAGGTTCTGGAGGCAGGTGGGGAGGCAGGCAGTACCAAGCTCTGGGATGCTGGGCTCTGGCTCTGTCACTCCAGGCTCTCCAGGACCCACCAGAGAATGGGACTGCTCTGTTAACGTAAGCAAGGACTTGGCACAGGAGTCACTTGAGAATTGCGTCCCTGTGGGTCTCTCTTGTTGGCCACTGCAGGGCCAGGGCTGCCCTGAGGAACAGCCGCTGAGGTGCCCAGAGGGTGGGCGTTGCCGGGTTGAATGACAAGTGCCCACTGGGGATAGGGCCTCCGCCCAGTGCAGTGGCTGGGAGCACAGTGTCAGTTCCTCTGGGCACACTGGGCCTGATGTCCCCCAGGAAGGCCCAGGACCTGGGCAGCCCCCGCTGGCTGGCGTCCCCCCTGCAGTCCTCGTGAGCTCGCTGCCCCAGGCAAGGCCCAGGCTGTCAGGGGCCAGTCGCAGTCCTCCTGCACTCCTGGCTCAGCCATCGGGGGGGCTGTGTGCTCCCACCCTTAGCCTGGTTTTATGGCTTCACAGTTTCTCCTTCCTGGGAGACCATAAATCAGGCCCGTAAACCCGCCTTGGTCCCAGCATGAGCATGCTGGCCGCCCACGCCTGGCAGGGGACCACATTGGATTCCTGGTCCCACTCCCTGGGAACCACAGGTCCTTTGAAAGGGGTTCCCTCGGAAGCTGCACACACTGTGGGAGGACTGGAGTAGGGGCCCCAGGTGGCAGGTGTGCACAGGAGCAGGGCAGGGGTCATGGGGTTTGCCAGGGTTGGGGGACCACGTGGAGTGCTCAGCCTGTGTGTGTAACACTCGGGCCTTGGAAGGCTGGGCTTGTGCCCTCGCCTGCCTGTCCCTGGGTGCTGGATGGGAGTGAGGGCTGCAGGTGCCCCTCGCCAGCTGCTGTGTCTACCTGGGGCTGTCACCCAGGAGCCCATCAGTGTGGGGGAACATTCTCCACTCGGCCCTCTCTCAGGCTCATGTGGCCAGTGATGACAAGGCCACCAGGACATGTCCTCATACAAGGCCCTGGGAGCCCCTCCTGCCCATCTGGACGCTGCACAACTGCTCCCCCGCCGGGTCCCCTGCCGATAGTGTCCCCTCCTCCCACCCTTCCCTTGTGGTGCTGCCATGGGGTCTCTCTGAAATGCTGGCTTCAGAGCTGCACCCATGTGCCATCAGAGGCTCCCCCAACTGCAAGGTGGTATAGGCCTCTGGGAGAGACCTCACCTCCTGCCAGCCCTAGGGATCCTGCCTCTCCCTGCCCCCTGCTCAGCACCTGCAGGTCCTGGGCGACCCCTCTTTCTCAGCCCTTCCTCACTGTGTGGCCACTGGTTGCCCATTTCCGCATTGGTCTCCTATGCACGCTGTGTACCCTGGCACCTGGGGATGATGTGCGACCTGCCCACCTTTGCAAGTCTCTCCTTTGGCTCAAGGCTGGCTCAGGGCTGGTAAAGACCTCTGTGGTGTCCCAGCTGTGGGTAACAATTAGCCCATGAGGCAGTGAGCTGCCTGGTGCAGCAAGGGACCAAGCCAGGCTGCCTGGGCAGAGGGTCTGGGAGCTGGGACCATGTCAAGCCTGTGACTCTGAGGTCCCAGACCCTGCCACCCAGAGGGGAGGGGCCAGGCCTGGGGAACAGGGAGGGGGAGCTGTAGCTTCCATAAGGGCCCCCGCCGGGTGGCTCAGCAGGTGACAGCCTGTCCCCCTGCCCGACCTCAGACCGCATGGAGGTGCTATGCTGCCGAGAACCCCGACTCCTCCACCTGGAAGATCTACATCCGGAAGGCCCCCCGGAGCCACACTCTGCTGTCACCCAGCCCCAAACCCAAGAAGTCTGTGGTGGTGAGTAGCCCACCTGCCACCAGGGCAGGGCCTTCTTGCTAGCAGGTGGGGAGGCCGTGGGGGCCGCAGCACGAGGCTGGGATCTCACCATGCATTTGGCTTGGTACAGCCTGTGTCAGGGAGTCAGCATCGTTCGGGACACTGGGCCATACACCCGATGCTAGGTTCCTGCCATCCCAATGTCCCCCGACTTGGGGGTATGTAGGACCGGTCATTCCAGGGCCAGGGCATGAGAGCTCCAGAGATAGAGCTCTGGGAGCAGGACGGGCTGGAAAGAAGGCTCTTCAGAGGGCCTCAGGGTTGGGCTTTCCACACCGGGCGCAGTGGGTGGTGAGCAGTGGGCAGGGGGCCGCGCGCAGTGGGTGGTGGGAGGGGAGCAGCAGGGGAGGGAGGTGAGGCAGGGGTGCAGCGAAGGGGGTCTGGAGGTCACAGGGCAGTGGAGTTTGGCAGGCGCTGGGCAGAAGTCTTGTGACATGGCTGGGGTCATAAGGGGTTGGGGCTGACGCTGGCATGGTTCCCCTTCCTGGCCCGTGCCCACCCCCTGTGGAGAGACCTGGCCTTCCCAGTTTCCAGCTGCCGGTGGAGCCTCCGTGCCTACTGTTCCCTGTGCTGGAATGTTCCCCCAGATTTCCACACAGCCTGCTCCCTCACTTCAGGCGCCCTCTTCATGCCCTGCTGGCCCCCAGCCTGTTCCCCCGATATGCATTCTCCCCTACTGGTCACAGCCCCTGTTACCACCTCCACTGGCACCATCTTGTACGTTTATCTGCTTCCTGCTGTCCTGTTAGCGAGGCCGTGAGCTCACAGGGCAGCACCTGGGCCAAGCCCCCCACGTGACCCCCAGCAGCCCTGCCCTGTCTCTGTGTGAAGACACTGGAGCTGGCCCCAGGCCTCAGGTCCCTGTCCGGGTGTATGTGGCGGGGGCTGGGCTCGGGGCGGCTGCACAGGCACTCTGGGGCCGGCGTAGGGCCTGGCAGACGATGTCCAGGAACCGCTAATCTGTTGTCTTGTTTTTTTTAGGTAAAGAAAAAAAAGTTCAAGCTGGACAAAGACAATGGGGTGACTCCTGGAGAGAAGATGCTCACAGTCCCCCATATCACGTGCGACCCCCCAGAAGAGCGGCGGCTGGACCACTTCTCTGTCGACGGCTATGACAGTTCTGGTGAGAACCCCTCAGGCAGTTGGGGGCCGCGGGGCCGGGAAGGTCACTGCCTTTTTTGGGAGCCCGAGCAAGCCAGTGAGTTTCTCCCTTGGGCTGTGGTCTCTGACAACGAGGTATGAACAGACAGAGGGTGGAGCTTCTAGAAACTTCTGTAAACCTTCCAGGTGCCTTCCCCTCAGAGTCTTCCCAAGGAGGAGCTGGCCACGCCTTCTGTTGCGAGAGGAAGCCTGGGCAGGTGATGGGGTGGGTCGGCTCCATCCGGCTGTACTGAGGGAAGGGTGTGTTCCTGATTCCAGCTGCCTGGCTTCCTCCCAGCCGAGCCCACGGGCTCTGGTTGGAAAGTGGCTAGGGTGACCTCTGGGCCTACTGGCAGGGACGCCAGAGGGAAGGGGTTTGGGGATGGGGCCCTGGAGGAGCAGCACCAGGCCCGGGTAAAACGTGGGGGGCCTGACGGGACAGGCCCTTCTCATGCAGCCCAGGGGCCCCGAGTCTGTGCGTGATGGTGTGGCTCGGATCTGCGTCCCTCCTCTCACCCCTGCAGCGGGGGCTGGGATGAAGCTACCTTCTGCGGGACCTGACGATTGGATGGCAGACCTGTCTAGGGTTTAGATGTCCTCCATCCCTGGTGAGGGGTTTTACCCACGCTAACTCGTAAGCGTGGCTCTTTGACAGATGTGGAGAGCGAGGCCCTAGAGGCTGGGCTCGTGTGCTCCAGCCACACGGCGGGAATACAGCAGTGCCCGGTTGTGGCTCCCACGAGTGAGGCCCTGGAGGCTGGGCCCATGTGCTTCAGCCACACGGCAGGAACACAGCAGTGTCTGGTTGTGGCCCCCCCATGCCTCCCGCCAACTTCTGCTGTTCCCAGAAGTGCAGCTGGCTGAGCACAGACACAGCAGGTGACCTGTGGTGATGCCAGGGCATCAGCGCTTGGCCTCCCCACACTGCTCCAGGGCAGACCTGGCCTCCTGGCTGCATCAGGAGGCACACGTGATGCATCCGTCATCTCGGGACCAGTTTTGAGACAAACATCCTATAGGGCAGGACCGTGAACTGGGTAGCTCTACAGAGTGTGAGGGGCTGGAGACCTCCTGCCCACTGGCCACGGATGCCACGGATGCCCTTGAGAGTTAGGAGAGGTGGAAGGGACCCCACTTCTCCCTGGGAGCTCCAACTTCTCTTGCATGTGACTTCAGTGCCCACTTCTGGGGACTGTGATCCCAAACTGCCAAATTCTCTAGCAGCTCTCTTAAAACCAAATGTGAAGGATTCTGGCTTTTTCTGTCCTCTGAGCCCAGCGTGGGGTATTTGAGATAGCTGTGCTGCCACCAGGACAGGGGCGTGCACCTTGTCTTCCCAGGAGAAAACACAGCAAAGCCTGTTTGCTCCCTAGTACCTCGTGCAAAGGTGCCATCTGTGGCCCTGCTCGCTGCTTCCTCTGAGGCAGACATAGTAGTGACTGTGTTCTGATACAAAGATGGCACTTGCCCGATGCTGCACTGCAGCACCAATGCAGAGGCCCTGGCAAATGTTCGCAGAAGCCCCCGTCCCAGGGCGTGGTCCCCCTTGGAGGAAAAGGGCACCTGTTTTGAAAACACTTGGTTATCATGGTGCCAGAAAGCACTAGTTTAGGCCCCACATGAAACAGTGGCCTTGCCCTCCCAGCATGGGAGAGCCCTCATCTTCCAGGTGGTGGGGGGAGCACAGCATTTGAAGCCCACTCCCCTTTGACCACTTGCTGTTGTCCAGACAGACATCACGCACGTGGGCCTTGCATTGGTTCCTGCTTACTTTGTCTCTGCTGACCCGGTTTCTGCTCCTTGAAGTCTCAGCCCCCTTCTTCCATGATTCCAAGGCATGTCCCTCTAAGGAGGCTTGACCCCACCCTGGAGGGCCTGCTCCCCACTCTCTGCCTTCCATGCCCCATGGGAGGGCTCCATGTGGCCCAGTCCCTTGGAGGCTGGACCCCACTGTTCCGGACTCTGGGCTGTTGGAAGCCAGGCCCTGCCTCAGTTGTGCCAAGTGGCCAGGGTTCTATGCCTGGCAGAGGAGGTGTGGGAGGCCAAGCGCTGATGCCCTGGCATCACCACAGGTCACCTGCTGTGTATGTGCTCAGCCATCCAAGTAATATGATCCATTCCCTTCTCAGCAGCCGTCCCTTTACCCTTTGGTCATTTCTGCATCCATCTCTCCCTCTCGGACCTCTTCCCAGTGCCTGGGACTAACCCGAATGTCTCAGCTTACCAGCAGTTGTAAGGATGCTGTCACATCTTATGCATGGCAGAGAGGGGACAAACCCACAGTGTTCGCAACCCTTTGTGCTCGCAGGCACCAGCCCAGCCCGCCAAGCTCCAGTTCATTCAGGATGGCTCACCTGCATCCCCACCTCCTTGGCAGGAGGCTGGGTGGTGTTCCCTGCCCCTTGGGGCTTTCCTGGGCATCCCATGTGGAAGTCAGCAGGCAAGACCAAGTCCAGGCTCCCGCTCCACTGGGCACCAGGCTCCCCAGGACTTAGATGCCATCAGGATTGGGCTGGGACCCGACCACATCTCAGTGAGCCCCCGGGACGTGCTCCCGCCTGCCCGCTGGAGCCGGCACAAAGGGCGATTGTGCCAACCAATGCCCAGTGCCCCCACAGCTCCGGATTCAGGGCTGAGACCATTGTCTCCATGCAAATGGGGGCTTTCTGCGCATGCTAACGGGCAGGTGGGCGTGGCCGGGGGCTGGGGACCCAGCCTGTGTGCGGCCTGGAGAAGCATCGCTTGCTGCTTGCTGAATGCGGGGCAGCCCGAATCGATGCCGTCCATTCAGCCTGGTTAGTGTTATGAAGTCATTAGTGCTGTCTGCGGAATGTTAATGAGGGGCAAGTGCGGAGAAAGTCAGGCGCCTTTTGTGGAATGCTCCTCCACGGAGAAGATTTCTCTTTCCTGCTGGAGTTTGTTCTTTCCTAACTTGATAAGTCAGCCCAGGCTGGAACCACCAGCTTTCTGGAGCCTGAGCTGTTGGCCTGGCCCCCAGGGACAGAGCGACCCCTGATAATCCGGAGTCCCCTTTGCCCAGGAGGCTCTTGGAGAGCCCTGGCTTGGGGAGAAGGAGATGCTGATCCCAGGGCAGATGCCACTCCTGGGGAAGCCCCACAGCCCCACTCCCGCAAGGCGGGTACGAACAGCCACACTGAGTCCCCCGCAAAGTCAAACCCAGGCCTCGACCTTGTCTGGCTGTGCTTTCTGTTGTGTGAACCTGCAGGTTAGGCAGAAGTCCCCTTGACCCTGCCTCAGGGCTGCTACCTGTCTGCGCCATCCACCTGCACACAAGCCCCTTCAGCTCGTGCTCTAGCTGGTGCTGTGCGGTGTTGGCCCCATTTATAGATGGAGAAACGGAAGGCCAGGGCCATGTGGGGAACTCCTGAGGACACCTGTGTGTCCTGACACCTCACTGAGCCTGTCGAGAGGCACAGGCAGGTATGGCAGTGGCAGACCTCAGGGGAGGGAGGCTGGGAAGGTAGAAGGTCCCCCATGGTAGCATCAGAACACAGACTAACCTGCAGCAAAAATGGGCTGTGTGGTCCCTGTAGAGCAGCCTCACTGAGGGGAGGCACCAGCCCTCATCCCACGCAGCAGGGCCCGCTGCTGCTCCCTCAACCTTCTGACCTGGGTGGGGAGGGAGGGGAATGTCAGCAGCCACCCAGCCCGAGAGCCAGAGCACAGCAGGGGCTGGCCAGCCTAGCCCTAGAGTCTTTGCAGTGAAGCGTCACAGACTCCTCATGAAGGATGCATGGGGACCCAACCGCATGCCACTTGGCTTGGCAGTGTCAAAGGGACTGGGGACCTGCGAGGATGCGGTGGCCATTGTCTGTGCCCAGCCTGGGGAGCCTGACACTCACAGCCCGGCTGCTGCTGCCTTGGGCGTCCTGAAGATCCTCTGTATGCTTGTGGGGTGGGGGCAGACACACAGGCAGCCTCCTGCCCAGAGGGTCCAAGCGGGCATGGCCATCCACATCTGCAGGTCAGAAGAGGCCTGGGCTGGAGCCGCATACTGGCCATGCTGCCTCGCTGTCCCTGCCTCAGAGCCACTGTATTCACTCTGCCTGGAACTGTCTTTCCTGGATCCCAGGAGTCCTGAAGGAGCCGCCTCCATCCTGAGCTGCCTACCCTGCCCCTCCTCCACTCCAGTTGTCTCCACAGCCAGGTCACCATTGACCAGGTTGTCCAGTCCCCTCCTCATAGGGGAGTGGCCCTTTGTCTTTCACCACTGACCCTTCCCAAGCTGGTACCATGCCTAACCCATGGTGGGTACACGATAAAAATGCAGGGCTGTGCCACCAGGGTTTTGTCTTGACAAAGGGACTGGAGGCAGGTTGTCAGAGTAGGGCTGGCCGGAGGTGGCCTCCTGAATGCCCCTAGGAGGCCAGAGGAGACTTCCCCAAATTCACTGGTCCTGGAGGCCGCCTCAGAGGCCTTTTGCTGCTCAGAGAACACTGGGCTGGAAGGTCGTGGTCTGTGACGTAGGATCGGGGAGGCCACCTCAGAGGCCTTTTGCTGCTCAGAGAACACTGGGCTGTAAGGTCGTGGTCTGTGACGTAGGATCGGGCAGCACGCACCTTTCCACCTGGCCTGGAGGTGATTCTGAAGGGCTTCTGGGGAGGCGTCTTCAAAGCTGTGCCTGTGTGTGTCACCACGTGTTTGCCAGGTGACCTGGGACTATTGTGTGGTTTCCCGTTTGTGAAGTGGGGCAGCGTGCTGGAGGAGCATGCATCACATACCCAGAGGTCCCCAGTGTGGTCTGGGGACTCATCGTTCACACTCGTGTGTGTGCTTTCTGGAGGCATGCGTCATGGAACAGCCTCACCTCTCACTTCTGCACTTGTGAGCCTGGTTCTCACAGGGTCAGGCTGTAGCCTCCTCCTGCTCCCGGCTCCGCGTCCTCAGCCCAACACACCAAGCCTGGCCTTTCATGCACTCCTCCATTCAAAGCCGTGTGTTCTGATTGTGCACTTTTGGTGGCTGCCACAGGATTAAATCCTGAATGCTTTGCCAGTTGAGATCAAAAGTCACCCCAACTCCTCTGAAACCTCACTGGGACCTCAAGGTGCTCCAGATCCTACTGCCTCCTGCCGTTTCCTGGGCCTTTGTTGCCCAGTATTTTGGTTTTGTCTTTTAAACAATCCTCTTTTTGTTGATGCTGCATACATTGAGATATTTACTCACAGACTTGCAGTTTTCTGTCTCACCATTTGGATTTAATTTCCTTTTTCCTGAAGTCTGTGTTTCTTTCAGTGAAGGTAAACTCTCAGTTTCAGTTTGTCTGAAATATTTTTACTTTGCCTTTATTCTTGGATGATGGTTTCGTTGGGAGAAAGTAACAGGTTAATATGTACATTTTGTCTGAAGACTCTGGAGCTGTAACACTGCAGTCTCCTGGCTTCTGTGGGTCATCAGGCTAATTGATTTTCCTTTGTAAGTGACCCTCCCTACCTCTAGTGACTTCAGAAACCTTCCTTTTGACTTTAGTGTTCAGAGGTTTCAATGTACTGTACCAAGGTGGTGCATTATTTTTATTTATCATGCCTACACTTTGTTGTGATTCCTGAATCTGAGGGTTTATGTCTTTCATCAACCGTGGAAAGTCAGTACCATTATGTTGTAGAATATTGCCTCCCCTAATGCTTCTGATCTTTTCCAGAAACTTCTATTTGACCATCTCATTGTCTTCCTCAGCTGTCTCATAGATTTTCTATCTCTGTCTCCCTCTGCTTCATTCACAGAATTTTCTATGCAGTTTCTAACTCTTGAGATGTTTCTGTTCCACTGCTTTATCTACCCACTGAGACTTTCAGTTATATATTTTTTCCTTCCCTATAAATCCTTGTATGGGGGTTTAATTTGCTTGATTTTAGCATCTTGTACCTTTCTCATATTTTAAACTACAACTTTTAATCTTTAGGTCATTTGAACATGCATATTTTGTACCCTCTATCCTGTCATTTCATCATCTGCAGTTCTTGGAGAGTCTAATTCTGTTCACTGTAGTTTTTTCTGACTCTTGCTCATGATGGCTCATTTCATTGTGGGTTTGCAATTTAGATCATGAGTTTGTGTGGTGGATGTTTTTGTTTGTGGGGTTCCTATGTATCCTGTATAAGGTACATGCCTCTGGAGAAGCTGCACTTTTGCTTGTACAGGGTGACCCAGTGAACCAATCCAGGACCTTCATGATCCATGTTTTAGATATGGGATCTTCTAGACAACCTATGCAGTGTAAACAGAAACCCCAATCTCCTGTGAGAGCAAGTCTAAGTAACATATATTGAGAAGAGAGTTTTATTTTATAAAATAAAACTGTCTTTATTTGCAGAAGACATGGTTATCTATGTAGAAAATCTGATGAACATGCAAGATGACCACTATGACTAATATATGAGTTTAGTAAGGTGGCAGATACAAGATTAATATGCAAAAATCAATTCCATTCATATATTCTTGCAGCAAATAACCAGAAATTGAGATTTTTAAAATACAGGCGTGTCTCATTCTTATTGACTGCACTTTGCTGATAATGCATTTTTTACAAATTGAAGGTTTGTGGCAACCTTGCTCAAGTTGAAGCCAGTACTCACGTACCATTTCAACAATCCTAGGGCCCTTAAGAATTATGCTAAATCTACTCTGCTTATGCTCTATAATGAAGCAACAAAGCCCGATGACAGTACATCTGTTGACAACATGGTTTACTGAATATGTTGAGCCCATTTTCGAGACCTATTGCTCAGACAAAAAGATCCCTCTCAAAATGTTACTGCTCATTGACAGTGCACCTGGTCATCCAAGACCTCTGATGGAGATGTACAAGATTAGTGTTGTTCTTATGGCTGCTAACACAACATCCATTCTGCAGCCCATAATCAAGGAGTAATGCCAACTTTGAAGTCTTATTATTTAAGAAATACATTTTATAAGGCTATAGCGGCCATAGATAGCGATTGCTTTGATGAATCTGGGCAAAGTAAATTGAAAACATTTTAGAAAATAATCACCATTCTAGATGAAATTAAGAACATTAGTGATTCATGGAAGAACGTCAAAATATCAGCATTAACAGGAATTGGGAAAAAGTTGATTCCAACCCTCATGGATGACTGAGGGGTTGAAGATTTCAGTGGAGGAAGTAACTACTGATGTTGTGAAAACTGCAAGAGAACTAGAATTAGAAGTGGAGCCTGAAGATGTGGCTGAAATATCATTAGTTATTAGAGAAATGCAAATAAAAAACACAATGAAATACCACGGCCCAATTATTATATTATATAAAATGAGGGAGATGGATGATACCAAGTGTTGGTAAAGATGTGTCGGAGGTGGAACTCTCATATGCTCCCGGTGAGAATGCAAAGTCCAAAGCGATGCAACCATTTGGGAAACAGTTCAGCAGTTTCTTGATGTGTTAAATACATACCTACCATATTCTACAGCGATTCTATTCCTAGGTATTTATCCAGGAGAAATAAGATCATATGCATGCCACCATTTGTACATGGAATATTCATAGCAGCTTTATAAAAACTGGAAACCCCAAACTGGAAGCAACCCAAATACCCATCAACATTTGAATAGATTTTTTTCAAAGTTGTAGTATATTCCTAAAATGGAATACTACTTAGAAATACAAAGGAATGAACCACTGATATGCCTACAATATGGATACATTGCAACATAATTATGGTGAGTGAAAGAAGCCAGACAAAAAAAAAAAGAGTACATGGTATCTTATTTATGTAAAAATCTAGAAAATGACCACTAATATAGAGTGACAAACAAGTCAGTGGTTATCAGTGGTTACCTGGGGATCAGGGGTAGTAGTAGGAGGGAAAAGGACAAAAGGGCACAAAAAAACTTTTGGGGCAGTGGATATGTTCATTATCATAATCATGGCGATGGTTTCATCATGTGTCAAAAGTTACCAAATTGCACACTTTAAACATAAGCAAGTTATGTCAATTATATCTCAATAAAACTGTTTATAATATATAATGTAAATATATAATATATATTTTGCATAGCAAAAAAACATACTGAAAATAATTTTTTATTGATAACCTAAAGAAACCAGTTGCCACTCACCTATAGGCATGGGGCTAATTTAATTGCTATATAAAAACGCTCTTGTAAATCAAGATAGAAGTTAAAGGATATTAAAACAGTTCACAGAAAAGGAAATACCAATAATTCTTAAGAATGAAAATATGCTGGATGACTTCAATTATGACAAGAGAAATGCAAACTAAAGCAATGGGGTTTTTGAAACTTATCTGATTATTAAATATCAAAGAGTTTGATAACACTCTATGGGTATGTGTACATGGAAACTCTCAGTCTCAGTCATTGATGTTAGAAAAATAAATTGATACAAACCTCTGTGGAGATAAATAAGGCAATTTCAATCAAAATTAAAGATGCATATGCCTTTGAATCATTCTAGAAATTTATTCTACACATATCTTACACATTTGCAAAATAATCCATCATCAGGATATTGATTTCTGCAATTGTTAAATAGCAAAAAATTGCAAACCACCGACATACCCATCAGTGGAGGTCTGCTTCAAGTATCATATCTCCGTTAAACAGCCATCAAAACTGTGAAGCTTCACTCTCATCACTGATGCAGGACATCCCTGATATCTGATCCTAGAAATAACAGTACATCTTTCAGAAGAGTATGAAATCTGCCATCATGTGGGGGCAAATACAATGGTTTACAAAACAAAGTTTTATCTACCTTCCTTGTTCTGTGTCTTGGAACTGTTTGAAGAACATTGGGATTATCTTTTCTGTAGAGGTTAAATAGAATTGAGTTGTAAAACCATCTGGGCCTGATACATGTTTTATAGGATATCTTTAGTAATTTCTTTTTAGTCTGTTTTATGATATGTTGTTCTAAATTAGTTTATTGCATCTTTTGGAGTAATTTATTCATTGCTATTTAATTTCCTCAAGCATTTCAATTGTGTTGCCACTTGGTAGCAACTGATTTTTTCCTTTAGTGATTTTATGGTCTTCTCTATCATCTCTTCGTTTTTCTTTTCCTTTATGCCTGAACTTTTGTGGTTTTTCTCCTTTTTTCTTAATCAAGCACATGAGAAATTTATGTTTTATTTATATTTTATTATCAGAAAACTATCTTTGTACTCTTTGTTATCTATTTCATTAATCTAAGCTTTTATAGCTATTAATTCCCTTTTCTTGGCTAACTCTATTTTTGTTTTCTTTTACTTAAGAGTCATAGTTCATTTATTTGAAGTTCTTCTACTAAAGGCATTTTTAAAGGCTATAAATTTTCCTCTGATTGCAGCTTTAGCTGTGACACGTAGATCTGATTATGAAATATGTTCCTTTTCATTGCTTTCTTGATAGTTTTAATTTTGTGTTTTGATTTTTCTCTTTAGAGTTCTTTTAATGTCTTCTTAATTTTTAAGCAGTAAATTTTTATCACTGTTATTTATTTCTAATTTAGTAGGCTTACAGTGAAAGGATGTAGCCTATGAAGTCTCCACTTTTTTTAAAATGAAGATTTTCTTTGTCTCCAAGTATGAAAATAACATCATTATTTTTGTAAATGCTCCACAGACCTCAGAAAATATCTTCTGTATTTGTATAACACAAAGTTTTATTTGTATACATGGACAGACAAAATGTACATTGAGATGGATTGTGTATACATACTTATTCATTGCCTCATTTAGGTCTGCTCTGCCCTTAGTTAAAAAAAAAAAACCCTAATACATCTGCCAAATTCTGAGACAGGAAAATTAAATCTTCCTGTACAATTATGTTTCTAAAAATTGAGTGGCAGGTTTCATGGAGTGGTTTGGAGCACAGCCTATATGGCCAACCTTCTTTAGGGTCATAGCCCAGCTCTGCCATTTTCTTATGTGGCCCTAAGCAAGCTACTGCATTCTCTGTGCCTCAGTTTCCACATCTGTGAAATCAGGATCCTAACTGCCTGCTCCCAGGACTCCTGTGTTGACTGAGTGAGTTAGAACATGTAAGTGCTCACCCAGGACCCATATGCAGCAAACAGTCTTGTGTCTCTGTCTGCTGCCAAATTGGCCTCAGGCTCTATCAATACCAGATCTGAATAGGGGCTATTCTTTCTTTTAGTGTCCTTAATGTTGTATTACTTTCCAATATTCACACTTTAACTTTACAGATGAGTAGAATGGAATAGATGTGTTTCAGTACAGAACTTTTTTCTTATGTTTGCTTGGGCTCCCCTCCTCTCTGTTACCTATGTTGATAATCTAGGATTTGTTGTCTTACATTTTTCCTGATGTTCATATAATATTCAATGAAATAAAATACATGTGACATAATGAAGGCATTATCATTGTTTTCCAAACTCACGGGATCATATCATACCTGCTTTCTGCATCTTGTTTTTCTCAATCAGTAAAATAGTAAAAATGCCTCTAAGGCTGCTGAAACAATTTTATTTTGATTTAATTCTATCTCTAATTGAATTTTATTTCTATTTCAATTCTATTCTAAAATTTATAATCTCTGCTTAATTTCCTTTGGTGTACATACTCTGTGATGTTCTCTATCGCTTAAAATTCATTTTGTTCAAGAACATAGGTTCTTGAACCTGTTTCTATGTACAGAACTTTTATTTCTATGTGTTAACTTTCCAGGATGTATTAGTTTGCTAGGACTGCCATAACAAAATACCACAGGCTGGGTGGCTTAGACAGCAGACATGTATTTCTCACAATTCTGGAGGATAGAAGTCTGAGATCAAGGTGTCAGCAAGGCTGCTTTCCCTGAGGCCTCTTTCCTTGCCTTGCAGATGGCCGCCTTCTTCCTGTGTCATCACATGACCATTGCTCTGGGCACTTGCACCCTGGTGTTTCTCTGTGTGTCCAAATATCCTTTTCTTTAAGGGCACCAGTCACACTGGATTAGGGCCCACCCTAACAGCCTCATTGTAGCTTCATCACCTCTTTAAAGGTCCTGTCTCCAAACATGCTGAGTCACGTGCCGAGGTATTAAAGACCAGGGCTTCAACTGCAAACCTTGTGGGACACAATTCAGCCCGTGACACAGGAATAGGCTTGTTAATTTCAGTGATGTAGCCAGGTTGTTTTTCTCGTTTTGTCTGACCTTGAATTCCACAGGCAGGGTTCCTCTTTCCCGGCCGGCATTCCTGCCCACCAGTCCTGGCAGAGTGACTTATTGTCAGCCAAGTGGGGCAGAGTTTCTCCACTGTACCTCTATTGAAATCTAGTGCCGGATAATTCTTTGTTGAGGGAGGAAGTCCTGTCTATTGCAGGATGTTTAGCAGCATCTCCGGCCTCAGTTATGACCACCAAAAACATCTCCACATGTTGCTACATGTCCCCTGGAGGGCAAAATTGCCCCCAGTTGTGACCTGCTGAGCTAAAGCAGTCCCTCAGGATTGTTTCTTAAAACAAAACAAACTGTTTATTTGGCCATAATTTTGAACTACAGAAAAATTACAAGCACGAGATATAAAAACACCTACATACCCTTCACTAAGATTTACCAGTTTACTAATTGTTACATTTTGCCACATTTGCTTTATCATTTGAACCCCTTTCTCTACATTATATTCACATAACATGTTTTTCTGAAACATCTGTGAGTTGCATACTCCACAGCTCTTTGCCCCTAAACATTTTGCTGTGTATTTCTGAAAAATAAAGATATTATCTTTGAAAGCAGTAATACAGTTATTGACTTCTGCAATTAAACATCAATATAATACTTGGACCTAATTTAATGCCTATGTTCCCATTTTGTCAGTTGCCATGACAATGTCCTTTGTGGCATTTTTTCCTCCACTGCAAGATCCAGTTCAGGGTCAGTACTGCCTTTAGATGTGTCTCTTCAGTCTTGTTTAATCTGGAACATTTCTAGTCTCTTTCTCTGTTATGACACTGATATTTTTTAAAGATACAGTCCTGCCACTTCTTGGGGGAGTCTGATGTTTCCTCAGGTTAGATCCACGTTGTGTACTCTGTAAGTGACCTGATGTCCTTCTCAGTGTATCACATCCTGAGGCACACAGTGTATCTGCCCCTTATTAACGATGTTATTTTGATCACCAAATTGAGGCCGTTATCCACTTTTCTACCTTACAGTTACTATATTTTGCCTTGCAACCAATAAACAATCGGGGGAGATTCTTTAAGGCCATGCATATACCCTGCTACTTGTTAAAAAAAAAAAAAAAGTCTCTCCAGATTTAAATGCTTTTGGAAACCAGGCTTTACTGTGGTAGTTGCAAAAATGATCATTTTCCAACTCTAGCACCCCTTCCACGAAAGTACAGAAAGAAAAAAAAATACTGTCCAGTTGGAATGGTTACCTCATTGTGGTTTTGATTTGCATTTTCCTAATGATGCTGAGCATTTTTCCACGTGCCTAGTGCCCAATTGTGTATCTTCTTTAGTGAAATATTTATTCAGATCTTTTGCCCGTTTAAAAAAATGAGACTTTCAAGCTTTTTATTTTTAGACATTCATATGCAGTGGTAAGAAATAATAGGGATCCCATGCACCCTTTAGTTAGTTTCCGTCAGTGGTAGCATCTTCTAAAACCATAGCACAATATGATAACCAGGATGTCAACAGCAAGAGTCCAGATGCAGAGTGCTCCCGTCGCCACGGGGTTCCCATTATTTGTCCTTTTACACGGACTTTCTCCCATCCCATCCCTCCAATCCCTGGTGACCACTCATCTGTTCTCTGATTCTCTAGTTTTGTCTTTTCAAAAATGCCACGTAAATGGAATCACACAATACACGATATCTTAGAAACGGGGTCTTTTGGCTCGGCATCATTCTCTGGATTCATTCCGGTTGTTTTGTATCGCGACAGTTCATTAAATCATAGTGCTGAGTGGAGTTTCACGGTATGGACATATACCCCAGTTTATTTAACCATTCCCTCATCCAAGGACATGTGGGTCATTCCCAGTTTGGGCTATTACAAATCAGAGTAGGCTGAACAATGGCCCCCAAAGTAGCCAGGTCCTAACGCCTAGAACCTGTGACTATCGCCTTCTATGGCAAAGGGCACTCTGCAGATGTGTCAAATTAAGGACCTTGAGATGGAGAGATCATCCTGGGTTATCTGAATGGGCCCGGTGTAATCACAAGGGTCCTTATAACAGGGAGGCAGAAGAATGACTACAGAAGAGAAAAAGGGTTACGTGGCCACGGAAGCAGGGGCAGGAAATGGCAATGTGATTTGAGGAAGGGGTCACAAACCAAAGAACGCTTCCAGAAGAAAAGGCAAGGAAAGGGAAGGGATGCTCCCCTGAAGCCTCCAGAAGGAACCAGCCCTGCTGACACCTTGATTTTTCGTCCCCTAAGACTCTTTTCAGACTTCTGGCCTCTAGAACTGTGAGAAAAAAAAAAAAAGCGTGTCTTGTTTTAAGCCACTAAGTTTGTGGAAATGTATTACAGCAGCCATGGGAACCTTATACATTGATAAGGATGACATGAATATTCTTGTAAGGTTCTTGTGTGAACATAAGTTTTTATTTCTTTGGGATAAAAGCCCAAGCTTGTAATTGCTGAGTTGTGTGGCAGTTGCATGTTTAGTTTTATAAGAAACTACCAAACTGATTTTCCAGAGTGACTGCACCATTTCACATTCCCCATTCCTGCCAGCAAGGTCTAAGTGATCTAGTTTCTCTGCATTCTTGCTGGCATTTGATGTTCACACTGTTTTTAATTTTCTCCATTCAGATAGGTGTGTAGTGAGATCTCATTGTGGTTTACATTTACATTTCCTCATTAGGATGATACTGAACATCTTTTCATGTGCCTGTTTGCCATTTTTGTATTCTATGCAGTGAAATTCTTGTTGATATCATTTTTCCATTTCCCAATTAGACTTTTTGTTAACTGTCGAGTTTTGGGAGATGTTTATATATTCTAGATACTTATCTTAAGTCAGAAACAGGGTGCAAATATTTATTCATTGTAGCTTTCATTGTCATCATCTCAACAGGGTACTTTACAGAGCAAACATTTTAAATTTTGATGAGATTCAATGTTTCCTTTTTATGGATTACACTTCTGATGTCAGGTCTAAGAAGTCTTTGGCCCTGGACCCCAAATATCTTCTGCTATAGCTTTTTTCTAACAGCCTTGTGGAGATATAGTTTACATACCATACAATTCACCCATTTAAAGAATATAATTGAATGGTTTTTAGTATAGGCATACCTCAGAGATATTGTGGTTCGGTTCCAGTACACTGCAATGAAGCAAATATTGCAATAAAGCAAGTCACACAAATTTTTTGGTTTGCCACTGCATATAAAAGTTATGTTTATATTGTAGTCTATTAAGTGTGCAATAGCCCCATGTCTAAGAAAACAATGTGCCTACCTTAATTGAAAGACACTTTATTGCTAAAAAATGCTGACCCAGAATGAAGTGAGCACATGTTGTTGGAAAAATGGCACTGATAGACTTGCTCAGTGCAGGCTTACCACACACATTTAATTTTTTAAAAACACAATATCCACAAAGTGCAAAAAAGTGAAGTGTGCCTGTGTATCCCCAGAGCTGTGCAACTGCCACTCCAGTTTGAGAACATTTTTATCATTCCAAAAAGAAACCCAGTGCCTTTTAAATATCACCCCCAAACCCACTATTCCATCCCCCTCAGCCCTAGGCAATAACTAATCTTTCTCTCTATGGGTTTGCCTATTCTGGACATTTTATATAAGTGGAATCATACAATGTATGGTCCTTTGTGACTGGTTACTTTCACTTAGCATCATGTTTTCAAGGTTTGTGCTTCAGTGCTTCTTTTTTTTTCCCCGAGACAGAGTCTCCCTCTGTCGCCCAGGCTGGAGTGCAGTGGCGCGATGTCGGCTCACTGCAACCTCCGCCTCCCGGGTTCAAGCAATTCACCCGCCTCAGCCTCCCAAGTAGGTGGGATTACGGGCACGCACCACCAAGCCCGGCTAATTTTTGTATTTTTAGTAGTGACGGGGTTTCGCCATGTTAGCCAGGCTGGTCTCGAACTCCTGACCTCAGGTGATCCGCCCACCTCGGCCTCCTAACCTGCTGGGACCACAGGCGTGAGCCACTGCACCCGGCCCTTGTGCTTCATTCTTTTATGAATGAATAATCTTCCATCGTATGATATACAATGAATAAACATTTTGTTTATCCATTTATTTGTTGATAAGCATTTTAGATTGTTTCCACATTTTGACTACTATGAATAATGCTTCTAGAACATGTGGGTTTTTGTGTGGACATGTGTTTTCATATCTCCTGGGCATGAAAGAGATATGAAAGGCTGGGTGTGTTGGTGGCTCACACCTGTAATCCCAACAGTTTGGGAGGCCAAGGCAGGTGGATCACCTGAGGTCAGGAGTTCGAGACCAGCCTGGCCAACATGGTGAAACCCCATCTCTACTAAAAATACAAAAATTAGCTGGGCATGGTGGCAGGTGCCTGTAATTCCAGCTACTCGGGAGGCTGAGGCAAGAGAATTGCTTGAACCCGGGAGGAAGAGGTTGCAGTGAGCCGAGACTGTGCCACTGCACTCCAGCTTAGGCAACAGAGCAAGACTGTTTCAAAAAAACAAAAAGAAAGGAAGAAAAGAAAGAGATATGAAAACACATGGGAGTGGAAAGCTGAGTCAAATGATCACTATCTTTTTTTTGAGATGAAGTCTTGCTCTGTCGCCAGGCTGGAGTGCAGTGGCGCGATCTGAGCTCACTGCAACCTCTACCTCCCAGGTTCAAGCGATTCCTCTGCCTCAGCCTCCCAAGTAGCTGGGATTACAGGCACATGCCACCATGCCCAGCTAATTTTTTGTATTTTAGTAGAGACAGGGTTTTACCATGTTGGCCGAGATGGTCTCGATCTCCTGACCTCGTGATCCACCCGCCTTGGCCTCCCAAAGTGCTGGGATTACAGGTGTGAGCCACAGCACCTGGCCGATAACTATCTTTTTGAAGAACTGACCAATTATTTCCAAAGTGGGTGCCTCATTTTACATTCTCACCACCAGCATATGAGCACTGCGCAAGTTCTCCATATCCTCACCAACACTTGCTATTATCTTTTTTCAATTATAGCCATCTTAGTGGTTGTTAAGCAGTATCTCCTTTTGGGTGTGATTTGCATTTCCCTGTGACTACTCACGTTGAGCATCTTTTCATGTGTTTATTAACTATATGTCAACCCTGAAGAAATTTCTATTCCGATTTTTCATCCATTCTTTAAGTTGGGATATTTGTCTTTTTGTTTTTGAGTTGAAGGAGTTATTTATATATCCAGTAACAAGTCCCCTATCAGATAGATTATTTGCAAATATTTTCTCCCATCTGTAGGTTGTCTTTTCACTTTCTTTAAGGTGTCTTTTGAAGCACAAAAGCTTTTAATTTTTATGAAGTCCAATATATCTACTTTTTTTCTTTTGTTCCTTGTTCTTTGGTGTTATATCTAAGAAACCTCTGCCAAATCCAAGGTCATAAAGATTTACCCTTATGTTTACCCTAAGAATTTTATAGCTTTATCTGTTACGTATTTATGTCTTTGATCCACTTTGAGTTAATTTTTATATATGATGTGGAGTGGACCAATTGATTTTTCTCATGTGGATATCAGTTGTTTCAACACTATTTGTTCAAAAGACTATTCTTTCCGCATTGAACATTCTTGGCATCCTTGTCAAAAATCAATTGACCATAGATATATGGCTCCGTTTTTACACTCTGATTCTATTCCCTTGATCTACATATCTATCTCATGCCAGTATCACATTTTCTCGAATACTGTTACTTTGTAGTCAATTTGGAGATCAGGAAGTATGAAGCCTCCAACTTTTCTTTTTCAAAATTGTTGCTATTCTGGGTCCTTTGCATTTTCATATGAAGTTGAACATCAGCTTATTATTCTACAAAGAAACCAGCTGAGATTCTGGTAAGGATTGTGTTGAGTTTGTAGATCAGCACGATTCCGGGAGTGTTGCCATCTTAACAATATTAAGTCTTCCAGTCTATGAGCATGTAATGTCTGTCCATTTATTTGTATCTTCTTTTCTTTCAACAATGTTTTGTAATTTTCAGAGGATAAGTTTTGTACTTGTTAAACTTATTCCCAAGGTATTTTATTTTTTCTTTATTATGGTAAAAATATACATAAAATCTACTATTTTACTCATTTTAAGTATATAGTTATGTGGCATTAGGTAAATTCGCACTGTTGTGCTTTATTCTTTTTTGATGTTATACATGGAATTGTTTTCTTAATTATATTTTCAGATTGTTTTTTGACAGTGTGTAGAAATACAATTGATTTTTATATACTGATTTTGTCTCCTGCAGCCTTACTGAACTCATTCGTTGTAATTGTTTCACAATGGATTCCTTGGGGTTTTCTGTATACAACATTGATACGGTTTGGATGTTTGGTCCCTCCAAATCTCATTAAAATGATTCCCAATGTTGGAGGTGGGGTCTGGTGGGGGGTGTCTGGATCATGGACGGAGCCCTCGTGAATGGCTTGGTACCATCCCCGTGGTAATGAGCGAATTCTTACTCTGGTAGTTTATGCTAAGAGCTGGTTGTTTAAAGAATCTGCTACCTCCCTCCACCTTGCTCCTGCTCTTGCCATGTGATATGCCTGCCCCTCTGCCTTTCGCCATGATTGTAAGCTTCTTGAGGCCCTCACCAGGAGCAGGTGCTGGTGCCATATTTCCTGTATAGCCTGAAGAACTGTGAGCCAATTAAAATCTTCTTTATAAATTACCCAGCCTCGGGTGTTCCTTTATAGTAACACAAAACTGGACCAGCACAAATTTATGTCATCTCCAAATAGTTCTACTTCTTTCTTTCAGTCTGGATTCTTTTTCTTCCCAAATTATCCTGGATGGAACACTCAATAAATGTTGAATAGAAGTGGAAAGAGCAGATCTCTTTGTCTCATTCCTGATCTTAACGGGGAAACATTCAGTCATTCACTGTTAAGTATGATATTATCTGTGATTTTTTTTTTTTTTTTTTTTTTTTTTTTGAGACAGAGTCTCGCTCTGTCACCCAGGCTGGAATGCAGTGGTGTGATCACGGCTCACTGCAAGCTCCACCTCCCAGGTTCACGCCATTCTTCTGCCTCAGCCTCCCGAGTAGCTGGGACTACAGGCGCATGCTGCCATGCCTGGCTAATTTTTTTGTATTTTTAGTAAAGACGGGGTTTCACCATATTAGCCAGTATGGTCTCGATCTCCTGACCTCGTGATCCACCCGCCTCGGCCTCCCAAAGTGCTGGGATTACAGGTGTGAACCACTGCACCCGGCCAACTGTGATTTTTAATAGATGCCCTTTATCAGGTTGAGGATGTTCCTTTCTATTCCTAGTATATTGAGTAGGGCTTTTTCTCCCATCATGGAAGGGTGTTGAATTTTATCACCCAAATGCTTTTCTGTGTCTTTTATTCTATCATTAATTGCTATAGACTGAATGTGTGTGTTTCCTCAAAATGTATATGTTGAAATCCTAACCCCCAATGTTGGTATTAGGAGGTGAGGCCTTTGGGAAGTGGTTAGGTCATGAGGGTGGAGACCTCATGGAATGGATTAGTGCCCTTGTAAAAGAGACCTCAGTGAGCTCCTTTTTTTCTTCCGTCATATGAGGACACAAGAAGACAACTGTTCATGAACCAGAAAGCGAGTCCTCTCCAGATGCTGAATCTGCCAGTGCCTTGACCTTGGACTTCCAAGCCTGTAAAATTGCAAAAAATAAATTTCTGTGTTTATAAGCCACCAGTTCGTGATACTTTGTTATAACAGTCTGAACAGACTGACAGAAATCGTGGTGTTTTGTCTTTTATTCTGTTGATAATGGTGTATTACATTAATTGATTTTCAGATGTTAATTCAACCTTGCATTCCTGAAATAAGTCCCATTTGGTTATAATGTATAATCCTTTTTAAACATTGCTTGATTTTACTTGCTAGTATTTTGTTGAGGGTTTTGAGGGTTTTACATCATTTTCATCACAGTTATTGTAATGAAATACAAAAATCAATAGTATTCCTATACACTGTCAAAAACAATCTGAAAATAAGAAAACAATTCTATTTACAACATCAAGAAAGCATAAAGCACAATAGCGTGGATTTACCTAATGCCACAGAACTATATACCTAAAATGGGTAAAATAAATTTTATAAGTTCTCTTTTCATGTTTTTGTCTGGTTTTGGTGTCAGGGTGATACTGGACTGAAAGAATGTATTGGAAAAATTTTCCTTCTCTTCTATTTTTTTGTTGTTGGAAGAGGTCATAAAGAATTGATATTCTTTAGATATTTGTTAGATTCACTCATCTGGCCCTCTTGGGCTTTTCTTTTCAACTAGTGTTCTCATAACTAATTCAATCTCTTTAACTTATTACAGATCCATTCACATTTTCTACTTATTTCTTAGTCAGTTTTCATAGTTTTCATCTTTCTAGGAATTTGTCAATTTCATCTAAGTTTTATAATTTATTGGCACAAAATTGTTCATAGTGTTCCTTCATAATCCTTTTTATTTCTGTCAGGTTGGTAGTATACTTCCCTCATTCATTCCTTTTTCCTTTTCTTTTTGAGAAACAGAGTCTCTCTCTGTTGCCCAGGCTGGAATAGAGTGGTGTAATCATAGCTCACTGTAACCTCGATCTCCTAGTCTCAAGTGATCCTTGCCCCTTAGCCTATGACAGGTGTGCACCACAACACCAGCTGTTATTCAAAAAATATTTTGTAGAGATAGGGTCTTGCTTTGTTGTGCATGCTATTCTTGAACTCCTGGCCACAAGCAATTCTCGAACTCCTGGCCACAAGCAATTCTCCTGCCTTGGCCTCCCAAAGTGCTGGGATTACAGGTGTGAGCCACTGCAGCTAGCCTCGTTTTTTTGCTTTAATTTGTAAAACTGTCATTCATTTCTGATTTTAGTAATTTGAGTTTTCTCTCTCCCCCTTTGCCTCATGCACTTCCCTCTCTGTCTTTCCTCCTCCCCCTCTTTCTTCCTCCCCTTCTTTTCTTCTCCCTCTCCCTCTCTCTTACCAATCTATCAAAGGTTTGTTAATTTCAAAGAACCAAATTTTGGATTTGTTGACTTTATTATTTTTATATTCTATATTTTATTTCTACTCTAATATTTATTATTTTGTTTTTTCTACTTGCTTTAGGTTTAGTTTGCTCTTCTTTTTCTAGTTTCTTGAGGTGGAGAGTTGGCTTACTGATTTGAAGCCTTATTTTTTGATATAGGCATTCATAGCTATAAAATTCCATCTTTACACTGCTTTAAATGTATCCCATAAGTTCTGTTATGTTGTATCTTCATTTTCATTAATCTCAAAGTACGTTCCATTTCCCTTGTGAATTCTTTCACCCATTGATTATTTAAGAATGTAGTGTTGTTTAATTTCCACATGTGTATGTTTCCCTAATTTCTTTGCTACTGAGTTCTACTTTTATTTCATTATATTCAGAAAAAGATACCTTGTATTATTTCAATCCTTTTAAATTTATGCAGGTTTGTTTCGTGACTTAGCATATGGTCCTTCTTGGAGAATGTCTCATGTGCACTTGAAAATACTGTATATTCAATGTTGGTTGTTGGGCGAAGTGCTCTATAATTACCTTTTGAGTCTAGTTGGTTTATGGTGTTGCTCATATCTTCTGTTTCCTTATTGATCTTCTTTCTTGTACTACACATTATTGAAAGTGGAGTGTTGAAGTCTCCAACTACTATTGTTGAATTGGCTATTTCTCTGTTCAGTTCTGTCAGTTTTTGCTTCTTATGTTTTAGTTCTCTATTGTTAGGTGAATATATGTTTATAATCATTGTATCTTCTCATGAATTGACATTTTATCATTATGAGATATTCATATTTAACTTCAGTAACATTCTTAATTTAAAATCTCCTTTGACTTTATTATAGCACTTCAGGTTACTTATGGTTGCTGCTTACATGATATATCTTTTTCCATCCTTTTACTTTCAGTTGGCATTTATCATCTAAAGTGTGCCTCATATAGATGGAATACAGATGGATCCTGTTTTTCAAATCTGGTCTGATAATTCCTGCCTTTGATTAGATTGTTTAATCCATTCACATTTAATATTATTATTGATATAATTAGATTTATATCCACAGTTTTACTTTTGGTCTTTTCTATGTACTATTTCTTGTTCCTCTATTTCTCCTTTGCTGCTTTCTTTTCCATCTAGTGACTACTTTCTAATATAAATTTTCATTTCTTTTATGATTCTTCAATATTCTATTTGTTATTAGTGTTTGCTCTAGGGCTTACCTTATGTATCGTCTCAAAATTTACTTCATATTTATATTAATCCTGGTGAGATACAGAAGTTATTCCTGTATGAGTTTATTCAGTTTTACCACTTTTTGTGGTATTGTTACATATATTACATCTTTATTATGCGCTATTATAATGATCATACTATATAATGATATATCTTTAAAGAAGCTGAAAGGAGAGCAAGTATATATTTCTAGTTTCTGTTTTATTAACCTCCTTATATCATATATTTGATCCACTTTTTTGGTTTTTATGGATTTGAGTTACCAACTGGTGGTATTTCCTTACTCTAGAACAGCTTTGCTCCTATTTACCTCCTTGCTCTTTGCTTTTGGATATATGTGAACTTCCTGGGAGCACTTCCTTTTTGCCTGAAGAACTTCCTCTAGTAGTTCTTACAAAACTGGTCTGCTAACAAGGAATTCTGTTTTTGTTTATCTGGGAATGCTTTTATTTTGCCTTCTTTTTGAAAGAAACTTTTCTGGACACAGTATTCTTGGTTGGCTTTTTTTTTTTTTTTTTTTTTTTTTTTTTACTTTGAGCACTTGGGATCTGTTACCCCACTACTTTCTGGGTACCACTGTTTCTGACGAAAAGTCAGCTCCACATTTGTCTCCCTGACACCAGAACAGGGGAGGGTATTAAGCAGAGTGCCACATAGCCTCACCTCCCACCATTTCATCCAAGAATAGTAGTTGGGTAATAGTTCAATAACTCACTCTGAATAATTGATAGAACAACAAGACAGAAAATCAACAAGAGTTAGTACTATTATTGTTGAGTTGTCTATTATTGTTCAGTTGTCTGTTTCTCTCTTCATTTCTGACAGTTTTATTTCATATACTTCAGGGCTGTGTTTTTAGCTGTTATAAATTTTTATTTCTTTATGACTTCTGTTTATGATTTCTATTTCTTCCTGTTAAATTTTCCCTTTTGTCATTGTAAAATGCTTCTCAGTATCTCTAATAACATGGTTTGTTTTTAAAGTCTATTTTGTCTGATTTTATTTATTTTTATTTTATTTTTGGGATGGAGTCTCACTCTGTTGCCCAGGCTGGAGTGCAGTGGCGTGACCTTGGCTCACTGCAACCTCTGCCTCCCGGATTCAAGCCGTTCTCTTGCCTCAGCATCCCAAGTAGCTGGGACTACAGGCATTTGCCACCATACCCAGCTAATTTTTAGTAGAGACAGAGTTTCACCATGTTGACCAGGCTGGTCTTGAACTCCTGACCTCGAGTGATCTGTCTGCCTCAGCCTCCCAAAATGCTGGGATTACAGGTGTGAGCCACTGCACCCAGCCAATTTTGTCTGATTTTAGTACAGTCACTCTAGCTTTCTTATTACTGTTTGCATGTCATCTTTTTCCATCATTTTACTTTCAACTATGTCTTTGAATCTAGAATGTGACTCTTATAGACCATATATATTTGGATCCTGCTTTTAAGGCAGTCTGGCAATCTCTGCTCTTTATTGAGTTTTTAATTCACTTATATGTAATATAATTATTGATATGGAAGGATTTATATCTACCATGTTGTTATTTATTTTCTATATGTCTCATATCACTTTTGTTCCTCTCTTCCTCCTTTACTGCCTTCTGCAGGTTGAATAGATATGTTCTAGAGTACCATTCTAATTCCTTTGTTAGTTTATTTCCCCCATTTTTAAAGTGTAATCTGGAGGTTACAATAAGCAGCTTAAGCAAAAACAATCTGCTTCAGGTTAATAATCTACTCAAATATTTTTGTCTGCCCTATTCTCTCCTTCTCAGTACTCTTATTAACACATATGTTGTTACTCCTTAATTCCACATATGTTTTCTACTCTTAATTACATATATGTTACAACTTAATTACACATACATTGTTACACATCCTGTTAGGACAGGGGTTCCCAACCCCAGGGCCATGGACTGGTACCAGTCTGTGGCCTATTAGAAACTGGGCTACACAGCAGGAGGTGAGCAGCAGGCAAGCAAGCATTACTGCCTGAGCTCTGCCTCCTGTCTGATCAGTGATGGCATTAGATTCTCACAGAGAGCAAATCCTATTGTGAACTGAGCATGTGAGGGATCTAGGTTGTGCACTCCGTATGAGAATCTAACTAAAGCCTCCCCCAACTGGCTGTGGAAAAATTGTCTTCCACAAAACTGGTCCCTCATGCCAAAAAGGTTGGGGACCACTATATTATGGTATCCAATGGGTATCTCTTCATTTTTCTTCATTATTTTTCTTTCTATTCTTCAGTCTGAATCATCTTTATGGATCTGCGTTGAAGTTCATTGATTCTTTCTTCTGCCAGGTCAAATTTGCTTAGCCGCACTAGTGAGTTTTTCACCTAAGTTATTATATTTCACAACTACAGAATTTCTATTTGGTTTCTAATTTCTATCTCTATATTGATATTATCTATTTGATGAGTCTTTGTCATCACACTTGCATTCTTTAATGTGGTTTCTTTTGGTTCTTTGAACATAGTTATAATACTTACTTTGAAATCGCGCCCTAACATTTGGGGCCCTTCAGAGATAATTCCTATTTATTGCTCATTATTCTTGTTCAAGGGTCACAATTTTCTGTTTCTTTGCATATCTCATTTTTTTTGTTAAAAACTTACTTTAGATAATATATCGTAGAAACTCTGGATTCTAGTTCTTCTCCCTAACCAGGGATGATTTCTGTTACTCATTTATTTGTTTGCTCGCTTGTGTATGCCTTCTCTGCATGGATTCTGCAGAGTCTGTGTTCTCCTGCAGTGTGCAGCCACTGGTGTCTTTGCTCAGTTTTGTTTGTTTTAATTCTTATGTTTGTTTTGTAAGCCTGGCTTCATTGGTGTCACCCCTGGATCAGCATAACCTAGTGGTCAAGCCATGATTAGTCAGACATTTGTTTAAACATCTTGAGCCAGTGAATCTTCCACCCTCTGCTGAGGGGATCTATGTGTGGGTTGGGACATTCAAAGTTCAGGCACTTTATAACTCTGTCCTGTATTTTACTGTCTGCTTGCAAAAGGTCTCACAGTCAGCCAAGGATAAGTAGATAGCAGGAAACCTCTCTGATCTCTCCTGCAAGCATGTACAACTTCCATATCTCCAGAATTCCTTTTAAAATTTTTCTTAATCTGTCGCTTGCCCAACCAGTATTGAAACATTAGGTTGCTGTGATGTGGGTTGCCTCCAATTATTTGCCACTGAAATCCTTGTTGCTTAACATAGTGCATAGGGTTTTCTATGGAATTCAAAATCAGATGAGCCTTCTTTGTTGCTGGTCCTCAAGCCTACCGTGCCCCTGAGCTTGGGTGGGGAGATGGCAGCCCCACGTTAAATCATAACCCTGCTATTCTTAGGAAGGCTTAATATTTTTTCTTTAATTAGCACTTTTCAATTTTATATTTCTTTGTCCAGTTTTATCATTGCTTTTCAGGGAGTGGTTATATCAAGGTGCTCATTCCACCACCTCAGAAGTGGTCCCTATCTTGTTAATTTTATTTTTTGAATACATATAACATTAACATACTTCCAAAAGTCAATACTAAACAAAAGGAGCTACTGAGAGAAATCTTCCTCTCACCCATATCTCTTCCATCCTAATTCCCCCTACCCATTATAGGTAACCAGTTTCAGTGTTTTCTAGTTTATAGTTTGTGTGTGTTTGCTCTTTATAAGACATGATTATTTTCTCATTTCCCAAAAAAGTACTATTCTGTATATGCCCTTTTGAACTTTGCTTTTCTCACCTAACAACATCTCCTAGAAATCACTCAACATCCATTCACAGAGATCTTTCTCATTGCATTGCTAAAGTTGCATAGTATTCCTTAGTGTGACTGTGCTATAACCTTTCAACCAATCTCTTATGCTTGCATGTGTAGGTGGTTTCTAGATGGCAGCTATGCTCACCATTCTTTGGCTTTCCTACCATGTCTCTGAGATACATCTACTCCATAAATCGAATCTACCCCCAAGAGGTGATTCTCTGAGGGTGCCACCTCAAATCTTAGTCATTTGCAAGAGCCTCCACTATAGCTGCTGCTCTGGACTACCTATTTCTGACATGTGTTCTCCATGTTGACATTTAATATAGAGTCTTCTTTTTCTGGTGATAATTCTGTCTGTGCTGCTTTTTAGTCTTCTGTGCACCCTTTAAATTTTTTAAGTAACAGAAACCATTTCAAAATGTACAATTCAGTGTCACTTAGTACATTTACAATATTGTGTTTTTTGTGTCTTTTCTAAGAATTTATTTCCAATCTCAAGTCATAAAGATTTACTCCTGTTTTCTACTAAGAAATTTATGCCTTTAACTCTTATTTTTTGGTCTCTGATACATTTTGAGATAATTTTTATATGCTATGAGTTATGGGTCCAACTTCATTCTTTGATATATGAGGATCCAGTTGCCCCAGCACCATTTGTTAAAAGACTACTCTTCCCACTGAATTCTTGATACATTTGTTGAAAATGAATTGATCATATATGTGAGTGTTTATTTCTACATTCTCTATTATATTCCATTGGTCTATATGTCCATCCTTGTGTCCTAGAGACCACATTGTGTCAGTACCACATTGTTTTGATTACTGCAGCTTTGTAAAAGTTTTGAAAATGGCAGGCCTGAGTCTTCCAACTTTGTTCTTTTTCAATATGATTTTAGATTGTTTGGGGCCCTGGGAAAATTCCATTTACATTTTAAAATCAGTTTTTACATTTCTGCAAATAAAAAGGCCCTTGGGATTTTGATAAGGGTTGCATTGAATCTGTAGATCACTGGGTAATATCGCCAACTTAACAATATTTAATCTTCCAATCTGTGAACACAGGATGTATAGTTCTATTTATTTAAGTCTTCTTTAATTTTTGTCAACAGTGTTTTGTAGTCTTTAGTGCAGAAGTCTTTCACCTTCTTGTTTTAATTTATTCCTAGCTATTTTACTCTTTTTGATGCTATTGTAAGTGGAATTTTAAAAATTGACTTCCTTCTTGGGCTGTTCATTCCTGGTATATAGAGGCACAAATGATTTTCTTAAAATAAATGTTGAACATGTACCCTGCAATTTTGCTGGACTTGTTTATTAGCTCTACTAGTTTGTGGATTCTTTGATTTTCTAGATAGAAGATGTCATTATTGAATAAAGAGTTTTACTGCTTCCTTTCCAATTTGGATGCTATTCATTTACCTGTTTGTTTATTTATCTGCCTAATTGTCATGGTTAAAACTTTCAGTACATTGTTCAATAGCACTGGGTAAAGCATACAGCCATATCTTACTCTTTGTTATGGGAGAAATTTTTCAGTTTTTTTTCTCATTAAGTATATTAGTTGTGGATTTTTCACAAATCCTCTTTAACACATTTTGAAAGTTCCATGTTTTTATCCTGAAAGGTTGTAGAATTTTGTCAAATGCTTGTTCTGAGTGAATTGAAATGATTGCATGGATTTTTTATCCTTCATTGTATTAATGTGGTGTATTACATTGATTGATACTCTTGTACTGAACCACCCTTGTATTCTTGAGATAAATTCCATGTGGTCATGATATATAATCCTTTTTAATATGCTGCTGAATTTGGCTTACTAGTACTTTGTTAAATAAAAGATTTTAGTATCTAGTTTGTCTTTTCTTGTGGTATATTTGTCTGGCTTTGGAATCCATGTAATACTGGCCTCATAGAATGTATTGCAAAGTTTTTTCTCCTCTGTTTTTTGGAAGAGTTTGAGAGGGATTGGTGTGAATTCTTCAAGTGTTTGGTATAATTCAACAGTGACGCCATCTGTGTAGCATTTTCTTCATTGGAAGGTTTTTGGTTACTGATTCAAACTTTCTACTTGTTATGGGTCTGCTCATAATTTCAATTTCTGTTTTGGTCTGTATTAGTATTTTGTGAATTCGTCCATCTTATCTAGGTTATATAATTTGTTGGTATACAGTTATTCATAGTATTCTTTTATCACACTTTTTATTTCTGTAAGATCAGTTATATCGTTCCCACTTTTGTTTTTTTTTCTTATTTTTGTTTTTTTTTGTTGTGTTCCTACTTTTGTTTATGATTTTAGATATGTGCAACTTCTCTAATTTTTTATTAGTCATTCTAGTTAAAGGTTTTCAACTTTGATCTTTTCAAAAACAAGCAACTTTTGGTTTTGTTAAATTATCTCTGTTGTTTATTTAAGCTCGAATTCAGTTTTATCTCCACTCATACATATTATTTCATTCTCTCTTTTAACTTTAGGTTTACTTCGTTCTTCTTTCTCTGGTTACGTAAGGTATAATATTAGGTTATGGATCCTTCTTCTTTTTCAGTGTGGGCATTCACAGCTATAATTTTTCCTCTGAGCACTTCTTTCACTACATCCCATAAGTCTGAGTATGTTGTGTCGTCATTTTCACTTTTTGAAAGTATTTTATAATTTCCCTTCTGATGTCTTCTTTGACACAATAATTTTTAAAGAGTGTGTAGTTTTATTTCCCTGAATTTGTTAATTTTTAGGTTTTTCTTCTGTTACAGATTTCTGGCCTCACTATATTGTAGTTAGAGAAGATATTTTGTATGATTTCTATATTTTAAAATTTATTGAGACTCTTTTGTGGCCTAACATATCATCCCTCCTAGGGAATGTTCCATGTGCACTTGAGAAGAATGTGTAGTTGGGTGGAGTGTCCATATATGTTTGTAGGTCTAGTTGGTTTATGGTATTGTTCAAGTCCTCTCTTTTCTTATTGGGCTTCTGTCTGGCTGTACATTATCTTGTTGTGTTTTTTTTTTTTAATTTTAAAAATATGCATATTTAGTGTATAAAACATACAGTTAAATCGTTAACATAGTGATGCAAATTAATATGTCCATCATCTCACAGTTATTCTTTTGTGTGTATGAGTGAGAAAAGCTATGATCTACTCAATTGGCAAAAATTCCAAATGCAATATACTAACTATTCTCATGTTCTACATGAGATCTCTAGACTTGTTCATCCTATATATCTGCTACTTGGTATCCTTTGACCTACATCTTTCCATTTTCTTCCCCCACACCTTGCCCATGGTAACCACTAGTTTATTCTATCTCTGTATATTTGACTTTTTTCTTTTTAAGATTCTACATATAGGTGAGATTATTTAAAACTTTTCATTTGTATATGGCTTATTTAACTTAGCACAATGTCTTCCAGTTTCATCCATGTGGCAAGTGGCAGGATCTCCTTTTTTAATGCGGAATAATATTCCATTGTAGACATACACACCACAGTTTAGTCATCCATCAATGGACACGTAAGTTTTCATATCGTGACTCATGCATATAATGCCACAATGAATATAGGAGCGCAGATATCTTTATGAGGTGGAGATTTCATTTTCTTTGGGAATATACCTAGAAGAGGGATTAGTGGGTCAGATGATAGTATATTTTCAATTTCTTTAGGAGCCACCATTCTGTTTTTCATTATGACTGCACCAATCTACAGTCCCACCAACACTGTACAAGAGTTCCCTAACCCTAGCCAACACTTAATAGCTATTCTCATGAGTGTGAGGTGATATCGCATAGTAATTTTGATTTGCATTTCCCTGACGATTAGTGATGTTAAATGTCTTTTCATATATGTGTTTGCCATTTTTATAACTTCTTTGCAAAAATGTCTACTCAGTTCCACTGCCCATTTTTTAATTGGGTTATCTATTTTCTTGTTATTGAGTTGTATGCATTCCTTATAAATTTTGGATATTATCCTCTTATAAGATATATGGTTGGCAAATATTTTCTTCTAGTCCATAGGTTGCCTTTTCCTTTTGTTGACTGTTTCCGTTCCTGTGCAGAAGTTTTTTAGTTTGATGGTATACCAATTATTTGTTTTTGTAGCCTGAGCTTTTGGTGTGATCTCCAAAAAATCACTGCCAGAGCCATGTCGAGCTTTTCCCCTATGTTTTCTTCTGGTTGTGGGTTTTGGTCTTATGTTTAGGTCTTTTATCCATTTTGAGTTTATTTCTATGTATGGTGTAAGGCAGCGATATCAAATCTTTTGGCTTCCCGGGGCCACACTGTAAGAACAATTGTCTTAGGCCACACATAAAATACACTAACAATAACAACAGCTGATGGGCTAAAAAAATGCAAAAAAATTCAATGTTTTAACAAAGTTTACAAATTTGTGTTGGGCCTCATTAAAGCCATCCTGGGCTTACATGTGGTCTGTGGGCCATGGGTTGGACAAGCCACAGAACTGGGTTTCCTAACGTCATTTATGAGAGAGACTATCTTTCTGCATTGTTTTCTTCGTGTTCTTGTGGAAAATTGGTTGATCATATATCTTTGAATTTCTTTCTGGGCTCTCTATTCTGTTCCACTGGTCTACATGTTTGTTTTTTATGCCAGGACCATACTGTTTGATCAATAGTTTTGTAAAATAAACCAGAAAGTATGAAGTCTCCCTTTGTTTTTCAGAACAGAATTTTCAGAATTTCGTTGGCTACTTAAGGTTCTTGCTATTCCAAATGAACTTTAGAATTTAAAAAAATTTTCCATGGGATTTTGATAGGGATTTTATTCAATCTGTATATTGATTTGGATATTATTGACATTTTAACAATATTATTCAGATTCATGAGCATGGGATATCTTTCCATTTATTTGTATCTTGTTTAATTTCTTTCATCAATGATTCATAGTTTTCAGTGTACAGGTCTTTCATCTTTTTGGCTAAATTTATTCCTAAGCAATTTTTTTGATGCTATCATAAATGGGATTGTTTTCTTGATTTCTTTTTTGGCCAGGTCATTATTTGTGTATAGAAATGCAACTACTGTTTTATATTGATTTTATATCCTACAACTTTACTGAACTCATTTATTAGTTCTAACAGGTTGCTTTGTCAGAGTCTTCGGGGTTTTCTATATGTAGGATCATGTCATCTTCATATAAAGATAATATTACTTCTTACTTCCTGATTTGAATGTCTTTCATTTCTTTTTCTTGTCTGTTTGGTTGTACTAGTACTTCCAGTACTATGTTGAGTAGTAGTAGCTAGAGTGGGCATCCTTGCCTTGTACTGGTTCATAGTAGAAGGGCTTCTGTTTTCCCTCATTGATTATAACGTTAGCTGTGGGCTTTTCATAAATGGCATTCGTTATATTGAGGAGTGTTCCTTCTATACCTGAACTGTTAGAATTTATCAACAAAGGATGTTCAACTTCATCAAATACTTTTTGTGTGTCAATTGAGATGATCATGTGGTTTTCATCTTTCAGTCTGTTAGTATCACATTGATTGCTACATGTATATTAAATAAGATTTGCATGCCAGAAATTAATTCCACATAGACATGATATATAATCTTTTTGATGTATTGTTAAATTTAGTCTGCCAATATTTTATTAAGGATTTTTGCATCGGTATTCTTGGGTTATGTTGGCCTGTAGTTTCCTTTTCTTGTGATGCCTTTGGCTCACCTGGGTATCAAGGTGATGCTGGCCTCATAAAATGTGTTAGGAAGTATTCCCTTTAGCTGCATTTTTTTTTTTTTGGAAGTATTCCCTATAGCTGCATTTTTTTGGAAGAGTTTAAGAAGTATTGGTATTCTTTGAATATTGGGTAGTATTCAGTCATGAAGCTATCTGGTCCTGGGCTTTTCTTTGTTTGAGGTTTTGGGGTTTTTTTAACTTTTATTTTTGATTTAGAGGGTATATGTACAGGTCTATATGTTGCATGGTATATGGAGTATACTGCATGATGATGAGGTTTGGAGTGTGGATAAGCCTATCACCCAGGTAGTGAGCATAGTACCCAATAGGTAGGTTTTCAGCCCACCTCTCCATTCCTCCCCCAAGTAGTCCCCAGTGTCTACTGATCATCTTTATGTCCATGTTTACTCAGTGTTTAGGTCCCACTTGCAAGTGGTAACATGCAGTATTTGGTTTTCTGTTCCTGCATTAATTTGCTTAAGATAGTGGCCTCTAGCTGCATCCATGTTGCTGCAAAGGACGTAAGTTCATTCATGTATATATATATATTTTTTTTTTTTATTTTTTTTTTAGACGGAGTTTCGCTCTTGTTGCCCAGGCTGGAGGGCAATGGCATGATCTCGGCTCACTGCAGCCTCCGCCTACCGGGTTCAAGTGATTCTCCTGCCTCAGCCTCCTGAGTAGCTGGGATTAGAGGCATGCGCCACCACGTCCAGCTAATTTTGTAGTTTTAGTAGAGACAGGGTTTTTCCATGTTGGTCAGGCTGGTCTCGAACTCCTGACCTCAGGTGATCCACCCGCCTTGGCCTCCCAAAGTGCTGGGATTACAGGTGAGAGCTACCGCACCTGGCCGAATTCATTCATTTTTATGGCTGCATAGTATTCCATGGTGTACATGTACCACATTTTCTTTATCCAATCCACCACTGATGGGCATCTAAGTGGATTCCATGTCTTTGCTGTTGTGAATAGTGCTGTGATGAACATACAAATGCATGTGTCTTTTTGATAGAACAATTTATTTTCCTTTGAATATATATCCAGTAATGGGATTGCTGGGTCAGATGGTAGTTCTGTTTTCAGTTATTTGAGAAAACTCCAAACTGCTTAGCACAGTGGCTGAACTAATTTGTATTCCTGCCAACAGTGTATAAGCGTTCCCTTTTCTCTGCAGCCTTCCCAGCAACTTTTATTTTTTTGACTTTTTAATAATTGCCATTCTGACTGGTGTGAGATGGCATCCCATTATGGTTTGGTGTTTTTTTGTTGTTGTTGTTTTGTTTTGTTTTTTTTTGTCTGTTTTTTGCTTTTTTGTTTGTTTGTTTGTTTTTTGAGAAAGAGTCTTGCTCTGTCTCCCAGGCTGGAGTGCAGTGGCGCAATCTCGGCTCACTGCAACCTCCACCTCCTGGGTTCAAGCAATTCTCCTGTCTCAGACTCCTGAGTAGCTGGGATTACAGGTGACCGCCACCATACCTGGCTAATTTTTGTGTTTTTAGTAGAGACGGGGTTTCACCATGTTGGCCAGGATGGTCTCGAATACCTGACCCCAGATGATCCACGCACCTCAGCCTCCCAAAGTGCTAGGACTACAGGCATGAGCCACCGTGCCTGGCCTCATTATTTGCATTTCTGATTATTAGTGATCATGAGAATGTTTTTTTGTTTGGCTACTTCTGTATTTTCTTTTAAGAAATGTATGTTCCTGTCCTTTGCCAATTCAATTGGATTATTCGTTTTTTGCTTGTTGATTGGTTTAAGTTCCTTATGGATTCTGGACATAGGACCTTTGCCAGATGAATAGTTTGCAAATATTTTTTCTCCCATTCTATATGTTGTCTGTTTACTCTGTTGATAATTTCTTTTGCTATGCAGAAGCTCTTTAGTTTACCACTGTGATCTCTTTGCTATTGGTCTGTTCAGGCTTTCTATTCCTGATTTAATCTTAGCAGGTTGGTTTTTTTCTAGGAATTTGTCCATTTCCTCTAGGTTATCCAATTTGTTGGGATATAATTGTTCATAAAAGTCCCTTATGATCCTTTTTATTTCTGAAGTACCTGTTGTAATATATTCTCCATTTTCATTTCTGATTTTGTCCTCTTTCTTAGTCCAAGAGTTTGTTGATTTTATTTTTCAAAAATCAATTCTTTGTTTCAAAAATTGAAGTCTTAGTTTTACTGACTTTTTTCCCCTATGGTTTTTCTTTCTAACTTGTCTCTGTTCTGATCTTTATTATTTCCTTCTGTTAACTTTGGCTTTAGTTTGTTCTTCTTTTTCTAATTCCTTGAGGTACAATTTTGGGCTATTTGAAATATCTCTTCTTTTTTAATGTAGGCAAGGCATTTATTGCTGTAAACTTCCCTCTTAGAACTGCTTTTGCTGCATGTTTTGCTTTTGGTATGTTGTGTTCCCACTGTCATTTGTCTGAAGATATTTTTAAGTTTCTGTTTTCATTTCTTCTTTGACTCTACCCATTACTGAAAGTACGTTATTGAAGTCCCTAAGTATTATTGTAGAACTGTCTTTCTCACTCCAATTCTGTCAGTATATTTTCTTATATTCTGGGGCTCTATATTTTGGTGTGTATACGTTTCCAATTGCGAAGTCTTGAGTAATTTTCCATTTTCTCAGTATGTAATGTCCTCCTTTGTCTCCTATAACAATTTTTAAATTCAAGTTTATTTCTTTTATTAGTATAATTACCTCCAGCTTTCTTTAGGTTACTATTTGTATGAAATATCATTTTTCATTCTTTCACTTTCAATCTACTTGTGTCTTTAGACCAAAAGTGAGTTTGTTATATACAGCATAGGTTGATGGTTTTCTTTTAAATCCATTCTGCCAACCTCTGCTTTTTGGAGAATTTAATCGACTTACATTTAAAGTACTTACTTATAAAAAAGAAGTTCTGACATTTTGTGCCTTTTCTTTTGCCTTACATTTTTTAAATACAACATTTCCTCCCTTACTGCCTTTTTTTGTGTTTGATGATTTTCTGATAGTGTACCATTATGATTCTCTATTCGATTGTCTGTATGTGTGTATGTGTATTTTAAAGACTTTATATTTTTAGAGCAGTTTTAGGGTTCCAGCAAAATTGAGAGGTAAGTACAGAGATTTCCCGTATACCCACTGCACCCATACATACAGAGCTTTTCCCATTACCAACTCTCCCACCAGAGTGGCACGTTTGTTACAACTTATGAATCTGCATTTACACATTATTATCAAAGTCCCTAGTTAACATTAGGGCTCACTGTTGGGGTGTACATTCTGTGGGTTTCTACAAATGTGTAACATGTTGATATGGTTTGGCTCTGTGTTCCCACCCAAATCTCATCTTGAACTGTAATCCCCATGTGTCAGGGGAGGGGCCTGGTGGGGGGCAAACTTCCCCCTTGCTGTTCTCATGATAGTGAGTTCTCATGAGATCTGGTTGTTTAAACGTGTGTGGCACTTCCCATCTCACTTTCTTTCCCTCTCCTGTTCTGCCATGGTAAAGATGTGCCTGCTTCTCCTTTGCCTTCCGCCATGATTTTAAGTTTCTGAGGCCTGCCAGCCATGCTTACTGTACAGCCTACAAAACTGTGAGTCAATTAAACCTCTTTTCTCACAAATTACCCAGTCTCAGGTAGTTCTTTATAGCACTGTGAGAACGGACTAATATGCATGTATCTACCATTATAGTATCATACAGATACGTATATTTACATATATTTGTACATTTTCACTGCCCTAAAAGTACTCTGTGCACTGCCTATTCAACCCTTCTTCCCCAACAACCCTTGGCAACCACTGAACTTTTTACTGCCTCCATAGCATTGCCTTTTCTAAAATGCAATATGATTGGAATCATACAGTATGTAGTTTCTTCAGATTGCCTTATTTCACATAGTAATATGTTTTTTAATTACCTCCATATCTTTTCATGGCTTGATAGCTCATTTCTATTTAGTGATGAATAATATTTCATTGCCTGGATGTACTACAGTTTATCTGTCTACTCACCTATGGAAGGACATCTCGGTTGCTTCCAATTTCAACAATCACAAATAAAGCTTCTGTAAACATCTCTGTGCAGATTTTTATGTGAATATAAGTCTTCACCTCCTTTGAGTAAATACCAAGGATGTGATTGCTGAACTGCATGGTAAGAATATGTTTAATTTTATAAGAAACCACTGATTTCGATATACTCTGGATTCTTCGGGGGATATGTATACACATTCAGAAGTGGAATTGATGGATCCTATGATAATTCCATTTTTAATTCTTTGAAGAACCACCAAACTCTTCTCCACCAGGGCTGCACCACTTTACATTCCCATTAATGGTATATGTCAAAGTGGCTGTACCATTTTGCATTCCCACCAGCAATGGATGAGTGTTCCTGTTGCCCCACATATTGGCAAGTATTTGGTATTGTCAGTGTTTTGAATTTTGGCCATTCTAATAAGCGTGTAGATATATCACATTTCTTGTTTTAATTTCCATTTCCCTAATGACGTAAGATGTGGGGCATCTTTTCATATACTTAGTTGCCATCTGTATATCTTCATTGGTGAGATGTCTGTTAAGGTCTTCAGTCCATTTTGTAATCAGATTGTTTGTTTTCTAATTGTTATGTTTTTAAGGTTCTTTATATATTTTGGATGAGTCCTTTATCAGGTATATCTTTTACAAGTATTGTCTCCCTTCTGTGGCCTGTCCTTTCATCCTCTTGACAGTATGTTTTACAGAGCAGAAACTTTTATTTTTAACAAAGTCTAGCTTATCAATTATTTCTTTCATGAATCATGCCTTTGGTGTCATATCTAAAAAGCCATCACCAAACTAAAGATCATCTAGATTTCTTCCTATGTTATCTTCTGGGATTTCTATTTGTTGTTGATTTCCAAATCTTTTATTGTGGCAAAATACACTTAACATAAAAATTACCATCCTAACCAATTTTAGTGTACAATTCAGTGAATGTATTAGATACGTTCACAATGCTGTGCAATCATCACTATCATCCATCTCCATAACACTTGTCATTTGTAATTATGAAACTCTATATCCATTAAACAATAATTCCCCAACCCCCCCACCACCGCCATCTCTTGGAAACCACCTTGTACTTTCTATGTCTCTGATTTGACTATTCTACATACCTCATATAAGTGGAAACATACAGTACTTCTCTTCTTGTGACTGCTGTATTTCATTTAACATAATGGCCTCGAGGTTCATCCATGTTGTGGCATGTGTCAAAATTTCTATTTTTTTTAAAGCTGAATAATATTACATTGTATGTATATACCACATTTTGCTTATCCATTCTTCCATGGACATTTGGGTTGCATTGATGTTTTAACTGTTGTAAATAATGCCACTACAATCGTGGGTATACAAATATATCTTTGAGACTGCTTTTAATCCTTCTGGGTGTATACACAGAGGTGGAGTTGATGGATCAGATAATTCTGTTTTTAATTTTTGAAGGAACACCAAACTGTTTAACACAGAGGCTGTACCATTTTGCATTCCCACTAACAGTGCACAAGGATTCCAATTTCTCCATGTCCCTTCCAGCAGTGGTTATTTTCTGTTTATGTGGGATTTTTTTGAGACAAGATCTGGCTCTGTCACTTAGGCTGGAATGCAGTGGCATGATCATGGCACACTGCAGCCTCAACCTAGACCTCTGGGCTTAGGCTATCCTCCCACCTTAACCTCCCACGTAGCTGATACTAGAGATGGGTCTCACTATGTTGCCTAGGCTGTGTTTATTTTTTTAATAGTAGTCATCTGAGTGTATGTAAGGTTGTGGTTTTGACTTGTATTTCCTAATGACTAGAGATGTTAAACAACTTTTCACGTACTATTATCCATTTGTATATCTTCTTTGGAGATACGTCTGTCCAAGTCCTTTGCCCTTTTTTTTTTTTTTTTGAGATGGAGTCTCACTCTGTTGCCCAAGCTGAGTGCAGTGGTGCCATCTCGGCTTACTGCAACCTCTGCCTCCTGGGTTCACATCATTCTCCTGCCTCCCGAGTAGCTGGGACTACAGGCGCCCACCACCACGCCTGGCTAATTTTTTGTATTTTTAGTAGAGACGGGGTTTCACCCTGTTAGCCAGGATGGTCTCAATCTCCTGACTTCATGATCCTCCCGCCTCAGCCTCCCAAAGTACTGGGATTACAGGCGTGAGCCACCGTGCCTGGCCCTTTTGCCCATTTTTCAGGTGCATTGTTTTTTGGTGATGACTTTTAGAAGTTCTCTGTATAATCTGGACATTAATCCCTTATCAGGTATGTGATTTGCAAATTTTTCTCCCATTCTGTAGGTTGTCTTATTGCTTAGTTGATATTATTTTAATGCACACAATGTAAATTTTTAAAATTTATCTAGTTTTACTTTTATTGCCTGTGCAAGTACAATTTATCTATTTTTACTTTTATTGCCTGTGCCTTTGGTGTCGCATACAAGAAGCACTGCCAATGATGTAAAGTTTTTCCCCTATGTTTCCTTATAAGACTTCATAGTTTTAGGACTTTGACCCATTTTGAGTAAGTTTTTGTACACAGTGTTAGGTAAGGGTCTCAACTTCATTCTCTTTTATACATGGTTAGGTAAGGATCTCAACTTCATTCTCTTGAGTTAATTTTTGTGTATGGTATTAGGTAAGGGTCTCAACTTCAGTTATCCTGGCACCATTTGTTGAAAATACAGCACTTTCCCTATTGAATGGTCTTGGCACTCTTCTCAGGAATCATTTGATCATGTATACAAGGGTTTATTTTTGGGCTCTCTATTCAATTCCATTGGTCTCTACATCTTTATGTCAATACCACATAGTTTTGATTACTGTAGCTTCGTAATAAGTTGGGGTTTTTGTTTGTTTTTCAGACATTCTTACTCTGTTGCCCACGCTGGAGTACAGTGGCATTATCACTGCTTACTGCCACCTCAATCTCCCAGGCTCAAGCAATCCTCCCACCTCGGCTTCTTGAGTAGCTGGGAATAGAAGTGTGTACCATTACACCTGGCCAATTATTTTATTTTTTGTAGAGATGAGGTCTCCCTGTGTTCCCCAGGCTGGTCTCAAACTCCTGGACTCAGAAGTCCTCCCACCTCAGCCTTCAAAAGTGCTGAGATTACAGGTGTAGGCCATTGTACCTGGCCTGTAGTAAGTTTTCAAATCAGAAAGTGTGAGTCCTCCAATGTTGTTCATCATTTTCAAGAATGTTTTAGCTATTCAAGGTCCCTTGAGATTCCATGTGAATTTTAGGATGGGGTTTCTTCTTTCTGCAAATAACATCATTAGGATTTTTATTGGGATTACCTTGGATTTGTAGATTGTTTTGTGTGGTACTGACACCTTAACAATATTGGCCTTCCAATCCATGAACATAGGAGGTGTTTTCCCTTTATGTCTACTTTAATTTCTTTCAGCATTGTTTTGTAATTTTCATTGTACAAGACTTTCACCTCCTTGGTAAAGTTGGTTCCTAAGTTTGTTATTCTTGATGCTTTTTTCAGCTTTTATTGAGGTATAATTGACAAATTAAAAGTGCATATATTTAAGAACATATTTGACCTACTGTGAAATGATTACTACAATCAAGCCAATTAACATATACCTTACATAGTTGCCATGTGTGTGCGTGTGTGTGGTCAGAATACCTAAGCTATACTCTCTTAGCAAATTCCAAGTATAGAATATATTAACTATAGTCACCAATCTGGACGTTATGTCAAGAACTTATTCATCTGATAACTCTATGTTTGTACCCTTCAACATTTCCTATTTCCCCTACTCCCTGACCCCTAGTAACCACCCTTCTACTCTCCGTTTCTCTGAGTTCAAGCTTTTTAGAATTCCATATGTAACTGGGATAGTGCAGTATTTGTCTTTCTGTGTCTGGCTATTTCACTTAGCATAATATCCTCCAGGTTCATCTATGTTGTCATAAATTGCATGATTTCCTGCTTTTTAAAGGATGAATATTTCATTGTGTGTGTGTATATATGTGTGTGTGTGTGTCTGTATGTATATGTATGTGATGTGTTTATTTGGGAATTTGGTGATACACACACACACACTATTTTCTTCCTTTCTTTTTGAGACAGGGTCTCCATCTGTCATCCAGGCAGGAGTACAGTGGCACAATCACAGTTCACTGTAGCCTCAACCTCATGGGCTCAAGTGATCCTCCTGCCTCAGCCTCCTGAGTAGCTGGGACCACAGTCATGCACCCCCATGCCCAGCTAATTTTTAAAATTTTATGTAGAGATAGGGTATCACTATGTTTCCTAGGCTGGTCTCAAACTCCTGTGTTCAAGCTATCCTTCACCTTGGCCACCCCCAAGTACTGGGATTACAGGTACAAGCCACCATGCCTATGAATACTATGTTGCTCATTTCTTGACTACTGTAACACTACAATGAACATGGGAGTGCAGATACCTCTTCAAGATACTGACTTTGTTTTCCTTAGATATACCCGGAACTGAGACTGCTGGATCATATAGCAGTTCCAATTTTAATTTTTTAAAGAAAATCTATCGTGTTTTCCATAATGACTGTATCAATTTACATTCCTAACAAAAATGTATAAGGGACACCTTTTCTCCACATCCTCACCAACACTTGCTATCTTTTGACTTTTTGATAATAGCGATTCTAACAGTTATGAGGTGATATCTCAGTGTGGTTTTCATTTGCATTTCCCTGATGATAAGTGATGTTAAGCACCTTTTTATATACCTGTTGACCATCTGTATGTCTTCTTTGAATAAATGTCTATTCAGTCCCTTGTCCATCTTAACAGGTTATTAATTGGGTTATTAAGTTTTTTTGCTAGTTATATGAGTTCCTTATATATATTGGATATTAATAGCTTATCAGATATATGGTTGGAAATATTTTCTCCCGCTACATGTGCTGCCTTTTCATTTTGTTGTTTCCTTTGTTGTGCAGACACTTTTTTGTTTGATGTAGTTCTAATTTATTTTTGCGTTTTATTCCTTGTGCTTTTGATGTCACATCTAAAAAATTGTCACAAAAACCAATGGCAAGGAGCTTTTCCCTGTTTTATAGGTTTTATGGTTTCAGGTCATATGTTTAAATCTTATTCACTTTTCTCTACAGTGTAGGGTAAGGTTCCAATTTAATTTTTTTGCATGTGGATATCCTGGTTTCACAGTGCCATTTATTCAAGAGAGTACCCTTTCCCCATTGTGTACTCTTGGTGTCTTTGTCAAAGATTAGTTGACCATAAATGTGTGGGTTTATTTCTATGCTTTCTATTCTGTTCCATTGGTTTATTTCTATACCAGTACCATAACTTTGAAATATAATTCAAAATAAGCATGTGTAATATCTTTCACTTTGTTCTTATTGCTCAAGTATGCTTTAGATCTTTAAGGTCTTTTGTAGTTTCTTTCAAATTTTAGGATTTTTTTTGTCTATATCTGTGAAAAAAAGTCACTGGAAATTTGATAGGCATTGCCTTGAATCTGTAGATCACTTTGAGTAGTATAGCTATTTCGGCAATATTTATTCTATTGATCTATGAACACCAGATATCTTTCCATTTATTTGTATCATCTTAGAATTTGTTCAATGTTTCATAGTTTTCAGTGTCTAGGTCTTTTATCTCCTTGGTTAAATGTATGCCTAAATGTTATGCAGTCCAATTTCTCTATTTTTTATTTTATCTGTGCCTTTCATATTATATCCAAATGAAGTCAATACCAAATCCAATGTCATGCAGTTTTTGCCCCATGTTTTCTTCTAAGAGTTTTATAGTTTTAGGTCTTACATTTAGGTCTGTGGTCCACTTTGAGTTAATTTTTGTATATGGAGTTAGGTAAAGGTCTCGACTTCATTCTCTCACGTGAGGATATCCAGTTTTCCTGGCACCATTTGTTGAAAAGAGAATCCATTTGCCATTGAATGGACATGGCATGCTTGTCAGAAATCATGCGTTCATATATGAAAGGATTTATTTGGGAGCTCTCTATTCTTTTTGATGCTATTTTAAATGAAATTGTTTTCTTAATTTGTTTTTCAGGTTGTTTATTATTAGTGTATAGATACGCAAATGACTTCTGAATGCTGATTTTGTATCCTGCCACTTTACTGAGTTAGATTATTACTTCTAACAGGTTTTTTTTGTGGAGTCTGTAGCATTTTCTACATATATGATGTCATCTGCAAACAGAGACAATTTTACTTCCTTCTTTCTGATTTGAGTGTATTTATTTATTTTTCTTGCCCAATTCCTCTGGCTAGGACTTCCAGTACTGTGTTGAATAGAAGTGGTGAGAATATCTTTTTCTTGTTCCTCATCTTAGAGGAGAGGCATTCAGCTTTTCAGCATTGAGTATGATGTTAGCTGTGGGCTATTCATATATGGCCTTTATTGTGTTGCAGTACATTCCTTCTATACCTAATTTGTTCATAGTTTTTATCATGGAAGGATGTTGAATTATGTGAACTGCATTATTTGCACTTATCAAAATGATTGTATGATTTTTATCTTTGATTTTATTAAAGTATCCCATTTCTTGTATATGTACACTTAACTGTCCTTATGTACTAAGGATAAATCCCATGTTTGTGATATATGATTTTTTTAATGTGCTGTTAAATTCAGTTTGATCATATTTTGTTGAAAATTTTTAAATGTATAGTCATAAAAAAATATCAGCCAGTTATTTTCTTTTCTTATATTGTCCTTGTCTGGCCTTAGTATGAGGGCAATGCTAGCCTTGTAAAATAAGTTGGGATTGTTCCCTCTTTGTTTGGGGGGAATATTTTGATCTTATACTTCCCCCGCTACATTTTATTTTTGATGCCCCAAGGTACACCTTTTAATATTGCATATCCATTGAGAAATTATGAAAACAATAGTAATTTTTAATTATTTTTCTTTTAACCTTTATACTAGAGTTATGTGATTTATATACTACCATTACACTATTAGAGTATTCTTAAGTTGCCCGTATATTTATTTATCAGTGAATTTTGTACTTTCATATGTTTTCATGTTACTAATTATCATCCTTCCATTTAAGCCTGAATAACTCCCTCTGGCATATCTTGTAAGGCAAGAGTAGTTGCTGATAAACTCCTTCAACTTTTGTTTACCTGAGGAAGTCTTGTATCTGTTTCATATCTGAAGGACAGCTTTGCTGTGTAAAGTATTCTTAGATGGCAGTTTTTTATCTTTCAGAACTTTGAATATATAATCCTATTGTTTCCTGGCCTGGAAAGTTTTTGCTCAGAAATCCACTGATAGCCTTATGGAGGTTCCTGCAGATGTAAGAACTTTATTTATCTTGCCGCTTTCAAAATTATCTTGTCTTCCATTTTTTACATTTTGATGGCAATATATCTAGGTGAAACCTCTTTTAGATGGAAACTAATTGTAATTCTTTGAGCTTCATGTACCTAGATGTCCATCAATCTGGGAAGAGCCCCAGATATGGGAAGTTTTCAGCCATTATTTCTCTGAATTAACTTTCTACCCTTTACCTCTCTACTTTCCTTCTATAAATCCTGTGTGAACATTAACTCTCCTGATGGTGTCCCATAAATCCTGTAAACTTCCCTTGTTACCTTTTCATTCTTTATTTTTCTCCTCTACTGGTTATTTTCAAATAATTTATCCTCCAGTTGATGAATTCCTCCTTCTATTTGATCAAGTCTGCTGCTGATGCTTTCTATTTCACTTTTCATTTCATGCACTATATTCTTCACCTCCAAAATGTTTGTTTTTTTTTTAGGATTTCTATTTCTTTATTGAATGTCTCCTTTTGTGTATTAATGATTTCATTAGGTTGTCTCTCTGTTCTCTGGTAGCACACTGAACTTCCTTAAATCAGTCGTTTTTAATTTTCTGTAAGGCAATTAATGTATCCCAATTTCTTGGGAGTCAGTCCCTGAAAATTATTGTATTTCTCAGGTGGGTGCTATGTTTCCTTGGTTTTTCTGTTTCTTGTTACAATGAATTGAAATCTGCTCACTTGATGGAGTGTTAAGTAGGTAGGGTGCAGCAGCTGTAGCCCAGATGAGGATATAATGGAATACTCTTCTTGCAGCTCCATCAGCTGAGGTCAGCAGTGGCAAACATTACAAAGGTCCTTGGTGGCCAAGGCTGAGTGTCCTGATGCTGTCGTGTAAATAGAGTTGTGTTAATAATATCCCTTTCAGATTGTTTGTGATTAATGTATAGAAATGCAACTGAAAGCTGGGCGCAGTGGCTCACGCCTGTAATCCCAGCACTTTGGGAGGCTGAGGAGGGCAGATCACAAGGTCAGGAGATCGAGACCATCCTGGCTAACATGGTGAAACCCCATCTCTACTAAAAATACAAAAACATTAGCCAGGCATAGCAGCGTGTGCCTGTAGTCCCAGCTACTTGGGAGGCTGAAGCAGGAGAATGGCGTGAACTCGGGAGGCAGAGCTTGCAGTGAGCCGAGATCGCGCCACTACACTCTAGCCTGGGCGACAGACCAAGACTCTGCCTCAAAAAAAAAAAAAAAAAAAAAGAAATGCAACTGAATTTTGTGTACTGACTTACTATCCTGCTACTTTGCTGAATTAATTTATTCAGTTTTTGTGGTGAGTTTTCAGGGATTTCTACAAATATGATCATATCTATGAACAAACATAATTTTAATTCTTCCTTTCTAAATGATGCCTTTATTTCTTTTCCATATTCTTTGGCTAGAAAGCCACTACTATGTTTAATATAATGGCTAAAATGCGCATCTTGCTTTATTCCTGATCTTAGAGGAAAAGCTCTTAGTCTTTTCACCATTATGATGCTCCTTGTGGGTTTTTCTTCTAGGAGTCTTTTTCTTTGTCCTTTTATTTTTAGTCAACATGTAATAATTGTAGATATTTATGGGATATACACAGTGATATTGTGATACATGTATATAATGTGTCATAATCAAATCAGGGTAATTAGCATATTCATCAACTCAAATATCATTTCTCTGTTTTGTGAGCAGTCAAAATCCTCCATCTTTCTGTGCCTAATTTCATTTAACATATTATCCAAGTTCATCCATGTTGCTGTGAATGACAGGACTTAATGCTTTATTATGACTGAATAATATTCCATTGTGTATACATACCACATTCTTTCTCTGCATCTGCTGATGGAGATTTAAGTTGATTCCATATCTTAACTGTTGTGAACAGTACTGCAATAAACATGAGAATGCAAATATCTTTTTTATATACTGATTTCCTTTCCTTTGAGTCAATACCCGGTAGTGGATTGTCAAACTGTATGATAGTCTACTTTTAGTTTTTTTGACAAAACACCACAGTATTTTCCATAATGACTCACTAATTTATAGTCCCACAAATAGTGTATTATTTCCCTTTTCTCTGCATCCTTGCCAGCATTTGTTATGTTTTGTCTTTTTGAAAACAGCCATTCTAACTGAGGTGAAATAATGTCTCACTGTGGCTTTGACTTGCATTTCTGTGATGAGAGATGTTGAGCATTTTTTCACATACCTGTTGGCCAGTTGTTCTATTTTGCACATTTCTAAATCAGATAATCTGGTGTTTTTTGCTGTTGAATTGTTTGAATTCCTTGTATATTCCGGATATTAATCCCTTGTCAGATGAATATTTTCTCCCATTCTACAGGATATCTCTTAATAGTTTATTATTTCCTTTTATGTGTAGGTTTTTAGTTTGATACAGTCCCATTTGTCTATTTTTGTTTTTGTTGCCTGTGCTTATAAAGTCTTACCCATAAAATCTTCGCTAGACCCATATCCTGAAGGGTTTCCCTTCTGTTTTCTTCTAGTACTGTTTGCTTCAGGTCTCATGTTTAAGTCTCTAATCAATTTTGAGTTGATTTTTTTATATGCTGAGAGATAGTATAGTTTCATTCTTCTGCATATGATATCCTGTTTTCCCAACATGATGTGTTCAACATGGTGTCCTTTCCCCAGAGTGTGTTCTTGGCACCTTTGTCAAAAACCAGTTGTCTGTAAATAAATTTATTTACTTCTGGGTTCTCTATTCTGTTCCATTGGTCTATATGTCTGTTTTATGCCCATTGCATGCTAATTTGGTTACCATTGTTTTGTATACAAGGGGGATTGCTTCCGAGACCCCCTGTATATACCAAAAGCCATGTATATTCAAGTCCCAGAGTCAGCCCTGTGTAATGCGCATATACAAAATGTCAGTCATCTGTATACATAGTTTTCACTTTTGTGAATATTGCATTCTATCCTTGTTAGATTATGGGGAAAATCCACGTATAAATGAACCTATACAGTTCAAATCTATGTTGTTGAAGAGTCGACTGTATTTTGATGTCAGGCAGTGTAGTGCCTCCAGCTTCATTCTGCCTGCTCAGTATTGTTTGTCCTATTTGTGGTCTTTTGTGGTTCCATGCAAGTTTAAGGATTGTGTTTTTGCTATTTCGGTGAAGATTGTCTTTGGTATTTTTTTTTTTTTAGATTTCTCTTTTCTCTCTCTCTCCCTTTTTTTTATTATACTTTAAGTTCTAGGGTACATGTGCACAACGTGCAGGTTTGTTACATATGTATACATGTGCCATGTTGGTGTGCTGCACTGATTACCTTGTCATTTACCTTAGGTATATCTCCTAATGCTTTCCCTCCCCCCTCCCCCCTCCCCCCCCACCCCACAACAGGCCCTGGTGGGTGATGTTCCCCTTCCTACGTCCAAGTGTTCTCATTGTTCAGTTCCCACCTACGAGTGAGAACATGCGGTGTTTGGTTTTTCATTCTTGCTATAGTTTGCTGAGAATGATGGTTTCCAGCTTCATCCATGTCCCTACAAAGGACGTGAACTCATCCTTTTTTTATGGCTGCATAGTATTCCATGGTGTGTATGTGCCACATTTTCTTAATCCAGTCTATCATTGATGGACATTTGGGTTGGTTCCAAGTCTTTGCTATCGTGAATAGTGCTGCAATAAACATACGTGTGCATGTGTCTTTATAGCAGCATGACTTATAGTCCTTTGGGTATATACCCAGTAAGGGGATGGCTGGATCAAATGGTATTTCTAGTTCTAGATCCTTGAGGAATCACCACACTGTCTTCTACAATGGTTGAACTAGTTTACAGTCCCACCAACAGTGTAAAAGCGTTCCTATTTCTCCACATCTTCTCCAGCACCTGTTGTTTCCTGAATTTTTAATGATTGCCATTCTAACTGGTGTGAGATGGTATCTCATTGTGGTTTTTTGATTTGCCTTTCTCTGATGGCCAGTGATGATGAGCATTTTTTCATGTGTCTTTTGGCTGCATAAATGTCTTCTTTTGAGAAGTGTCTGTTCATAACCTTTGCCCACTTTTTGATAGGGTTGTTTGTTTTTTCTTGTAAATTTGTTTGAGTTCTTTGTAGATTCTGGATATTAGCCTTTTATCAGATGAGTAGATTGCAAAAAATTTCTCCCATTCTGTAGGTTGCCTATTCACTCTGACGGTAGTTTCTTTTGCTGTGCAGAAGCTCTTTAGTTTAATTAGATCCCATTTGTCAATTTTGGCTTTTGTTGCCATTGCTTTTGGTGTTTTAGACATGAAGTCCTTGCCCATGCCTATGTCCTGAATGGTATTGCCTAGGTTTTCTTCTAGGGTTTTTACGGTTTTAGGTCTAACATGTAAGTCTTTAATCCATCTTGAATTAATTTTTGTATAAGGTGTAAGGAAGGGATCCAGTTTCAGCTTTCTACATATGGCTAGCCAGTTTTCCCAGCACCATTTATTAAATAGGGAATCCTTTCCCCATTTCTTGTTTCTGTCAGCTTTGTCAAAGATCAGATGATTGTAGATGTGTGGTATTATTTCTGAGGGCTCTGTTCTGTTCCATTGGTCTATATCTCTGTTTTGGTACCAGTACCATGCTGTTTTGGTGACTGTAGCCTTGTAGTATAGTTTGAAGTCAGGTAGCGTGATGCCTCCAGCTTTGTTCTTTTGGCTTAGGATTGTCTTGGCAATGCGGGCTCTTTTTTGGTTCCATATGAACTTTAAAGTAGTTTTTTTCCAATTCTGTGAAGAAAGTCATTGGTAGCTTGATGGGGATGGCATTGAATTTATAAATTACCTTGGGCAGTATGGCCATTTTCATGATACTGATTCTCCCTATCCATGAGCATGGAATGTTCTTCCATTTGTTTGTATCCTCTTTTATTTTGTTCAGCAGTGGTTTGTACTTCTCCTTGAAGAGGTCCTTCACATCCCTTGTAAGTTGGATTCCTAGGTATTTTATTCTCTTTGAAGCAATTGTGAATGGGAGTTCACTCATGATTTGGCTCTCTGTTTGTCTGTTATTGGTGTATAAGAATGCTTGTGATGTTTTGCACATTGATTTTGTATCCTGAGACTTTGTTGAAGTTGCTTATCAGCTTAAGGAGATTTTGGGCTGAGATGATGGGGTTTTCTAAATATACAATCATGTCATCTGCAAACAGGGACAATTTGACTTCCTCTTTTCCTAATTGAATATCCTTTCTTTCTTTCTCCCGCCTGATTGCCTTGGCCAGAACTTCCAACACTATGTTGAATAGGAGTGGTGAGAGAGGGCATCCCTGTCTTGTGCCAGTTTTCAAAGGGAATGCTTCCAGTTTTTGCTCATTCAGTATGATATTGGCTGTGGGTTTGTCATAAATAGCTCTTATTATTTTGAGATACATCCCATCAATACCTAATTTATTGAGAGTTTTTAGCATGAAGGGCTGTTGAATTTTGTCAAAGGCCTTTTCTGCATCTATTGAGATAATCATGTGGTTTTTGTCTTTGGTTCTGTTTATATGCTGGATAATGTTTATTGATTTGCATATGTTGAACCAGCCTTGCATCCCAGGGATGAAGCCCACTTGATCATGGTGGATAAGCTTTTTGATGTGCTGCTGGATTCGGTTTGCCAGTATTTTATTGAGGATTTTTGCATCAATGTTCATCAGGGATATTGGTCTAAAATTCTCTTTTTTTGTTGTGTCTCTGCCAGGCTTTGGTATCAGGATGATGCTGGCCTCATAAAATGAGTTAGGGAGGATTCCCTCTTTTTCTATTGTTTGGAATAGTTTCAGAAGGCATAGTACCAGCTCCTCCTTGTACCTCTGGTAGAATTCGGCTGTGAATCCGTCTGGTCCTGGACTTTTTTTGGTTGGTAGACTATTAATTATTGCCTAAATTTCAGAGCCTGTTATTGGTCTTTTCAGGGATTCAACTTCTTCCTGGTTTAGTCTTGGAAGGGTGTATGTCTCCAGGAATTTATCCATTTCTTCTAGATTTTCTAGTTTATTTGCATAGAGGTGTTTATAGTATTCTCTGATGGTAGTTTGTATTTCTGTGGGATCGGTGGTGATATCCCCTTTATCATTTTTTATTGCATCTATTTGATTCTTCTCTCTTCTTTATTAGTCTTGCTAGAGGCCTATCAATTTTGTTGATCTTTTCAAAAAAACCACCTCCTGGATTCATTGATTTTTTGAAGGGTTTTTTGTGTCTCTATCTCCTTCAATTCTTCTCTGATCTTAGTTATTTCTTGCCTTCTGCTAGCTTTTGAATGTGTTTGCTCTTGCTTCTCTAGTTCTTTTAATTGTGATGTTAGGGCATCAATTTTAGATTTTTCCTGCTTTCTCTTGTGGGCATTTAGTGCTATAAATTTCCCTCTACACACTGCTTTAAATGTGTCCCAGAGATTCTGGTATGTTGTGTCTTTGTTCTCATTGGTTTCAAAGAACATCTTTATTTCTCTGCCTTCATTTCGTTATGTACCCAGTAGTCATTCAGGAGCAGGTGGTTCAGTTTCCATGTCGTTGAGCGGTTTTGAGTGAGTTTCTTAATCCTGAGTTCTAGTTTGATTGCACTGTGGTCTGAGAGACAGTTTGTTATAGTTTCTGTTCTTTTACATTTGCTGAGGAGTGCTTTACTTCCAATTATGTGGTCAATTTTGGAATAAGTGCGATGTGATGCTGAGAAGAATGTATATTCTGTTGATTTGGGTTGGAATGTTCTGTAGATGTCTATTAGGTCCACTTGGTGCAGAGCTGAGTTCAATTCCTGGATATCCTTGTTAACTTCCGGTCTTGTTGATTTGTCTAATGTTAACAGTGGGGTGTTAAAGTCTCCCATTATTATTGTGTGGGAGTCTGTCTCTTTGTAGATCTCTAAGGACTTGCTTTATGAATCTGGGTGCTCCTGTATTGGGTGCATATATATTTAAGATAGTTAGCTCTTCTTGTTGAATTGATCCCTTTACCATTATGTAATGACCTTGTCTCTTTTGATCTTTATTGGTTTAAAGTCTGTTTTATCAGAGACTAGGATTGCAACCCCTGCCTTTTTTTATTTTCCATTTGCTTGGTAGATCTTCCTCCATCCCTTTATTTTGAGCCTATGTGTGTCTCTGCACGTGAGATGGGTCTCCTGAATACAGCACACTGATGGGTCTTGACTCTTTATCCAATTTGCCAGTCTGTGTCTTTTAATTGGAGCCTTTAGCCTATTTACATTTAAGGTTAATATTGTTATGTGTGAATTTGATCCATTATGATGTTAGCTGGTTATTTTGCTCGTTAGTTGATGCAGTTTCTTCCTAGCATCTATGGTCTTTACAATTTGTCATGTTTTTGCAGTGGCTGGTACCAATTGTTCCTTTCCATGTTTAGTGCTTCCTTCAGGAGCTCTTGTAGGGCAGGCCTGGTGGTTATAACATCTCTCAGCATTTGCTTGTCTATAAAGGATTTTATTTCTCCTTCACTTATGAAGCTTAGTTTGGCTGGATATGAAATTCTGGGTTGAAAATTCTTTTCTTTAAGAATGTTGAATATTGGCCCCCACTCTCTTCTGGCTTGTAGAGTTTCTGCTGAGAGATCCGCCGTTAGTCTGATGGGTTTCCCTTTGTGGGTAACCCAACCTTTCTCTCTGGCTGCCCTTAACATTTTTTCCTTCATTTCAACTTTGGTGAATCTGACAATTATGTGTCTTGGAGTTGCTCTTCTTGAGGAGTATCTTTGTGGCATTCTCTGTATTTCCTGAATTTGAATGTTGGCCTGCCTTGCTAGGTTGGGGAAGTTCTCCTGGATAATATCCTGCCTTGCTAGGTTGGGGAAGTTCTCCTGGATAATATCCTGAAGAGTGTTTTCCAACTTGGTTCCATTCTCCCTGTCATTTTCATGTACACCAGTCAGATGTAGATTTGGTCTTTTCACATAGTCCCATATTTCTTGGAGGCTTTGTTCGTTTGTTTTTACTCTTTTTTCTCTGAACTTCTCTTCTCACTTCATTTCATTCATTTGATCTTCAATCACCGATATCCTTTCTTCCAGTTGATCAAATCGGCTACTGAAGCTTGTGCATTTGTCACGTAGTTCTTGTGCCATGGTTTTCTGCTCCATCATGTCATTTAAGGACTTCTCTACACTGGTTATTCTAGTTAGCCATTCGTCTAATCTTTTTTCAAGGTTTTTAGCTTCTTTGCTTTGGGTTCGAACTTCCTCCTTTAGCTCGGAGAAGTTTGATTGTCTGAAGCCTTCCTCTCTCAACTTGTCAAAGTCATTCTCCGTCCAGCTTTGTTCCATTGCTGGCGAGTGGCTGCGTTCCTTTGGATGGGGAGAGGTGCTCTGAGTTTTAGAATTTTCTGCTTTTCTGCTGTTTTTTCCCCATCTTTGTGGTTTTATCTACCTTTGGTCTTTGATGATGGTGACGTATAGATGGAGTTTTGGTGTGGATGTCCTTTCTGTTTGTTAGTTTTCCTTCTAACAGTCAGGACCCTCAGCTGCAGGTCTGTTGGAGTTTGCTGGAGGTCCACTCCAGACCCTGTTTGCCTGGGTATCAGCAGCAGAGGCTGCAGAACAGCGAATACTGCTGAACACCAAATGTTGCTGCCTGATTGTTCCTCTGGAAGCTTCGTCTCAGAGGAGTACCCAGCCGTGTGAGGTGTCAGTCTGCCCCTACTGGGGAGTGCCTCCCAGTTAGGCTACTCGGGGGTCAGGGACCCACTTGAGGAGGCAGTCTATCCATTCTTAGATCTCAAACTCCGTGCTGGGAGAACCACTACTCTTTTCAAAGCTGTGAGACAGGGACATTTAAGTCTGCAGAGGTTTCTGCTGCCTTTTGTTCGGCTATGCTCTGTCCCCAGAGGTGGAGTCTACAGAGGCAGGCAGGCCTCCTTGAGCTGTGGTGGACTCCACCCAGTTCGAGCTTCCTGGCCACTTTGTTTACCTACTCAAGCCTCAGCAATGGCAGGCTCCCCCAGCCTCGCTGCCGCCTTGCAGTTCGATCTCAGACTGCTGTGCTAGCAATGAGCGAGGCTCCATGGGCGTGGGACCCTCCGAGCCAGGCGCGGGATATAATCTCCTGGTGTGCCGTTTGCTAAGACCATTGGAAAAGCACAGTATTAGGGTGGGAGTGATCCAGTTTTCCAGGTGCCGTCTGTCACCCCTTCCGTTGGCTAGGAAAGGGAATTCCCTGACCCCTTGTGCTTCCCAGGTGAGGCGATGCCTCGCCCTACTTCGTCTCACACTCAGTGGGCTGCACCCACTGTCCTGTACCCACTGTCTTGACGAGCCCCAGTGAGATGAACCCACTACCTCAGTTGGAAATGCAGAAATCACCCATCTTCTGCGTCACTCACGCTGGGAGCTATAGACTGGAGCTCCTCCTATTCGGCCATCTTGGAACCACCCCACTTACTGCAATCTTTAACTCCCAGGCTCAAGTCATTCTCCATCCTTGACCCCTCAAGTAGCTGGGACTACAGGCATGCACCACCATGCCTGGATAACTTCTTAATTTTTTGTAGAGACAGGGTCGTGCATTGTTGCCCAGGCTGGTCTTGAATTCCTGGGCTCAAGCGATCCTTCTGCCTTGGCCCCCCAAAGCACTGGGATTTCCTTTTTTTTTTTTTTTTGACCGATACATAATACTTATGGGGTACATGTGCTATTGTTACATGCATCGAATGTGTAATGATCAAGTCAGGGTATCCATCACCCTCAATTTATCATCTCTATAGTTAGGAACATTTCAAGTCCTCTTTTTTATTTTGAAATATACATTATATTGTTAAATATAGTCAACCAACTCTTATCAAACATTATAAATTATTTATTCTAACTAGCTGTGTATTTTTACCCACTAACCAACCTCTCTTCACCCTCCAGACATACCTTTCACAGCCTTTGGTATCTATCCTTCTACTCTCTACCTCCATGAGATCAACTTTTATAGCTCCCACATATGATAATAACATAAGATAATTATCTTTCTGTGCCTGGCTTAAAATAATGACCTCCAGCTCCATTCATGTTGCTGCAAAGGACATGATTTCATTCTTCTTTGGTCAATTAGTATTCCATTGTATATATTTACCTCATTTTCTTTTTCCATTTATCCACTGATGTACACTTAGGTTCCTGAGTCCATATCTTTGCTGTTGTGAATAGTGCTGCAATAAACACGGGGATGCAGGTACATTTTTAGTATACTGATATCTTTTCCTTTAGATAAATATCCAGTAGTGAGATTGCTGGATTATGTCATATTTCTCTTTTTAGGTTTTTCAGAAATCAAACTGTTTTCTATAGTATTAATTTACATTCCCACCAACAGTGTATAAGAGTTCCCTCCACATCCTCTCCAGCATTGGTTAATTTTTGTCTTTTTAAAATAGCCATTCTCACTATGGTTTTGGCTTGCATTTCCCTTATAATTACTGATGTTGGGCTTTTTTTTTTAAATATACCTGTTGGCTACTTGTATGTTTTCTTTTGAGAAATATCTATCCATGTCTTTTGCTCACTTTTTATTGGAATTAATTTGTTGTTTACTATTGAGTTATTGGAGTTCCTAGTATATTCTGGTATTAGTACCTTGTCAGATGAGTAGTTTGCAAATATTTTCTCCCATTCAACAGGCTGTCTCTTCACTCTGGTGATTGTTTCCCTTGTTGTGTACAAGCTTTATCATTTAATATAGTCCCATTTGTCTATTTTTGTTTTTGTCTGTGTTTTTGAGGTCTTATCCATAAAATCTTTCCCTAGACCAATGTCCTAAAGTGTTTCCCCAATGTCTCCTTCATTAATAGTGATGTTATAGTTTCATGCCTCATGTTTAAGTCTTTAACCCATCTTGAGTTGATTTTAGTATAGCAAGAGATAGAAACGGTTTCATTTTTCACATGGATATCTTATTTTCCCAGCTCCATTAAGTGAAGAGGGTGCTCTTTTCCCAGTGTATGTTCTTGGCATCTTTGTCAAAAATCAGTTGGCTGTAAATACATGGATTTACTTCCAGGTTCTACTCTGTTCCATTGGTCTATCAGTTTTTATTCCAATACCATGCTGCTTTTAATGCTATAGCCTTATATTTTTAAATCAGGCAGTGTGATGCATCCAACTTTGTTATTTTTGCTCAGAATTGCTGTGGCTATTCCAGCTCTTTTTTGGTTCCATCTGAATTTTAGGATTTTTTCTATTTCCATGAAAAATGGCATTGGTATTTTGAGAGAGACTGCATTGAATCTGTAGATTGCTTTGGGTAGTATGGTCATTTTAATTTTGTTAATTCTCCCAATCCATGAGAATGGGATGTTTTTTGTGTGTTCTTTTCAATTTCTTTCATCAGACTTTTGTAGTTTTCCTTGTTAGAGGTTTCTCACCTCTTTGGTTAAACTCATTCCTAGATTTTTTGTAGTGGTTGTAAAAGATAATGCCTTCTTGATTTCTTTCTCAGCTGGTTCTTTATTGGTATATAGAAATAAGCCTGATTTTTAAATCCTGTAACTGTAATCAATTTATTGATCAGACTGAAGAGTTTTGATTTTTGTATTTCATGGTATGAGTTGTAATATCCCCTTTTTCATTTTTGATTTTATTCATGTAGGTCTTCTCTCTTTTCTTCTTGGATAGTTTAGCCACTGGTTATTTTGTTTCTTTTCAAAAACCGATTTTGCATTTCATTGATCCTTTATATTTATTTAGTTTCTTGTTTAGTTCTGCTCTGATCTTCGTTATTTCTTTCCTTCTACTAATTTTATGTTTAGTATGGTTTGTTCTTGCTTTTCTGGTTCCTTCAGGTGTATCATTAGATTATTTAAGATCTTTTCTACCTTTTTTAATGGAGGCATTTATTACAATAAACTTTCCTCTTAGCATTGCTTTTGCAGTATCCCTTAAGTTTCAGAATGTTGTGCTTCTATTTTCACTTGTTTCAGTAAATTTTTTATTTCTGCCTTAATTTCTTCTTTGACCCATTGGTCATTCAGGAACATGTTAATTTCCATTTATTTATACAGTTTTGAATGCTCCTCTTATTTATTTATAGTTTTATGCTATTGTGGTCTGAGAAGATATGTGATATGAATCCAATTTAAAATATATATATATTTAAAATCATACTTAGTGTCCTAACATATAATGTATCCTGGAGAGTGTTCCATGTACTGATGAGAAGAGTGTATATTCTGCAGCTGTTTTATGAACTGGTCTGTAAATGTCTGTTAGGTCCATTTGGTATAAAGTGCAGTTTAAATCCAATGTTTCTTTGTTAATTTTTTGTCTAGATGATCTGTCTAATACTGGAAATGGAGAATTGAAGTTCCCAAGATTATTGTGTTGAAGTCTACCTTTCCCTTCAGATTTGATGTTTGCCTTATATATCTGGGTGCTTTGGTGTTGGGTGCATATATGTTTAGAATTGTTATATCCTCTTGGTCAATTGATCCCTCTGTCACTATATAATGACTTCGTCTCTTTTTAGTGTTTTTAGCTTAACCTTTGTTTTATCTGATGAAAGTATAGCTACTCCTGTTTGGTTTTTGTTTCCTTTTGCATGTAATATCTTTTCCCATTCCTTTCTTTCAACTATGTGTCTTTACAGGTGAGATGCGTTTCTTGTAGATAGCATTTAGATGGGTCATGTTTTTAAGTCCATTCAGCCAGTCTGTCTTTTAAGTAGAAAGTTTAATCTATTTATATGCAAGGTTATTGTTGATATGTGAGGGCTTATTCCTGTCATTAATTGATTTCTGATTATTTTGTGTGCTTTCATGAAGTTGTCCTTTCACTTCTTCCTGTAAGACTCCCTTAAGCATTTTTTGTAGTGCCAGTGTAGTGGCAATTAATTCCCTGAGCTTTTACTTTTAAGGGAAATACTTTATTTCTCCTTCATTTCTGACGAATATAACTTTGCTAAGTACAGTATTCCTGGCTGGCAGGTTTTTGGTTTTGTTTTTTCTTTCAGCACTCTGCGTATATAATCCCATCCTCCTGGCCTGTAAAGTTTCTGCTGAAAAATCTGTTAGTCTGCAGGTTGTTCCCTTGTAAGTGTCTACAACCTCTTTTATCGCTGGTTTTATGATTCTCTCTTTGTCTTGGGATGGGCAATTTGCTATAATGTGCTGTGGAAAAGACCTTTCTGAATTGTATCTATTTAGGGTTCTGAGATTCCTATATTTGGATCTAAATCTCTTGGGAGATTGGGAAGTGTTCAGGTATTATTTCATTAAATAGGTTTTATAATCTTTTGGTTTGCTCTTCACCTTCTGGGACACTGAAGGTGTCACCTTATGGCATCCTATAGTCACATAGCCTTTGTTCATTCTTTTCTATTTTTTCTATATTTTTGTCTGAGTCATTTCAAAAGACTTATCTTCAAGGTGTGAAATTCTTTCTTCTGCTTGTTGTGGTCTGTTATTGAAGCTTTCAAATATGTTTTTTATTTCATTCAATCTATTATTCAATTCCAGAATATCTGTTTGGTTCTTTTTATATCTATCTCTTGGGCAAATTTCTCATTCATACCCCGAATTGTTTTTTCTGATTTCTTTGTATAGTCTATCAGATCTTCTTTAATATTATATTGAATTTTTCAAGGTTTCATCAATTTCTTTTTCACTGGAATCTGTTGGAGAATTATTGCATTCCTTAGGAGTTGTCATGTTTTGCCTTTTCATGTTTCTTGTGTGCTTACACTGGTATCTGCACATCTGGTGTAACAGTAGTTTCTTCCAATTTTTTGATCTGTCTTTCCTAAGAGAGTCTTGTTCCTGAAGATATATCTATGGTGTTCTTTGGGCAGGGCACTTTGGTTTTGATTCTGGGTGCCTGCAGTAGTGTGATCTCCATGGAATTTTTTTCAGCTGTAAACAGCACCAGTAGTGTCTGGGAGTTCCTCTGTAGTTTAGGATGCAGTTGTTGGTGGAGGCTGTGGTAAAGTCTGGCTGGGGATAGGGACACCAGCTGGGCCAGTCCTCAGGCCCCAGTGGCAGCAGTGGCTGGCCCCGAATGCTTATCCTTGGGCCCAATGGTAGTGTATGCTGGTACCAGTGTTAGCAAGTCCAGGGAAACCAATTTTGGGCCTCCAGGCAACTTGCTCAGGTGCCAATGATGACAGAGCTGGGCCACAGGGTGGGTAGGTCCTTGAGCTCTGAGCAGCAGATATGGCTTGGGCAATGGCAGTAGCAGTGGCAGAACAATCTTCTGCCTCCCAAGGTGTCCATGCTGGTATTGGGATGGCTGGGATAAGCTGGATGAGCTTGTCCCAAGGCCCACAGGTGGCAAATTCAAGTGAATGCCAGTTGTGGTGGTAATGGTCAGTTGGGTAGGGCAGTCCTCAAGCCCCCAGGAGTGCTCAGGTGCCAACAATACTGGATAGGGCAGGGTGATCCCTAGGCCCAGAGATGGTATGCGCTGGCACTGGGAGAAAAGAGGGTGGGACCAGGCCAGGTGGGCCTGTCCTGAGGCCCTCCAGTAATGCAAGAATGTACTGACTGTGGTAGGCAGGCACAGGAAGATCCCTGTATACCCTGCTGAATGCTCATGTTGGGGCAGCAGCAACTCTATTGCAGCCCTACTCCTGGGGAAGTTGAGTGGGATTGCTTTCAGTGGCAGCAGCTATAAACAGGCAGTTGGGCAATGCATGCTTCGGCCCCAGGTGGTGACTATGGGCAGGGTCACCTTTCCTCATGGCAGCCTTGCTTCGGAGGTAGCAGAGTATTGCCAATGGCTCATGCTTTGGCCTGGAGGGAGCAGTCAGGAGTGGCAACCAGCTTTGTGTAAGGGATGTCCATGGGGCTCCAGGGATGAGATAGAGGGATGTGGGGCCCACAGCAGATGCAGTCTGGTGGGGGTTGGGCTATCAAAATGGGACTTTCCTGAAGTTGCCTGAGGATTCAGGGGATGTGTGAATTGCCTGAGGATTCAGGGTGATCTCCCTCTCTGGGAGCTGTTCATTGCCATTTCACAGTCTGTAGGTAGCCTCTTGTTAGTCTCAAGGCATCTATGGGTCAGGGGGTTCTCTGACTAGGATTTCAGGAGTCTGCTGTGGGAATGTGGACCACTAGGGGCTCACTTACTTACCTTTCTGCACATCGAGGAGTCTCTTCATGATCCCAGCCAGTCCCATAGAAGCAGACTGCCTGACTCCCCTCTTATCCCTTGCATTGGGTTTTTCTTATTACTTCTCAGTTGAATTCCAGCATTCTCTCAGAGGCGATCTATATAAACTGTGGTTACCTACTTGCTATATTTTGTGGAGGAGGTGAGTGCCAGATGCCTCTAGTCAGCCATCTTGAAGCCCCTGCTGATATCTGGATAGGGATTTCATAGCATCTGTATATTGCTATAGGTAAATATGATCATTTTAACATTTTTCTTTCAATCCATGAGCATGGGATGTCTCAAAAAATTTTGTAGCCTCTTCAATTACTGTTATCAGTATTTTATAGTTTTCATTGTGGAAATCTTTCACCTCCTTGGTTAAGCTTTGCTTTTTTTTGTAGCTATTGCAAATGGGATTGCTTTCTTCATTTCTCTTTTGGCTAATTTGCTGTTTCACAGAAATGCTACTGATTTTTTGGGGGAGGCAGGGGAGTGCAGACAGGGTCTCACTCTGTTGCCCAGGCTGGGGTGCAATGGTGCAATTTCTGCTCACTGCAACCTTCACCTCCGAGGTTCAAGTGATCCTCCCATCTCAGCCTCCTGAGTAGCTGAACTTCAGGTGCAGGCCACCACGCCCAGCTCATTTTTGTACTGATGAGGTTTTGCCATGTTGCCCAGGACAGTCTCAAACTCCTGGGCTCAAGCAATCCACCCGCCTCATCCTTTCAAAGTGCTGAAATTACAAGCATGAGCCATCATGTCCACACCTACTAATTTTTGTTTGTTGATTTTTTTATCCTGCAACTTTATTGAATTCCTTTACCAGTTCTAAAAGATTTTGGTGGAATCTTTAGGTTTTTCTATGTATAAGATTATGCCATCTGCAAAGGACAATATGACATTCTCTTTTCCAATTTGGATACCCTTTTTCTTTTACTTGCCTAATTGTTCTGGTGAGGACTTTTCTTACTCTGCTGAATAAGAATAGTGAAAGTGGGCATCCTTGTCTTGTTCTAGTTCTAAGAGAGAAGGTGTTTAGCTTTTCCCCAGGTGGCTGTGGGTTTGTCATATATGACCTTCATTGAGTTATGTTCCTTCTAGACATTATGTGATGAGCTTTTTTTTTTATCATGAAGAGATTTTGAATTTTATCAGATGCTTTTTCTGCATCTATTGAGATGATCATGTATTTTTTTGTCCTTCCTTCTGTTAATGTGATGTATCACATTTATTGATTTGTATATGTTGAACCATCCTTGAATCCCTGGGATAAATCCCACTTGATTATGGTGTATTATCTTTTTGATGTGCGATTGGATTCAGATTGCTAGTTTGTGTGTCTGTGTGTGTGTTTTGTTTCTGAGGATTCTGCATCTATGTTCATCAGGGAGATTGGCCTGTAGTTTTCTTTTTTGCTGTTATTGTGTCCTTATCTGGTTTTGGTATCAAGATACTGCTTGCCTCACAGAATGAGTTAGGGAGAATTCCTTTCTCTTCAGTCTTTTGGAATTGTCTGAGAAGAATTCATGTTAGTTCTTTAAAGGTTTGGTAGAATTCAGTAGAAAACCCGTGCAATCCTGAGGTTTTCTTTACTGGGAGACTTTATTACTGATACAATCTCATTCCTTGTTATTGCTCTGTTCAGATTTTTTTTCTTCCTGGTTCAATCTTGGGAGGTTATATATGTCCAGGAATTTATCTCTTTCCTCTAGGTTTTCTAATTGTTGACATATAGTTGTTCATAATGGTCTCTAATAATCTTTTGTATTTCTGTGGTGTCCATTGTAAGTCTCCTTTTTCATTTCTGATTTTATTTATTGGGTCTTCTTGGTTAGTCTAGCTAATGGTTTATTGATTTTCTCTTTTCAAAAAATCAGTTTTTTGGCTGGGTTTGTTGGCTCACACCTGTAAACCCAGTACTTTGGAAGGCCAAGGCAGGCCGATCGCTTGAGTCCAGGAGTTTGAGACCAGCCTGAGCAACATGGCAAACCCCCATCTCTACCAAAAAAAAAAAAAAAAATTAGCGAGGTGTGGTGCTGCACATCTACTCAGAAGCTGAGGCAGGAGGATTGCTTGAGCCCAGGAAGCAGAGGTTACAGTGAGCCAAGATCACACCACTGCGCTCTAGCCTGGGTGACAGAGTGAGACCGTGTCTCGGGGGGTGGGGGGGAGGCCTCATTTCATTGATCTTTTGTCTTTTTTACCTTTTATCTCTATTTCATTTAGATCTGCTCTGATCTTTACTATTTATTTCCTTCTAATTTTAGGTTTGATTTGTTCTTGCTTTTCTAGTTCCTTGAGATGCGTTTATTAGGTTATTTGTTTAAAAACTTTCTACCTTATTGATGTGGGTGTTTATTGAAATAAATGTCCCTCATAGCACTTCTTTTGTTGTACCCTATACATTTTTGTATGCTGTGTTTCTATTTTCATTTGTTTCAAAGAATTTTTAAATTTTTAAAATCAATTTCTTCATAGACACAGTGGTCATTCAGGAACATGTAGTTTGATTTCCGTGTATCTGTTCAATTTCAGAAGTTCCTCTTGTTATTGATTTCCAGTTTTATTCCATTGTGGTCTGAGAAGATACTTGATAAGATTTTGACTTTTAAAAATTTATTGAGACCCGTTTTGTGTCCTAACATATGGTATATCCTGGAGAATGTGCTGTGTGCTAACGAAGCAGCAGTTCAAATCTAATATTTCCTTGTTGATATTTTTCCATCCAAATGAATTGTCCAATGCTGAGTATGAAATGTTGCCATCCCTAACTATTATTGTATTGGGGTCTATCTCTTTAGCACTAATAATATTTGTTTAATATACCTGGGTACTCCAGTGTTGTTGGTTGCATATATAATTGTTATATCTTCTTGCTGAATTGATCCATTTATAATTATATAATGACCTCCTTTGTCTCTTTTTTCTTTTTCTTTTTTTTTTTTTTTTTTTTTTTGACTCAGTATTTTTTGTCTGTCTACTCCTGCATGCTTTTGGTGTCTGTTTGTGTGGAATATCTTTTTCTATCCATTCCCTTACAGTCTATGGGTGTCTTTACAGGTGAAGTCAGTTTCTTATAGGCAGCATGTAATTGGGTTTTATTTTTTTAATTCATTTAGCCAGTATCTATCTTTCATTTGGGAAATTTAAATTACCTACATTCAAGATTGTTATCAATAGGTGAGGACTTACTCCTGTCATTTTATTGTTTTCTGACTGATTTGTATACTTTTGTTTCCTCTCATTGTTTTTCTTTGCAATTTTTTGGTTTTCTGTAGTGATAATCTTTTATTCCTTTTCCTTTCTCATTTGTGTATCTGCTCTACTAGTGTTTTATGCTTTTGTAGTTTCATGATGGTAGATATCATCCTCCTACTTCCAGATGTAGTACTCCCTTAAGCATTTCTTGTGGGGCTGATTTAGTAGTAATGAATTCCCTCAGTTTTTGCTTGTCTGAGGGAGGCAAAATTTCTTCCCTCATTCTGCTTCATTTCTGAAGGATAGCTTTGCTGGGTATAGTATTTGTGGCTAGCAATTTTGTGAGCTTTTCCCCACCTTGCAGCACTTTTAATATGGCATTCAATTCTTTCCTGGCCTAGAAGGTTTCTGCTGAAAAATCTGTTAATCTGCTGTTGATTCCCTTATATGTGACTTCATGCTTCTCTCTTGTTTTTTAAATTCTCTCTTTGATTTTTGACAGTTTGATGAAAATGTGCCTCAGAGAGGCCCTTTTAGGGTTGAATCTATTTAGGGATTTGTGAGCTTCCTTTATCTGTTAGTCTCTTTCTCTCCCAAACTTTGGCAGTTTTCAGGTATTATCTTCTTAAATAGATTTTCTGGTCCTTATCCCAACACTTCTTCTGGAACTCCCAAAATGTGAAATATTGTTAGCTTAATAGTGTCTCATATGTCACGCAGGCATTCTTCATTCTTTTTTATTGTTATTTTTTAAATCTGTCTGGTTTATTGCAAAACACCTGTCTTCAAATTTAGAAATTATTTCTTCTGCTTGACTTAGCCGGCTTTTGAAGCTTTCAATTGTATTTTTTATTTCATTCATTTAATTTATCACCTCCAGGATTTTTGTTTGGTTCTTTTTCATATCTAACTCTGCTGGATTTCCCATTTAGATAATGAATTGTTTTCCTGATATGTTTGTATTGTCTATTTGTGTTCTCTTGTATCTCATTGGGTTTCCTTAAGATTTCCTTTACTTTGGAGTCTATTATTGGAGAATTATTGTGTTCTTTTGGCAAGTCATGTTTTCTTGTTTTTTTCCCCCCAAGTTTTTTGTGTCCCCAAGTTGATATCTGCATATCTGGAATAACAGAGACTTCCAATTTTATGGAGTAGCCTTAGTAAGGACTTTTCCTGTACACGCGTCTGTAGTATCATTTGGGTAGGGTGCTTTGGCTTTGGTTCTGGTTCAGTGCAGAAGTGTGGTGTCTCTACAATTAATTAGACTATAATCCACATCAGTGGTATCTGCAAGTTCATCAGTGGCTTAGGCTGCTTGGTGCTTAGGATGTCTGTGAAGGCAAGAAGGCTCCTTAGAGGTACTTACTCCTCTATTTTTGCTGATGTTGCTAACTACCTTCAAACTTTTTGACAAAGCATTTTAAGCCTCTTCTCTGATTCTGTATGCAGTTTTGCAGTGCTGGGCAGGGGACTAGAATGCTATTGGAATTTGGCTCACTTTGCTACCCACAGGCAATTTGAAGGTATTCTTTCTCCTAATACTGCTAACAGCATGGGTCATGTGGTTTTATTTGCACTTACTGATTTTATGCTTTTAGGGGAGGATGAGTGAGATGATTTATAGTCAGAGGGGATGAGGAGCAGCATGCTATTTTTCTCCAAGCCTGGCTGAAAGTCTTTTTTAAATTATCCTTTTTTCTTAGTACCCCTTTCTAATCTATCAGTATGTCTTATCAACTCTCTGGATTTGCCCACACCTAGTCTCTCCAGCTATCTCCCTGGTTAAAACCACCACCATTTCTCTGCCTACATTGTTGTCCATACCTCATTACTGGTCTCTTGATTTCCACTCTTGCTTCCTGTACTCCATTCTTCACATAACAGCTCAAGGGAGTTCTTTAAATGTACAGTGGATCTTGCTGCTTCCCTACTCAAATGTTCCGACAGCTTCCTGTCACCCTGTCTTGTGTCAGTCTCACAGCACACACAGCTTAATTCAGGAATTAAGCTGTGCTGGTCACTTATTGAGAAAGAGCTTCATGGTGGGCAGCTGGGAAGCTGCACAGAACACTCCTCAGAGTTCTACAAGCGGCTGAGAGAGCTGGGGTATTTATCTTTCACTAGTGAGTGCTGCCCCGGTGGTGGCTCACTTTCCATTCCTTTTGGCCTGCCCTGTGTGCAGCTCAGCAAGTGCCTGAAGTCAGAGGTAGTGCTTATGAAAGTATCTGGTGGGCTTGCATTAAGAAGCTGTCAGTGTGAAGAACGTGAATGCTAAGGGCATATGAGTGTGTCCCTGAGAACATGGATATTGTGTTCTTTACCTCCATGTCTCCAGTGCCTGCCACATAGCAGGTCCTCCAAGATTTGCTGATCTGCCTGCCCCACCTGGGGTCTCTGTCTCTCCCACAGCTCACTGACATTAGCCACGTGGCCCTCTGTTTCCTGTAATAGGCCATTTCCTAAGTAAGCATCATCCTCATTTCTATACGTTTTCTCTGATTACTGGAAATTCCTCAAGTGTTGACCATTTTGATTCCTGGGCCCCTTAAGAGTCCATTAGCATTGGAATGGAGCCCACAGGACCATACCAGACAGATGCCACCACATCTTTTCTTGAAGTAGTGTTCAGGCTGAGGGGGTCATAGCCGAGGGTCCCTCTGGGGCCGCTTGCTCTCCTCCTACTCACAGCCCTCCTGCAGCCAGCAGCAGTGGGGGAGCCAAGCTGAGTTGATTACTTTTGACATCAGTTGTTAACATAATTTTGATGTTGAGCCTCCCCCCAGTTCTGGGGTGGCTCTGACTGTGTCCAGGCTCCAATTTGAGAAGCTATGGGGAGCCTCTCGGCCCCAGTTCTGGCCTGGCTGGGAGGTGGCCTGGGAAGGGACCTGTGTTTCTCAAGCCCGCGCCCTCGGGGCCTGGGGGTGGGGCCCCAGCAGATGTCTGGATTTGGTAGCCAGGGCCTGGAGCCGGATGCTGAGAATGAGGCCTGCAACTCATTTCCCCATTAAACATTCTGAGAACATCTGCACCGGTTTCCAAGGCTTCTCCCTCACTAATTGCTTTGATTATTGTGTGAAGTTAAGAACTGGCACATTTCCGCGATGTTGTGATGAAGGTGAAAAGATCGCTCTTAATTAGATTAAAAACATTTTTTTCTTCCTGTGTAATTTTGTCTTGAAAATCAAGGCCACTTTTTTGTTTTCTCCATCCAAAGACCTCCAGAAACTTTCCTCCCCACCTCTCCAGAGGTTTCTGGGGAATGTCCTGTGAGCTCAACTCTTGGAGAAGATAGTGCTTAACCCAGATTCCATTGTATATTAAAGTTTCCTAGGGCTGCTCTTGCTGCCTGGAACCTTCCCCTGAAAATGTGTCTTGGGAGACCTAGACAGTGACTTCCTGCAGCATGGAGACCCGGGTGGGTCGATTTTAGTTGTGTGGGTGGCTGTGTTGCTCTCTTTCCGTTTCCTGGGCTCACTCACGCTCAGGGTTGACCCTGTCCTGGCTCTGTCACTGCCTGTCTTCCTCAGCGCCCCCGCTACTCAGACCCCACCCTTGGGCCTGCAGAGACATTTCCGTTCACTCTGAGATTTGTGTATGCTGAGGCTTGCTATACTTATTCTAAGGAGAAGTGTTTGGGGTGTGGGGTGTGGTCCTCAGTATCCTAAACTTAGGTTTTGGAAAGCCCAGCATCCTCCCTGGGACTTCTCAGGATTCCGGAAGTCATCTTTGACTGTGTCACATCACTGTCATGCTTGAGGCAAATCTATTCTGCACACCTTTGATCCAATGTGAGATCCAACATGTTCCATAATTTGCATCAAACATCCTCATACAGCAGGGTGTGGAGAGAGGCTCACTGAAGGTTTGGGGAGATGAGGACTTGCATCACAGCAGTAGAAAGCCAATGTCCCACCTTAGGAAATCCCTTTCCAAGAGTTCCCTGTGCTGTTGCAGGGCTAGGGCCAGGGCCTTGGCCTCAGGCCAGCTTCTTTCCCACAAGCCTTCTCCCTGCCCTCTGCCCTGAAAACTAGTGGGGGCAGTGCAGACCAGTTTAGCTATTTTGTAACCTTGACTGCCCCCAGGCCCATGTCCGTAGGCTCACACCTCACCCCCAACTTTGTCATGCACATTCCTGAAGACTCTCTTGGTAACAAATGATGGAACCCCAACTCAAACAAGCTTAAGCACAAAAGGGACATTTTTTGGCTCACACAGCTGGACCCAGCTGTTTCAGACACAGCTGGACCCCAGAGCTGAGATGATCTTGCTCACTTGCTCTCACTCTCCCCTCTTGCACTCCCCTTCTCCCTTCCCGTTCCCTCTTTTGTTCTCCCTTTCCCTTGCTCTCTATCCATTGGCCCCATGGGATGGCTGTATCCTTAGGCAGCTACTTTCTAAAAGGGGCAAAATGGCCACCAGCTTGCATTCAACAGCTCAGGAAGCCCAGCAGAACGAGGTCATCTCTTCCAGGATTCCTGCCAGAATCTAAGGCCAGGTTCTTATTGGCCTCAGCTGGGGTACAAGCCATCCTTGGACCTGCAGCTGTACCTCCGATGGCTGAGGCAAGGTCCACAGGGACCCCTTTGGGGATGGCCAGAGGGTACCTAAACACTGCACACTAGGAGTGGGAAAGGAAGAGCCCCCTAAGGAAGATTTGAGAAGCTGTTCCCAGAAGCCAGGCCTGGCTGCTGGCAGGCAAAAACAACAGGTGTCCACTCAAGCAAGGTATTTTCCTAAGCGGAACTGGGTGCCAGCTGTGAATATACATTTTCACTCCATTCCTCGCCTTGTTCCTGGCAGCTGTTGTGGGAATGGCTTTTACACTTTCCATCCATGTCCCTTACTTCTCGCCTCTGAGTGGAGACACAGGTGGTGGCGGGGCCACTCTGGCTCAGGGTCTATGAGCCGGGCATGGGCAGCTGGCACAGGCTGTGGGGCTGCGGCTCAGCAATGTCACGCAGGGCCTGGCTGCAGCTGTCCGGATGCCCCTGGGGAGGGCTTCTCCTTCACAGTGCAGGATCCGCAGGGCTTTGGTGAATCCACTGAGAGGGGGAGATTTCTTGAGGGGGCCAGGGAGGGGGCTTCTACTTGCAAAGGATAGGGAGAGCTTCTGTTCATCCTTGTGAAGTAGGCTGGCTCAGGGAACTCGCCTGTGCCAAACCCTGGGGAGACATGGGTGAGGCAGAAGGCAAGGTTCCCGTGCTGAGCGCCAGGCACACATAAGCCCTGCAGCCGTACAGGGGAGGGGGCAATCTCCGGAGCCCTGGAAAGCTTGTGGAAGAGGGCTTGGGTTACACCTGGGAGATTAGGCCGGATTTTAATCAATCAGGAGGGGAAGGGCAGGGGGTGAGTGGTTGGGTGAAGTTACTAGGAAGGGCCCAGACACTGGCGAGAGTCTCTTGAGGGCAGAGGGCAGCAGAGATGGGCTGGAGCTTTGAGCTTTGTCATAGGCTGGACTTGGGGCTTGAATGCTGACCTAATCTGGGCAGGGAGGGGTCTGGGGCTCGATGAGAAGGCAGAGGAAGTGAGACCAGAATTTCTTGGGAACAGAAAGCCTCAAAGACTTTCATGATAGGAGAGCTCTATGTAGCCTCATGGGCAGCTCCAGGCCAGGTGGAGGGACATATTCTGGCAACTCTAGGATAAGATGTGCAAGGTCGTGGGCCAGAGAGCAAGGCACAGATACAGGAGACTTCCACAAATTATTGTTTCTTGACTTGGAAAAGTATCATGCAAAATAGAAAACACAGACACAATAAGGAAGGAAATGAAAATCACCCAAAGACAAAGTTAACATTTGGATCTGTTTCCTTCTAGTCTTTTTTCTGTGCCTGTATTTTTAAAAAAATAAAATTCAAATCCCCCTATCGAGCAGGACCACTGACTAGAAAGGAGGATGCTGTGCTGAGTTTGATTCCTGTTCTCTTGAGAGGGTGAGACTTGGCAGCCAGCGTCCCCAGCTGGGGTAGTCGCCACGCCCGAGGCTGCCTTTGCCATCCCAGACCTCCCACTTTCCTAGAAAACAAAATTGTTTTGTTCTGCCCTGAAAATTTAGGCCCAGATCCTGGCCTTGACAAAGCAAAGGCAGCCAAAGAATTAAAGCATCAAAAACCAGGACTGTCTTAGGAAAGTGTGACTTCATTGTCACCAGGATGCTGTGCTCTTTGTCCCCAGGGCCAGCCACTCTAGGCAGTTCAGCAAAGGGCACCTGGCATTGCTCCGGTACCTCCTGCAGAGCCTGGATATCCAGATGAACTGCCCTTTCAAGTACACCATGGGCTCAACCTTCTCTGCAGCTGTGAGTTCAGGCTGTGAAATACCCACTTCAGAGGTGGGGGTGACAAGCAAGACCTGTTAGGGCACAGCACTTGCCCTCAAGCCCTGGCCTGAAAGAGGCAGCACCAGTGTGTCTGGAAAGAGCTGAATCCCCACCCACCCACCCCCAGCTCCCCTCCATGCTCTCCTAGATGCCTGACCTGGCTACGACCACAGGTGAAAACAGGGAAGAGGTGGCAGCTCTGGTCACTGCCTCCCTGTGGTGGAGAAAGCACGCCCCACAGTCTCCAACACACAAGCCAGCAGACAATAACCTCTCCTCTTGAATTGGAAAAACAAATCTGTGGAGGCCTTCTCTGCCCCTTGTTATAGGGGCCCCATATGCCGTTCCCAGGATTAAACCAAAAAGCACACATTCCTCTCTGGCAGGTGCAGGTCCCACCCACTCTGGGCAGCCAACTGATGTGCACATTTTAATTTCCTAAAACACCAGGACAGAACCTTCCTCAGGGGTCAGGTGGCTCACCCTTGGCCCTCAGGCTTTGGAGATGGGCACTTGTCATCATGGGTGTTTGGAAAGCAACTCTACGTTCTAGCCTGTGCTCCATCGTTCCTTCTACATACAAGTGATGCAAACATCAAAATATGTTTTTTCTTTCTTCCTTCCTTTAAAAAAAATTGAATCCTGGATGAAGTTTTAGCTCTGTCACTTGACAACTGCATTATATAACCTAGGGTACTTGAATCTCAGCCCCAAATCTCTAAAATGGGGGCAGTAACATGCTTCTGCCAGGTCCCAGACCTGTGGGTCTCCAAATCTGCACATTCTTCAAGCCTTACAGGTCCTTCCCTGGTCTCTCTAAGGATGTCATGGGCACAGAGCCCTTTCACTCTGAGCCCTTCTCCTGGCTGTGACTAAGTAATGTCTGTGTGGTTTCCTGCTGGAAGTCTGCCACTCGCCCCCACGGGCCATGAGCTCCTGAGTTTATTTACATTTCCCTGATTGCTAGTCAGGCGCAACACCTTTCCACATGCTCATCAGCCTTTTGGATTCCTCTTTTGTGATGTGCTACTTTGTCTATTGCCCATTTTCTATTAAGTCATTTATATTTTTCCTATTGATTTGTAGGAGTCCTTTGCATTTTGTGGGCACTGTCTTTTCACTCTTTAAGGTGTATTTTGATGATTGGGTCTTAACTCTAATGTCAAATTACTCAGTCTTCTCTCTCATGGTTATTGCTTCTTTTAAAAAAAACCATCCTAATGCTGATGTCATTAAGATATTCTTCTATATTCAGTCATGTGACCTTTATAGTTATGCTTTTCATAGTTAGGTCTTCAATCCCCTAGAATGACAAGAATGAATTTTTGGTATATGATGTGAGGTAATTAAGGGTCCAACTTAATGTTTTTCCAGTGTGGGTATCCAACTGCTCCTGAACATTTGATTGAAAAGTCCATGCTCTTCCCAGGATGTGCAGGCCACCTCTGATACACAGCAAGCTTCCATATTTGTGTGGGCTGTTTCCCAATGCTCAATCCTGTCCCATTGGCCTATTTGTCTCTCCCTGTGTCAATACCACATTGCCCTAATGACCACTGCCTTGGAAGAAGTACTGATGTTTGGTACAGCAAGTTCTCCCACCTTGTTCTTCTTCAAGAATATTGCCAATTCTTGGCTTTTTGCACTTCCAAGTCGCAGTTAGAATCAGCTTGCCAAAGTTCTCACACAGAAGCCTTGAGATTTTTATTAAGATTTGGAGAGATTTATTCAGATTTTGAGATAATCTTTTCAGTATTGAGTCTTCTAGTCATTGGAATGAAGGCATATTTCTCCATTTATATCTTCTTCATTGTCTCTTACTAAAGTTTTACAATTTTCTCCAGAGTTCTTGCATATACTTAGTTAGATAATTAATATTCTTTTGTGCTATTGTATACAGGTTCTGTTTTCTCTTGTTACCTCACATTTTTTATTTACAGAAGAGAAACAAAAATAGTACCGAGTACCCACATCCCTTTCACCAGCTTCCCCTAATGTTAGCATCTTATATAACCATGGTACATTGACCAAAACTAAAAAATTAACATTGGTACACTATTAAGCTAGAGTTATAAATTTATTTGGATTTCCCCAGTTTAACTACTAATGTCCTTTTTCTGTTCCAAGATCCCATCTAGGATCGATCATTACATTTATTGTCATCTCTGATCGGTGACGGGCTTCTCAGTCTTGTTCTTCATTAACTTGACACTTTTGAAGAATACCAGTCAGGTGTCATTGTCCCTCAGTTTGGATTTGTCTGGTGTTTTCTCAGGACTAGACCAGGGTTATAGGTTTAGGGGAAGGAGGCCAGTGAGGTGAGATGCTTTCCTCATTGTGGAACATGACATCAACATGGTTTATCACTGGTAATATTAACCTTGAGCCACTCGTTTAAAGTGGTGTCGGCCAGGCTCCTCCACTGTAAGTGAATAGCTGTTTTTCCCTTTCCATAGCTTAGTCTTTAGAAGCGAGTCACTAAGTATAGCCCACACTCAAGGTGGGGAAGGGAGGGGTTCAACTCTACCTCCTGCAGGAGAGTATCAAAAAAAATCTGCAAATATGTTAAAACTACCACAGCAATTAAAATACATTTCAAGGAAGAAACTGTGAAGTTTCTGAGTTTCACTAACTAATTTCAGCATTCATTCATGGATCGTTTTCCTGCAGCAAATATTACCGTGATGTACTTCTATTTTCCTCATTCCTTCTACATTTTTTATTTGGAATTCCTTTATAAGGAAGATTTGTCCCTCTCCTCCAATTGTTTATTTAATTTTATCAGTGTGGATTTGGGAGTATTTATTTTTTGAGTTATAGTCCAATATTATTTATTTTGTTGCTCAAATTGTTCAAGCTGTGGCCACTGGTGGGTTCATGTGTCCTTTTGATGTGCCCCCCGCCATCCTTTTCATTTATTTTTAAGCATTTCTTTTCTAGCACTTGACAATACTTCAGGCTCATCTTTTATTTTCCCTACCCTAGCCCTAGAATCATCCATTCATCCAGAGAGCCCTGGCTCCCTGGAGAATGAATAGAAAACCTGGATCTAGGCACGGGGTATGCTCGTGGCTACTAGGGTATCATTGCTTCAGTCTCCTCTCAGTGGACAGAGCTAGGAAATATATGTATGTATGTAACCTGAGTACACATACATCTTTACATATCTGTATCTATATAAAGCTAACCATGAGTTCATACTGACATTTCTGACCAGAGTTCATCCTTGCCCCCTCCCCCACAACTTATTTATAGCTTTTTCTCTGACAGCTAGAAACCTGGCTCCCATTACCTACAGTTCATTTACTTATTTGTGTAACCCTATTGTACACGTAGTACCCTATGTGAAGCAAATTTACCTACTAGATTAGAGTGTTTAGGACAGACTTTTGCTTTAACCATAGAGTGTCCAGTCAAAACAGTGTTTTTGAAAGCAACATATGCCAGCTCCTCCTCCTCCTTTCCTTTCACTGCTATGTCATTTGTTTGTAACACGCTCATCATAGTCTGCTTTTCATCGTAGGGTCCTCCAACATCCGGGTTAATTTTTTAAATTTGCATACAGTAAAATCCACTCTTTGAGATTCAGTTCTGTGGGTTTTGACAGATGTCTGGAGTCATGTGTCCACAATCCAGTATCATTCACAGAAGTTCCATACCCCTAAAAATACCCTGGGGTGAGTCTTTTGAAGTCAAGTACTTCTCCCCTAACCACTGGCAGCTATTGATCTGTTTTATGTCCCTGTAGTTTTGTTTTTCTAGAATGTCCTATAAATGGGATCCTATAATATGTATTCTTTTGCATCTGGCTTCTTTCACTGCTTAGCAAAATGCATTTGAGATTCATCCATGTTGTTGCATAAATCATTAGTTAATTTCTTTTTATTGCTGGGTGGTATTCCATTGCATGAATATATACATTTTGTTTATGCATTCACCTGTTGAAGGACATCTTCATTGTTTCCAGTATTTGGTAATTATGAGCAGAGTTACTATACACATTTATGTACAGGTTTTTGCGAACATAAAAATTCAATTCACTTGGGTGGGAAAGGAACCGATAGGTCATGTGGTATGTGTATGTTTAACTTAATAAGAAATTGCTAAACTATTTCCTAAAGTCACTGTGCCATTTTGCATTCCCACCAGTAACATATGAGAGTTCTACATGTTCCACATCCTCAAGAGTGGTTGGTATTGTCAGGTTTTGAATTTTTTTTTTAATTTATGGAATTTCATTGTGATTCTAATTTGCATTTCCATATTTATGTTAATTATGTATCTTTTCATGTGCTTATTTATAATCCATTTTTAAAATTGGATTGTTCACTTTATTGTCAAGTTGTAAGCATTCTTTATATATTCTGAGTGCAAGTCCTTGACCTGATAGGTGATATGCAAATATTCTTTCCAAGTCTGTGCTTTGTCTTTTCATTCCATTAGCAGTGTCTGTTGCACAGCAAAAGCTTTTAATTTTGATAAAGTCCAATTTGTTGATTCTTTTTCTCTTACGAGTTAAACTTTTGGTTTCGTATTTCAGAATTCACTGCCAAATCCAAGGTCCTGGAGATTTTCTCTTATGTTTTCTTCAAGATATTTTATGGTTTTATGTTTTATTTTAGATTTTTTTTCAGTAAGTTTGTATGTAGTACCCTTTAAATTTTCATTTTCTAATTGTTGATCATCTGTCCTATCAGGCATAGATACTAAATGCATTAAAACTTTTACACACATACATATGTATACATACAACACATTCAAATAGTGAAATTAGGAATAAATTTAAGAGAGAATTGTATTACGCTGATGTGGGAAAACCTTCCTTTTTTATAAAGCAAAAGATGTATCACTTTAAAAACATAAAACATTTTCTAGGATAAAAGCAACATAATTCAGGTGAAAAAACAGACTGGGGAAGCTATCTATGCCTCATATAACAAGGAGTTAATGTCTGTAATGTATAGAAAATTCCTACAAAGTGATAAGCAAAAGTGAGCAAAGGACATGAACAGGCAATTCTGCAAGAGGAAACCCAAACAGATGCCAAGCCCATAAAAGGTATTCAACACAGATGGAAATAACAGCAATGCCTCAGTTTTCATCCATGCTTGATAGTCCCTGCAAAAGGTGCTGACAACCTTCATTCGGGCTTCATTCAACACTTCATTCAGGCATGGATGTGGGAAAGCTGGGGGAGCCTGAATTGCTACAACTTCTTGGGAAAGCAATCTAGCAACATTTATTAAAATTACTAAGGACACACCCTCTCACCCTGCTCCAGTATGTCAGCTTTTAAGAATAAAGATGAATATGGCATCATAGTCTGAATAATTAAGCAGCTTAAAACTATAAGAGCCTGAATGTCCATGATATACAGAATGGTTAGCTGTGGCCAATCTAAACTGTGGACTATTATGTAATGACTAAAATAATTAAATCCATGCCTATATACCTAGAGAAAAATGAAATGAGCTTATGTTACAGAGTGACAGGAACAGAGTCACAGTGACATCCCATGTGCATAAAAGCAACTCCCACCTGGCATCTGCTGCTCGGATGAGCAGAGAGGGTGGGCTAGGGATCTAGTTGGCAGTTAACACTGATGACCTTGGGGGAGGAAAGCCATTGTGAATCTTTGAATTATTCCACTTCTCACAGATGAGTACTTAATCCTTTTGCAATAAAATATTTAAATGAAGACAAATATAAGCCAAGAGCAAATACTGATAGTGTCAACAGAGAGTGGGGAGTGATAAGGATCAGTATCCTGAGCTCCTGTGTCAAAGTTGCAGAGGTGGGCCCAGGAATCATAATGTGAAGCCAGCTGTTGGAGGGACTCCTGTGCCTCATTGGGGGTACAACTGGTTGATGTAGCATCGTGTTTTGAGGAAGGAGTTCTGTGGCTGCCCCCACCTCCCAGGCTTGCCATTCCTCATGGGTCAGAGGTCCTATCACCCCATCTTTCCTGACCCACTACTCTGTCAATGTATGAGTGTGACAATGTATGGTGGTGGGAGCTGTTGTCCCTTACCAGGCCTGTGCCTGTCACCTCTGTTTTATTCTTGACCCAAGTGTCAGTTGTGAACATGGGAAGAGGCCCAGAACCTGAGGTGGGGAGAGTCTTGGACACCTGAGCACAGCCCCAGGCACAGTTACCACTCCGAAGATGATTCACTGGCCTTTATTCTCCTCAGACACTGAGGTGTCAGGCACTTTGGGGCCATCTTAAACACCCACCCACCCCAACACCCAACTATAAAACTGATTGTCAGGGCTGGAGCTTCCAGGCACAAGCTCCACTCCTCACCTGGCCCTGGGAGCTCACAGGCCTGGCTCCACAGCACTGGCAGGTTGGGTGGGAGGCCTAACGTGCTGTCCCCACACTTTCTCCTCAGTAAGGAAGAGCCCAACACTGCTGGAAGTGAGCATGCCCCATTTCATGAGAACCAACAGCTTCGCCGAGGACCTGGACCTGGAAGGGGAGACTCTGCTGACACCCATCACCCACATCTCACAGTGAGTGCCTACATGTGCGTGAAGGGCTGGGCTGGAGGGGACTGGAGCTCAAGGAGTCAGACTTGGTGCTGGGGAAGCCTTGCTCTCTGGCCAGAGTGCTATCTACTCGCCTAGTGCCCACCACTTGCCGTCTGCCTGGCCCCAACACGGAGGCACCAGGCAAGAGAGGAGAGCAAGGGCACTTCCCACTGAGCCTGGGAACATGATCCTCTTGTTTTGACTTATGGAAAACCAGACTGATCATTTTCCACTTGTTTTCATGCTTTGAGAGTCTGAGATTGTTTTTCTCTCCCCCAGCCCCCTCCCCTGCCCCCCAAAAAAGAGACGACTTTGTTTTTTAGCATTTCCCCATGGAACCCTGGCCAAAGCCATGGGGCAGATGCCGGGTGCAGTCTGCCAGTTGCTGCTGCTGTCCTCAGGGGCTCCTTCAGGTGGAGGAAATGGCTGATTTTCCACGCCTTCCAGTTGGCCTTCCCCTGAGGCACAGCTGGCCTGGGATGCATGCCCGTCCTCCCCCGCCGTCACGGCATGGCCAGGCCAATCCCCGGTGCCCGGCCACGGTGTGATTCCCCTGCGACATGTGACTCCCCGCTGGGGTGCCCAGCGGTGACAGCCGTGCAGCGGGGTCAGTGGGGCACCCAAGTCCATTCTGGCCACAGTCCCATTCTGGCTGCTAACCCGTTGGGGATTCCCCTTGATAAATGTCTTTGTGTCAAGATCTGTGAGTGACACTCGCGGCCCTTCTGAGGGTCACTTGTGGAAACTCTCCTTCTCTCTACCAACATTTTTCTAAAGGGTGTTTTGTTCTTTGGACTCTCTGGGGGTCAGGAGGTTGTCCTGAGCCATGTGTGTCTTTGTCGTAGTGAGGCCCTGGGCCTCCTGCCTTTGCAGCCAGCCAGGTGCAAGGCCTGGCCTTGCAAATCACTGAGGAAATCGGGACCCATGGTGCTGGGGGCTGCAGGTGTAACCAGAGAACTGGCAGGGTTGGGTAGCCAGAATGAGGCCACCTCCAGGGAAGGAGTGGCTATCTTAAGGGGTAATTATGATCAGACAGGACCTGCCCACTGTCTTTCCAGGCCCCCCCAGTTCACAGAGAGGTTGGCAGTACCTCATGGTGGGTAGGGTGTGAAGAGGCTCCAAGGGAGCCAGCAGATCACTGGAAAGCAGGGGTGACTAGTCATGGACACCCTGAGAATAGGGCTCTGAGCTTCTGGGCCCCTCCTGGCTGGGTAAAAAGGCAGGAGCAGAGGTGTGAGCAGGCTGGTAGCCAGATGGGCTGCCCAGGTACAGGTCAGCACCAGAAGGCAGAATGATGGCTTACACTGTGGCCAAGGCCTGTACCAAGTCCTGGATATGATGGACCTCCAAAGTGATCAGTGTTAGTTTAGTGGCTCATGTTGTGTGCAATACAGGTGGCAGTGCCTGTATTGCCTCTTGGCTGTCCCCTCAGAGAGGGGACTGTCCCTTCTCATCCTTCTGGCTGCTTGCTTCTCCTGTTGGAGCTCTCGCTCACCTTGGTTCTCTTGGTCACGGACCAGCATCCAGACATGCAAAAAGTCCTACTGGGAGGAGAGGGCCATCACCCACAGTCCATCTAGCTGGGCAGCCAGGCCTTACCAACTCTTGGGTCTTGCAAGGCCCCTGCAGGTGAAGGTGGTGAGAGACCAGGCACTTATGTGGATCACAGCCAAACTTGCAGCTGCCCAGTAAATCACCACTATGGGGGTGAGGGCTGCCAGTGCTGGTATCAGCACATGCCAAGCTCCCTGGAGCCAGAGGTTACCCACCTGCCCAAGGGTGACCCCAAGCCAGTGTGGCTGTGTCATCTAGGACACTGGGCTGTTTCTTGTTCCACTCCAGGATGACAGGGCCTGAGAGACCTGAACATCCATCCCCAAGCTCTCTGCCCACTTTGGGTCTGGCACATTACCATTCTGCAAGATCCTGCAGCCTTTTCAGGTTGGCACTCCCATGGCCTCCAGTGATAAGTGGGCCCAGGCAGGTCAGAGACTCCAGTCATTACCCAACCAGGTCCCTGCCCTGTAACTTACCAAGGCCTCTCTCAGAGCAGGCTGTTCCAAAAGTGGCTGCTAGATATGAGCCAGCCTGGGAAGGCAGGAAGGAGCCCAGGCATGGGGCTTGGGGTGAGGGATCTGAAGAGGGGACTGGGAGAGGGAAAAACAAGGAGGTTGCTGCAAAGGGGCCACCTTGAGGCATTGTGTTCTGGTCAGGGAAGACTCAGGGCTGAGGCTTCAGGGGAGCTGGGTTCCTGCATCCTCAGAAGTCAGGGTACGGTCCCTCCAGAGAGGCCTGAAGGGGAGAGTGGGCACGTACAGTGTCAGGGCCTAGGAACCCAGGCTCCTCTGGGATACAGGCTGGGTAGAGGCCCCACTCCATCTGGGGGAGAAGGCTGGCAGCAGTGGGCACCCTGTTTCCTCAGGGCCCAAACCGCCTGGCGGCAGGGGTGTGGGGGCCGTGCAGGTCTTCTGCCCGCATTGGGGCTGCATTCCTCCACCTCCTGCACAGCCCGCCCAGTGATGCCCATAATTAAATTCGGCTCCAGCTGCTCAGGGATGCAGCGAAGCTCCTGTGGGCAGCCTGGCCCCATGGACCCTGAACTGGGAAGAGAGGCACACGCCCTGGTGTGTGTGAGGGACAGGGATGTGTGCTGGGGTCTCACAGGGGGCAGAGTGGGTGGGAGGCAGTTACCAAAAAACATTTCCATTTTTCTTCAGCATTCTACTGATGTTAAATGTATTACCATGCTGGGCCAGTTCCAGAATTCAAATTAAAAACATAAATAAAGACACATTTTGTTTCCATCTCGAGCTCTCCCCGCCCGCAGGGCCCCAGAGAGGTGAGGTCACTATAGCCTTGATTACGGGAAGGTCCCTGGGGCTGGGCGAAGCTCCTCTTTCCGGGGCCTGTTAGCCAGAGGTGGGGTGGGGGGTGAGCAGGCCTGATGCAAGCTAGGGAGTCATGACAAGCTGAGGCACGGGGTACCCAGGAGATAAAGAGTGGCGTCGCTGCACCCCAGCCTATAGGTGGGCCCTACTGCTCAGCCTCAGGACCCTCAACCAGCTCTGGGCGGCCAGGACTCAGCCTCGAACACACCTTTCAGGCAGAAGCTGTCTTCCTAGGTTGAATGGGGCACAAGAGAGTCCCTGCCAGCCTCAAACTCCCTGAGCCTGTGTCTCCCACCCAGAACCATATGACAGGGCTTCTGAGAGAAAGGTGGGAAGTAGAGACTGTAGGCCTGCATGGGCAGTTGGGGAGCACCCCCATGACAAGAGGAGCCCTGTACCCCAAGAGCCAGGATGAGTTCCTGGGATTCTGACCCACTCACTATCCTCTGCTCACCAAGGGTCACTGGCACGACAGTGGGTGGGGACGGTGCCATGCCTGTGTGCATCCCTGTGCCTTGCGTGTGGTAACCTGCCATCTAGAATGCCCTTGTCACCCATCTGCAGCCACCAGATTTCCATTCATCTTTCCAACGTCTGCTCAGTAAACCCCCCAGGACACACTTAGGCTGTACGGCTGTGTCCTCCTTTGGCTCTCAAAGCCCTCAGTACCAGTTCCCTAAGCCTTTCGAATGGTGCCAGGAGGGAGAAGGGCATGTATAGCCCTCTTGGTCTCTTCCTCCCCAGAACCCCCAAAGCCCCAGGCATGGAGAAGCCCTAGGATTGCTGCTCACTCAACCCTGCCTAAGATGAAGCAAGGACTGCAGACACATTGTGCCAGTGCTGAGGCACAGGGCTAGGGGCCTGAGGATCTGCGGCTCTGAACTTGGGGGCTGTGTGCAGGTGTGGCCTGGGTGAGCTTCTCCAAGCAACCCTGGGAGGCTGAAATCATTTTTGTGAAATCCTCCCTCACACTGCATCCCCAACTGCCAAGCCAGCCAGGACTGGCCTGGAATTCACACGTCTGCCCCATTGGTTGCACATGGATACCTGAGATAGACGGCCCAAGAGGACAGGCCCATAAGCCCTGCAGCCTATGGCTCTGCCCAGCCCAGTCATGTGGTTTCTCTGAAGGGCCCCTGTCTCTTCTGTTTTGGCATCTTAGATGGGCAAGCCCCAGCTCGAGGTTAACAGATACCGCCCTCAGTCCCACTCTCCAGAGGGACACTCAGGGAGCACCCGGCCCATTGAGATGGGCATGGGGGAGGACCAGGACCCCCGAGGCTGGGCAGAGGGGGTGGAAAGAAGGCAGAGGGAAAGCTGCAGAGACCCCCACCAGGTGACTGTGAGCACCTCCCTGGCAAGCATGTGCTTGCCTGGCCTCTTGTGACATGACAGCTTCGCAAATCCTTGAGCAAAAACAGCCCCGTGTGCGTTAATTAGAATTTCCATGTCTTCAACTTTCTCCTGGACCCTGCAGAATCTCACGCCAAGACATTCGAGTTGCTCTTTTCCAGCAAGGCCGCTGTGGCCTGGCTTTCATCCACATCACTACTAATGTCTCCTGAATTCTGCATTTGTCAGCAAGGACAGGGCCAGTCTGTGCTGTCTGGAAATAAGGGCAAACGTCACAAGGGTGGCCCCAAATTTGGCTTCATGGACCAAGGGGCTAGCTCTTTTGATGGGACCAGCTTGGCCTGGGACATTTTGGAGACATCCAGGTCCACTGTGACCTACTCCCACAGACCCCAGGGTACCAGGCACTGCAGCTCTGTGAGTGTCTAAGCTCCTCACCATATTTCTCTCCCTGTAAACTTTGGTGGGAAAGGACAGAAAGGACATTCTGGGAACCAGTGTCCAGAAGGATGAGTGAGGGGCTTGTCAAGAACAGATGAGACCATTTTGTCTTTCTAGACCAGTGTCCTGTCTTCTGCAAAGCTCCAGACCACCTCTGTCTGCACGAGATGCCAAGGAAGCCCTCTGGGGGCCCGCCCGGGAGGGCTGTACAGGGCTGCATGAGTCATAGGATCCCCGTCAGAGCCCCACATAGCCCCAGCCAGGCTCAAACCCGTCTCTGAAATGCACGGGGGGATTAAATGTTCTTCTAATTAAATTAAAACCGAGGCGTAATGGCTCAGTGGGAAAGAGATGGGATTGGGAATCAGATGCCCTCAATCTGGCTTCCAGCCTGCCATCAGCCCAGCTGTGGCGGCCCCCCGTGGCCCCCTAACCTTTCCAAACTTCACTTCCTCCGTCTGAGCACGTGAGGAAGAAGCGGCTGGCCTAGGGCTGCTGCTATGGGGAGAGGGCCGCACTGTCTAGGTGGATGGCCCAGAAGAAAGCAGTGAGGCTTCTCATTTCCTCTGCAAGGGAAAGGCCATCCAAATCACCCTGCCCCAGTGCACTCTGGCCAGGCTCAGCCCTCTCCACTTGTGAACTCCCAGCCATGATGCTGCTCAGGTCCTCAGCCAAGCAGATGGTGTTGGAGGATGTGACAGAGAGAACATTCACGCCACAGAGGTGGCTGGAGGGCAAAGGACTTCACAACTGCACTGATATTGTCATGGAGACACTTCTGGCAGTTGGGGCAGGGGGTCGGGGCGGGGTTGGGCGGGGGGCACATCCCATATAGATCTCTTGTGTGCTCTGCTGATACCTGAAAGGGGAGATTGAACTGCAGAGCCTCTGGAGGCTGAAGCACGGAGGTGACCTAGTCAGGAAGTCTGGAAGCCGTGTCCCCTTAAGTGAGGGAGTGGGATGGGGCTGGGCCTAGCGGCCCTGAAGGCCAGGGCTATCCACCTAATTAGGCTCACCTGGGCTACCCTGGTATAGGGTGGTGGTGTTAAACTTTTAGTTAAAGGGTAATGTGCATGCACACAGATTAGTACACAGGTCTCAAGTGCGCAGCTTGAGGCATCTTCAGTCCCTGGGACCCATGTGTGCAGCACCCGGAGGAAGCAACAGAACCCCCAGAAAGCCTCTCAGGCTCCCATTTCCTGTCACTGACCTTGAGATTAACCACAGGCCTAACTGCTAGCAGCAAGGACCAGCTTTGCCCACATTTGAACTTTATGCGGTGGGAATGATGCAACTCATACACCTTTGTGTCCAATGTCCCTCACTCAATTTGATGTCTGGCAGCCTCTCTATGGGGCTGAAGGGAGAGTGCTCCCTCATGCTCCTTGCTGACTGGTGCTCCATTGTGTGCATGGCCTACATCATTCATCCATTCTACCACCTGTGGCCAGCAGGCAGTTTCTGGTGTAGGTTGCTGTTTAAGAATATTCTGTACATGCTTTTGGTGAGCATCAGGTTGCGTTTCTGGGGAATATATGCCTATGTGTGGAGCTGCAGGGTCCTGGGTGGGCATATGTTTACTCTTAGTGAATACTACCCAGCAGTCTACCAAAGGAGTCATTCCAATTTTCATTCCCACAGGCAGCATTCTGGCTGCTCCACATCCTAACACTTGGCATTTTCCGTCGTTTCCTTTTCAGCCATGATGGTGAATGTCTAGCAGCATCAAATGGTGATTTTAATTTGCAGTAACCTGTTGACTAATGAAGTTGAGTCCCTTTCCATGTTATCATTTAGTCAGATACATCATTCTGTATAAATTGCCTACATCTTCTGCCTGTTTTATGTTTATTTATGGTCCTATATATCTTTAGATATTCTGGAGTCATTTGTCAGAGAGAGAGATACACACACTCACACTCTCTCACAGACACACACATTGCAAATATCGCCTCCCCCTCTGCAGGCTGCCTTCTTCCTCTCTTGATGGTGTCTTTTGATGAACAGAAGGTCTTAATTTTCATGTGGTCCAGTTAATCAAACATTTCCTCTCTGGATAGGGCTGTTTGTGTCCTATTTAAGAAACTTTGACTACTCCAAGGTCATAAAGATATTCTGGTTTATTCTAAAGCTTTATTAGCTCACCTTTCCCATGTAGATCTGCACTCCATCTGGGATTGATTTTTGTGTCCAATGTGAGGCCGAGGTCAAGGTCCACTCTTCCCCTACTTGGATATCCAGTCTAGCTCAGCACCCGGCATGGGAAGGCCCGTCCTCTCCCAACTACCCTGCCGTATCAGTGTCTTTACAATCAGCTCACTGGCTACGTGTGGCTCTGTTTCTGGACCCTATTGGGTGCCACTGGTCAGATTCAAGTTGTTCTTTGTGGCCAGGACCTTGCTTCCTTCTCACTGTAGTTTGCTAACAGGTTTTGACAGCTGGTCCTGCTGGCTCTGGCTGCTTCTCCTTCCCCATCACTGGCTTTGCTGTCTTTGCAGGGTTTCTCCTCACCATACATATGCCAGTTGCCATGGAAAGCCTCCTCTAGGCGCAGCAGCCTCTAGATGGGCATGGGAGAATGGGTATCCTTATAGTTTTGGGGCTCCTGAAACATGGCATCATGTGTCCCTTGTTTATTTAGGTTGACTTTCATATCTTTTACCTTGCCCTGTAGTTTTCAGTGTGGTGGTCATGAACAGCTTGTCAGATTCATTCCTTGTCAGCTAATGGTTTGATGTATGTTCGCTGAATCCAGGGACAAGGTCTGTCAGGGAGCCCTGGCCAGCTTGGGTCATTTCATCCTGCCCACAGGACACTGGGGCAGTCACCTAATCTCTATCAGCCTCAGTTTCCTCTTGTATACATTGGGAGTATATCTCACAGTATTAGTGTAAGGCCTTGAGGAGATGGTGTTAGGCATCCAGCCACATACCTGACTCGGGGAAATGCCTGAAAATATTAGCCAGCATAGAATGTCTCTTTGTGATGGGAGATCCTGTGGGGACATTCCTTATTTGGCCTGAGAGCTTTTGAGACTGCCAGGTCATGAGTTACCATGGGATACAAATGGGGTCACAACATATGGCTGTCAGCTGCTGTCCTTAATAAGATGTGCCTAGAGGCCTGAGAGTCCCAAGCTCCAGGACAGTCTGGAGTCAGGTGGAGGGAAGGGAAGTCTAGAGGTCCCCAAGTCACAACCTCAAATCTCGGAATGGGGTTCAGGAGCTGTTGGGGTCCCGTGGAGGTACAGGCGGAAACCTAGCACTCACTATTCTGCTCTGGGGAGGGGGTTGGAGGCAGAATCAGTGGACTGTGTCTCATGGCAGTCACAGGTGCCCCAGTATGCATCTGTCATTTGTTCTTATCACTGTCGGGCCCATCTGCCAAGGCAAGCACCCACATTAAAGCAGAGTGAAGAGCAGGGCGAGCTGTGTAGCTCACCTGCCTTTGACCCTGCACATGACGGGCGAGGGAAGAGGACCATGGTAGCTTGTCTCTAGGCAACCCATAGGTGCCCAATGGAGAGATAATCTCAAATATGGTAGCAGAGTTCAGACTCAGTGGCTTTCAGATGGTTAGTATAGGCTGAAATTCCAAGAGCATTAACCAGACACCTACTATGTGTATTTCTTGTGTTGGGGTTAGGAGATACTGCTGTTGGCTGAGACACACAGCCCACATCCTTGGTAGGTCCCTCAGAGAGCATCTAGTGGGCCTGTCCTCCCAGCTCACAGAAGGGGAAATTGAAGCCTCAAGAAGGATAGGGACTTGCCAGTATCACTGGGAGATAGGAGCAGAAGCCAGGGCTCATTCCCAGACACACAATCTCTGGGGGAGCCTGGATATGCATGGCAGAGGCCAGGATGAACCCTGAAGATTGGTAGGAAGGCAGTGTAGCAGTAACAAGACAAAGGGATTCTGTGGCCCATGGAGCAGGAGGGAACAGTCTGCAGATATTATCTGGGCACTGGCCAGTGGCTCTTGTGGCTGCCCTCTGCAATAAGAATTCTTCAAGTTCAGCCTCTATGTGCATCATAAACCTGGTGCCACCAGCCAAGGAGGTCAAAGGTCCTCACTGGCCAGTGGGCCACTGGGAAGCCTCCTGGATTGCCTGGACAAGGCTGACCTGCCCTCCCAGGATGCAAATTGGCAGGCCCAGCTTCATGCCTTCTTATGGTGCCCCAGAGCCCCTGGCTAGGCATTCATGCTTTAGATATGTGGGCCCTGTTAGGGACAACGTAGGTGTCCTGGGCAGGGGCTGTATCTGAGGCACACATCCTTGGTAGTGACTGGCTAGCAGGAGGAAGTCTGGCAGTTAGTCTGAGCAGTTAGTCTGTCAGGCCTGGTTGGTCCCATGGGAGGCCTGAGGTGCCATCTTAGAAATAGGGCCTTGTTAGGAGAAAAGGAAAGAAAAATAAAAGGTAGAGAGACAGAGGTAGACAGGAGTCCAGGTCTGACCTCAAAATCCGATGTCCCCACCATCCCCAGCCCCTTAGCCTCTGATCTTCTCCATAAGTAATCTTTTCCCATGTGTGGCTGCAGCCTCAGAGGCTCCCTCTGAAGATGACACTGGGAATATCCTGAAAAAGGTACAGGAACACCTGGCATGCCTCTCCCAGGGTACTCTGGATGTGCACCCAGAGATTCTCCCACTTTAGCAGGCAGAAGAGCAACCCAGCAGGGGATATACACAAAGATCTGAGAAAGGGATTATTTTTAGGGCCAATTCAAGGGATTTTTCAAAGGTTAATTTTGACTCTGCCTGACTTATCTCCTAAGTCTTTGGCACTGAGCATTTATACAAGATCAGACTGCACTGCACCCTAAGTATAAACCTTGCCACAGCAGTGTCCTGTGGTGCCCTGCTGGGGAAACTGAGGCAGAGAGCAGGGGTGACTTTGCAAGGCAATAGAGGGTACTTGGGAAGTAGGGTGGTAGGCAAGGCTTTTCAGAGAACAAGGAGCTACATACACATACATGCATGCACATAATCATTCTGACCCAGTCAGGGTTCTTCCCCCAAATAAATCCCTGCAACCCCACTGTGGTTATAGGTCTGAGCCTTCTGCCCCAGGGAGCCAAGCCCTGGAGAGGAGGTGGGCAGCACCAGGCAGCCAGCCTGTGGGCCCCGCTATGCTTCCTCAGGCAGCTAGTCTCTGTATCTGGGGTAGAAAGAGTGGGCTAAAAAGTCAGCTAGCACCCCTGACTTCAAGTCCTCGAGTGTATGTTGGGCTTGTCTCCCTACCCTGGCCCGGTCTGCACTCAAGCCCAGTATCCTCCCCTGGTCCCTGGTCTGGACTGAGCAGCTGTCTTCTGCCCACAGGGGACCTTTCTTCTCCCACCTAATCCTCCCTCTTTGGGCCTTTCAAAGTTGGGCTTGTTTTTCAGTGTTTTCTTTAGGTTCATGTCCTGATTTGTTAAGTTAAATTGAATTCCTTCCAGTCCAAAATACTCAAATGCTTTTTTCTGCTTTTCTTTTTGAACTGCCCCACGAACCCCACCAGCTGGGTGTGTGGGCTCCAGGTGGGAGCTCAAGGGGGCCTGGTGTGGTGGGTGCAGAAGCAGTGTGGTGGGGCAGCCTTCACAGGCTGATATGATTGAGCTCAGGCTGGTATGGGTTAGGGGATGAGAGTACAGAACAGTCCACCCCAGGGGCTCTGAAGAGCTTCAATTGAGATATCCTTCCCTAAGGTCCCCACATTCCATGGCAGTGCCTAGGAGCTCTGTGCTCCCAGGCCTCTCCATTACCAGCCTGTCTTCCACATTGGAAGGTGGCCTTATCAAACCACATGGCCTGAATTTTGATTGGGAAAGCATCCCTGTAGGTGTCAGGTGATGGAAGGACTCTGGGTAAATGGAAGCACTGAGACCAGATATGATAGGACCTTGCCCAGTGGACACAGCCAGCTGATGGCAGAGCCAAGGCCAGATGTCAGGTTCCAGACTCCAAGTTCTATGCTTTTTTGCTGGTCCAGCATGGCCTGTCTCCTCCCCGCAACAGATCCAACCAGTCCCCTTCAGAAGGGCTGGACCAAGTGACCCCAACTCTGGGTTCTGCCTGGGCATTTTCTTGAGTGTCATACCCTAGCCACCTGACTGTCAGGGGAGCAGTATGTGGCACTTGAGGCCTTGGGCTGGCCATGCAGGCCCACCACAGGTGGCAAGGAATCATGAACCCCAGCTGAGTCCCCTGCAGGCCTTGCCTAAAGGAGAAGCCAGTGAATCAATGTGTTACTTGAACAAATATAGGGTCTAGGGCTGGCCAAAAGGGACAGTGAAGTTGGCTTCTCAGGCCACAGTAGGCCTTCACGGTACTCAGCAGGAGACCCCAGCAGGCAGCATCAGGGCAGGGGTGCTGACCATCCCTGACCCAAGCACGAGGATCAGAATGGGCCCTGGAGCCAAGGCCAAAAGCCGAACTGTGACTAGGCAAGCTGAGTCCCCTGTAGATTCTGGGGACTGGGTGATGCAGACTGCAAAGCCTCAGCCACCTTCTCCCCTAGAAGAAATCTTGAGAGAAACAATCCCACAGGCTACCAGGCCAGCTTTTGGAAACAGTCTCATTAGCAAACAAAGGGAAGTGACAGAGCAGAGCTCCCCTTGGCCTTTGTTTAGCCCACCTTCTGCCTAGGCACCAGGCCTGGAGGTTCCAACTTGGTGTTGGGCCTCCTTGAGCCGGAACACCTGAAAAGCCATACAGACTCCTGCTCATCACAACCACTTGTTGATGCTGACAGCCTGTAGAAAGATTGCTCTCAGCCTATCCCCTCCCTGGCCATGCAGGTGGAAGACCCTATTACTTGGGCTAAAGAGAAGCTAAACGTGACCAGCCTACCCACCTTGCTACTGCTGATGACCACCCTGACTCATGTCCCTTGTCTGCATAGGTGTTTTCCTATAAATGTTTAATTCCTGAGGTTGCTGAATCTCAGGGCTTGGAAGGCCCAGACTGGACAGGGGAAGGGGTACAGTCCCTTCTTGCTGGTATGTTGGGAAGCTCTGGTGCAAAGGGCAGTGATGGCCCTTCAATCCCAGGCCCACAAGCACCACAGCCAGGAGAGTCAAGGTTGGATATGAAGAGGGACTTCCTGAAAGCAGGCACAGGAAGGGATGGGAGCTCAGCTCACCGGGTGCTAGACAAGGGAGTGTGTCTCTTTCCCCATGAGTGACAGCAGCCACAAGGGGATGCCCAGCATTGGGGGTGGGGTGGGGGGAGGGCCCTCCGTGCTTTCTGGCTCTTTGGGCCTGGGGTGCAGCCCCTCATTTGTACTTGCTGGCTGCCCCATGGGGGCTTGGGCTAGGTCTCCCTGCCGGTGGGGAGGGAGGTGTGGAAGCTGGTTTGCCGGGGCCACCCAGTGTGGGCTCAGGAAGGGAAGGAATGTGACCAAGGCTGGGTGTGGCTGGGGAGAGCACAGCCAGTTGTGGGTTTTTCTTGGGGCCCAGATAGATGTGAGCAGAGCTGGAGGCCCCTCTCTCCCAGCCCCCGGCACACACACTAGGACCTTTCTTCATCATGCAGCCGTAGAGCTGGAGGCCAAGGACACCCTCTGGAAATCTGAATTCCATTCGCTCTTGGCAAAGAGCAGCTTCCTGCTTAGGGAAGGTGCATGCGTGCGTGTGTGTGTGCGCGCCCGCGCGCACACGACCACAGAGGCTGGGGGGAGGCACGTGGGGAGGAGGGCTGCCTGTCGAGATGTGTAAGATGGCCCCAGTGTTACTAGGCACTAGATGGCACTTGCAAAGCCCATTCGGAGGATTTAGACAAATACCTCGAGTGAGTGAATCTGAAGCATGCTAGTTGTGTTGCCTTTTAAATAGGCTCTGGCTTAAAACAGTCACAGCGAAACATGCCTTTGAATTGGAAAGCCAGAACTTTTTGCAAAATAATTTGAAAAGTTTGTTGAACCTTAAACCTTTCCTGATGACTCCTTCCTTCTGAACTTAACTCGTTAAAGTTGCTCCAATCCCAGCCCAGTGCCAGACCAGCTTCCTGGAAACTCTCGCCAACTGCTGGCCTTTGGAAAGGCTTGTCACCCTAATAGCTGTTTTTTAAAAAAAAAAAAAAAAAAAAAAAAAAAAGCTCACTGGGCACCTTGGCTGCAGGGTCTGAAAAGTCCTTTGTGTTAGCTCCAGCTGCAGAGTTTTTCCAGGCCTCGCTTCTGGGGCTGACTGGAGCTGTTTCTCTTCGTTTCCTCTTACAGTGGCGGGCACTCAGCCGGCTTCTTCCCGCCTGACTTCTCTGCCAGAGCCCAGGTGGGGGACGGGGATGCCAAGGGCAGAGCCCCTGGAGAGGCTAGTGTGGGCATGTCCTGAGTGGACAGACCTGAAGGTGGGTTCACTAGCCTCTTTCTCCCATCCTTCACCCTATTAGAGGTAGTGCTCTAGCGGGGAAAGATTAGGGCCCCTCTAGGTCAATATTGTGTCATTTCCCCAGAATAGCCAGGGCCAAACCAGCTCCCAAGCAGTACTGTTTCAGAAGTGAAGATAACTCACCTCTCCCAAAAGCAGAGTTTTGGCAATATAAAACATGAAAGTGGGATGGGATCTAAGTCATATTTTTTTAATGAGTTTAAAACACGTGTGTGCATTAGAAAACATTTAAACACAGATATTGGGCAAATTAATTGAAAAATATATTGTCATTTTGCGTTAAAATAAAAGATGATCTGAAAATGGAAAAAAGTTACATAAAAACGTAAATATTTCATGAGACATAGCAGTCACAACATGCCATACACATTTCTTCCAGAATCACTCCACTGGAAATTCTGTAATAAGACATACGTAACAGTTTCACTTCCTAGGAGATCCCAATTGCTCCTCAGATAGGGTGGAGAGCACCCCTTATTAGAGGGTGGTTGGGCTCTCTAGGAGCCCGCCCAGGGCCTGCCCTGACTCTGGCTCTGCCTTTCCCTGTCAAAAACCTCTTTGTGCTGGAGCAGCCCCTGCTCCACAGAGTGACATGAACCAGAGACTCACAGCACTGTGTGCGGGGAGCTGCTGCCCGCAGGGCATACCAGCCACGTGCATGCAGGGCTGCACACTGCCCTACCGTGCATCCACTGCCTGGCCAACACCTGCCTTCTGGGGAGCCAATCGTGCTTTATGTATTCAAGGGTTGTGCTACAAAAATCATACAACAGTCTTTACACACATGGTAAAACCAATTCAGAGTACAAAAGGGGTGAAAAATAACACTCTCCCCACCCAACCCTAATTCCCAAGTTTCCTTCCCTAAAGGTTACCACTCAACACTTTCCTATTGCATCTTTCCAGACGTATTTTATATAAACAAATATACGTGTGTCTGTGTGTGCATGTACTTAGTAGATACGGCTCCTTTTTATACAAATGGTAGCATACTGTATGTATTTTTCTACACTTTGCCTTTGACTTCTTCCATAGGTATGCCATACTTCTTTTTGAGCTGTACATACAATGCTGATTTATTATGGTGCAGTACATCTGAGAAGCATTTTTATTGCAAAATGTGTGTTTACATGTATACAGACACACGTGTGAACAGGTGATGGCTCTGAACAGTGTAGTTGAAGTGCTGTTTTCTCATGGTTGGGCTTCCAGTATAATTGGAAGGAGCATAGTCTCTGTGTTCAGCTAGAGATTTAGCCCAATGGGCTGGGCTTTTCCCAGATAGGACATGCTCACTGTTCTGCTCAGATTGTTAGCTGTAGTCTTTCTGGCATCAGTTCCATTTCTGGTGAACACTTGGACTTGGCAAAAGGCATAGAGGTAGTGGTACAGGAAAGGTCTAAGAAGGCTAAGGACCATCATACTGGGTATTCAACAGCCAGCTCTCCAAAGAGGCCTCTAAGAAATGGGTAGCTTCACAGATTCACAGATAGATAGTTCATTAAGGTCTTGAGTATTTCCAAGGGAGCACTAACTGGACTACAGCCTGGCAGGAGATAACCAAGTCATATGCATAGTGGCTTTGGGTACGATGGTCTGCTGTATGAAGCAACCCTAGGACATTTGAAGAGAATGGAGTGATGGCCAGTGTATTGTGCTGGGATCTACCACAGGGGTCATGTTGTAATGACACCTGTCAGCTTTGACTGGGGAGCCCTTTCATTTCTTAGTAAGTGTTCAGCCCCAGTGTGCACCACTTAAAAGGAAGACACTGGTATGTTCTGGAGATGGATCTGTATTAAGACATCTAGCAAATCTCCTTTTCATTAACAGCTGCAGAGTTTCATTGTGCCATGATTTATGGAACAGATCCTCTGTTGATGGATATGTAGGGCAGCTAAAAAACAGCAGCCATTAACCATTCAAATATATTCACTACTGAAATGACCACTTATGAAATTAGTTTCCCTGAAACATCCCTCCCTATTGAACACTGTTGTTTCTCCCTATCCATCTTATCCCTACTTGTATCTCTGCTGACTGACCTCTTTGGCTGTCTCTTGTCAACCAAAGACAATATAAAGCACACACAAAGTAAAGAGGAACTTATAAAGAGGAACTGTAAATCTTGTCAAAATAGGAGATTTCATCAAGTTAAAGAAAATGATGTCAAATGATTTCTCAAATAGAGACTGGGCAGAGTAGACCAGTTAGTTAATCAGTTGAAGAGGAAACCAAGATCGATGCCTAGATAAGCATTTCAGAGGACAGCAGGGGAGATGATAATTGATGCAGGTGGCCTCTTGGTCAAGCAGTGAAACCATGCCATACTTCTACAAAAAATGATCCTCTCTGTGGAAGTGCTGCCAACATCCTCTGCCAAGTATAAAAGATGCCCTCAGATGTTACCATATAATGCTTTACAAAAGACAAACCAAAATCCCCTCTGGATTTGTTTTTTTCTAAAACGTGTACATAATTGTAACTCTAACAACTGTTATTGCATATGAGATAAAATAATATTTTAACTACTGTTATTTTTCAAATTAACTTCCCAATCAAATATCTCTATTGTAAAATTTTGGTCTCCGTTTTCAGTGGATTTACTTTAAGAGATCCTCCCTTTCCCCCCATTTCCAGCAGGATTAAAATGTTCATTTATGTTGTGATAGATACTGCCAAATAAGGGCTGTACCATTTACATCACTTTGACTGCACAAATGCACTTTCTTCCCCCACCCTTACCAAGTGTATACTCAGGTTTTTATCTTCATTCATTTCATAGATGAGAAATGGTACACTGGAGCTTTAATTTACATTTCTTTTGTTGGAAATGAGGTTTTTATCTTTCCAAATGCTTAAAATCATTTGTTTTTCTTTCTTGTGAACTATTTCTTCATACCCTTTGGACTTTGTAAAATACCTTGTCTTACTGATTTGTAGAAACTTGCTTTGTCATATTCATTGAAAATATTTTATCCTCATTTTCCTTAGGTGTTTTGGCTTTTTCTATAATATTTTTCTGGTGGCAGAATTTTTTTAATTTCACATAGTCAGCTGTGTCAGTCTTTTATGGTTTGAGGTCCTTATCTTAAATTCTGAAATAACCTCTCATCCTGAAATTGTTTTAATAAATTCTTCCATGTTTTCTTCTATCATTTTTTATTTCATTTTTTACATTTAAATCCTTGCTTTATCGGGATTTTGACAGAGTAATTAAATCCAATTTGGTTTCCCATATATTTGTCCAGTTGTCCAACACTATTTATTTGAGTACATCATCATCTCTCTACTAATTTCAACTGCTACCTTTATCATATTTCAAACTCTCATTTAATTTGTGTCCATTTCTAGACTCTATTCTGGACTGCTGATGGGCCTGTTGATAGGCCAGAGCTCAGTTATTTTAATTATGTAACTTTATGATGCACTTATCTGTGTAGCAGGACTCCCCCTCATCTCCATTACTTAAGAGCCAATAATGGGAAGCTCATTTTCACAAATGCAGTCAACCAGGGGAATTCATGGCATGGCCTAAGATCTAAACACTCTTAAGATTTAAACACAGGATTAGCTCTTGAGTTAGACAGGAAGCTGGGGTGTTTGGGACTGAGGCTTCATCGTGGCAGCTAATAATGTCAGGGAGCATGAGCACTTGTTTCTTCCAAGGCTCACTTCAAGGAAGGCAGAATCCAGGTCGGGGGTGCACAGGAGTTGCCAGCTGGACCCAAGGACCATTTCGTATACATGTATGATCATACTTTCAGGGCATCTTGGAAAAACTGAATTTGCTAACTCAATAGAGAACAAAAGAGCAAATAGGCCTAATTCAAGAATTTTTAAAAACCCGCAATAAGAAACATAATCTAAAACTTGTAGCCCAGCCCCTCCTCCATACCAACCACCAAAAAAACCCACTAACACCATAAAGTGTCATAGCTAGAGCTAGAGTGCTGTTATAAGCTGTGCAGGCCAAAATGGTTTCATGGCATGAGTTGGGCAGCAGCGACTCAGTTTCCATGTCTGAGTTAGGCCACCTGTAACAATGCAGCCCCATCCATGTGAAGCTGGTCCAGAGGACTACAGCTGCCTGTCCCACCCTTGGCTGTGCTCTCCTTTACTAATCCATAGCCAAAGACAGGGGCTAATAACAGGGTCTGGAGTCTGAACTCATATCCTAATTCCACTACTTTCTACCTGCTACACCTTGAGTGAGTCACTTAGTCTCAGTTTCTTTATTTGTAAAATGGGAATCATAAGAGTACCTTCCTCAGAGGGTTGTTAGGAGGATTACACAAATTAATAATATAAAGTATGCAGAAAAGTGCCTGTCCTATAGTAGTGACACAGTGTTACTTAAATGTATTGCTATACCTCATGATGGCCATTCCATCCATTGTAATCATGTGTACCATGCAATTCACAGTGCCTGACAAAGCTGATGGGGAGGCGAGTTGGAATGAATAGTATCAGCATCAGAAAAAATACAAGTGCATCCTCATAAGATTATTTAGGATGCATAGGATCCCAGATTAGATTTTTTTTAAATCAGCCGTTCTCTGTATTCTTGTCCAGATGCTGTGGACAGTGATGATGGGAAAATAGTCCCTGCTGCACACTAGGGCCTGTTAGGCCAGTTGAGGGCTAGAGGAGCACAAGGGGCCAGACTGCTGCTACTTCTGAATTTTATAGGACATGCATTTTTTTCATATAAACTTAGAACTAGCACGCCTAATTTTTTTTTTATTTTTATTTTTTTTGAGGCAGAGTCTCACTTTGTCACCTAGGCGGGAATGCAGTGGCACAGTCTCGGCTTACTGCAACCTCTACCTCCTGGGTTCAAGCAATTCTCCTGCCTTAGCCTCCCTAGTAGCTGGGACTACAGACATCTGCCACCATGACTGGCTAATTTTTTTTTTTATTAGAGACAGGGTTTCACCATGTTGGCCAGGCTGGTCTCAAACTCCTGACCTCAAGTGATCTGCCCGCCTCAGCCTCCTAAAGTGCTGGGATTACGGGCGTGAGCCAATGCACCTGGCCTCAGCTTGCCTAATTAAAAAAAAAAAAAAAAAAAAAGTTGTCTATCTGTGTGTATATTCATATCCCATTGGCATTTGTTATTGAAACTTCATTCAATTTAGATTAACTGATGAAGAATTGCCTTCCCCACCTCAAAAAAAAAGTCTTTCCAGCCACAAATAGAAGCAGTTTACCCACATGTTCAAATCCATTGCAACATCCTTCCATATTTTTTTAGATCTTTGTATGGATTTTGGACATTCTAAAATTCATTTCTGGGTATTTTTAGGAGGACTACTGATTTTTTTTTAATTTGGGCATTTTTTAAAATAAATTTTTATTTTGAGATAATTGTACATTTCTCATGCAGTTCTAAGAAACAACACAGAGAAATCTTACATACTCCTTTACCTAGTCTCCCCCGATAGTAACATCTTGCAAAACTGTAGTACAATATTCTGACCAGGATATTGCATTGATAGTCTCACTACAGGACATTTCTAACTCTTCAAGAATCCCTCATGTCCCCCTTTTATAGCTACCCCCAATTCCCTCCCACCCTACCCTGTCCTTAGCCCCTGACAACTACTAACCTATTCTTCATTTCTTTATCATTCCAAGAAAATTATATAAATGGAACCACATAGCAAATCACCTTTTTGGGATCGGCTCTTTTCACTCAGCACAATTCCCTGAAGATTCACCCAGGTTATTGTGTGTATCCTTGCATTTTGGTATGACCCAATTTGGGTTTGTATTTTTAAAGCTGATGGACACTATTTACTAGTGTTTTCAAGATTGCACTGACCATCATAGGTGAAATAGGTATGTGTTCTTTTATTATGAAAGCCTCCTCAGATGTGGACATTAGTGAAATGTGGGCTCCAAAAAGAGACTTTGGAAGATTTCACTAATGATGTGGTTATTTTTTAAATAGATGCCCCCCAAAAAAGCACCTATGAAAAAATTCTTACATAGCAATTCTACTTCTGAATGCTAAGAGGGTTTGGAAAAAGTCATTTTTGCAGTGTTTGTGTTCTATGAAGAGTGGGTAGAAGGAAGCAGGAGAGTATTCCTGCCTCCCCAGGAGAGAGCTTCACTTTCTCCCTATACCTTCCTGTCCTACCAGCCCACCTGGTTCTCTGTCTCTCTCCAACTGTGACCGTCTTTTCCTTGTAGCTCCCTGCTCACTCCATGTGGAGGATGGCTCTTGGGGCTGGGGTGACTAAAGGCAAAGAATGGGGATCCCTGTGACAGCTCTAGGGGATTTTGGGACCAGATAACCTTAATGGCCTCAGGCTCCCTAGATGAGAAATGGGACTTAGTAAAGTCAAACTGGTCCAGGTTAAGCCAGCCCATGATGCCTGGAAGGAACTTACCCTTTTCTAGAGTAACTTCCCTTTTCAGGAAGTTTCTAGCTTGCTTGCTCACTCGCTCTCCCCACCCCCACCCAACCTCCCCCAACCTATCTCTCCCTCTCTCAGGAGAAGGTGCTCCCTCACCCTTAAAGACCAGGCTGCCGTTGCTTCCCATGTGTCTGTTCCTCTATTCAGTATTGTGGGCACTGATCACACACCAGGGCACTGTGGGGGCCCTGGGACCTGGGAGGACCAGAATGGGTACAGTCCCTGCCTTCTCAGGTTATGGTCATATCATCCATGCTCCCCAAACATCAAGGTACTCCAAAGGAGGCCCAGCACTACCATCTAGGTGGGGAGAAAACACACCGGCCATAATGAACACACGTTTAGGCTGAAGAATAATCTTCAAATGATACTACTACTTACACTTCCTGTTTGCCAGGCAAATATAGACATCATTTCACTAATCCTCACAGCAGCTTTTAACACAAGAATATTATCACTCCTGTTTTATAGATAATCTCCTAAGGGTTGAGGGATTGAGTCTAGGGCCCAGGGTCACAAAGCTAGGGAGCCGTGGATCTGCAGGAGATGTCCCAGCTCATCAAATATTCTTTCAGTATTAAACATATCAAGCTCTCTCCTGACCTTCTCTCCCCTTCCCCAGGCCAGGACTGTCTTATCCTGTGGTTCTTAGCTGAAATGTCCCTTCCTCAGAGGAGCCAATTTCTAAAGCTTAAGACTGGGCTGTAAAAAATCACATACCTCCCCTCCCATTCTTAATGTGTAACTGTGTGTTTATTTGTGGTAAAGGGTTTACTGGCTGGCTCCTTCTATCACATTCAAGGAGCATGAGGGTATAGGCTGGCTGTTTCTATTCAGTGTTTTATCTTCAGTGCTTAATCCATATGGAGCCTGTCACGGACCCTCAGTGAATGTTTGACGAGTGAGTGAGTGAGTGAGTGAGTGAGTGAGTACTTGTGCCCAGGTCAAACCAGGTGCTAGGACCCTGGCAGGGGTTCCATAAGGCTATGCTGGGGTTCAGGCAACCCAAGGCTGGTCTGGAGAGTGTAAGGCTTGAGAGCTCTTCTTCAGGCTCAGTCATCCCTGCTTCCCCAGGGCTCATGTCCACATGCTATTGTCCATAGAAGCTGGGGTCCAAAGTTGACCAGAATATCTCTAGTCATAAAGAATCTCTTCCCCTTGAGCCCACTCATCTCTGTTGACATTCTAGAAATGCAGGGAAATCTGGGCACCATGAAATGCAGTGACTTGCAGTGATCCTCCTGGGGCCTTGTATAGAAGAGACCATCTCAGTTTTGTAGACCAGGAAACTGAGGCTTGGGGATAGCAGATGTTCCCAGACAGAAAATGGTGGCACCTGGAGAGGTGCTCAGGTCTGTGTGGAAGAAAGGACAGGAGTCCTTCTGCCACCCAGACTGTGCATTCAGACATCTCCCTTGTGCTGTGCAGCCTTAGTTCTGCCTCCTGAGAGAGGTGACCTTCTCCCACTTCTTACAGGCAAGGCTCTTGCTAGCCTGAGGACCAGGAGCCTTCAGATTTTCTTGTTCCCAGGATATATCGCACCAACTCAGGAGGGTGTGGGGATGGGCTAGCATTAGGAATGGGTATTAGCATCTGCATTAAAAGGCTCCCACTGACAGCTCATGCATTGTGATGGAACTAGAGGTGAGATACAGAGCAGGAGTCCATGGCACCTCCAGAACCTGTCAGCCTGAGTATGGGCAATGGCGTTTTAGTTTGCAAAACCAGACACATAGAGGCCAGGTTTCCCCCGCTCAACACTAGGCCACTGTGCCTGCCACTGCTGTCTGCAAATGCAGGTTCCTGGGGCTCTGGGTGGTTTGTCCAATGGCTAAGCTTTCCCCAGGAATGGGTAACTGGAAAAATGTAGGAATTACATATGATTCCATCAATGACAGTTTTCCTATTAAAACATAACTTGTTAAAGCATAGAGCTTAGTTCAGAGTAAACATTTCTAAAAAAGAGGTAGAAGCCCCTACCTACTGACTGGCATCACAAACACTGCCCTGAAATGCCAACTCATTTCAAATACTGCTCTAGACAACTGGGCCCTGCATCTGCTGCAAGGAACATCCCTTACTTTCCCATCTCAATACAACTGTGAAAAGCCTAGCCTGGGACTCAGGCCTTTCCTTACTCCCTCTGGTTACCTAGCTTTAGCTCTGAGGCAGCCCAGATGACATGGGCCTCTAAGGCTGGCTGCTCTTACTCTATACCCCAAAATCCCAGCCACTAGCTTGCAGAATGGCTTTGTTGGATTCCCCTCCCTGGCCCCACACTCACTGCTACATCTCTCTTCCAAATCATAAATGCAAAAGATGGCCAAAGGTGCATGCTCTGTGACACGTTTCATAGTCAGACAAAACCAGCTGACTGCTTTTACTTTTTTTTTTTTTTCATTTAGAAGAATTTCCTTGGCAACTCCGTCTCTCCTTAGTCAACATCAGCTAACTTCATCCTCCCCCTTTATCAAGACATTGTTTAGAGTAAATAATTCATTAACTGGTACAGCAATTTCAGAACCCTTTCACATAGATTCTTAAGGGGACCGTTTCCCTTGAAGAATGGGGTACACCAGAGGACTTAGGAAGAGAAGCGCCCACTGGGGCTTGGTCAGACTCTGCCAGGAGACAGGCAGCTGTCTGTTAACTGACCCTACCCAGTACCTTCTGGGATTGGATTAACAAAAGGGGAGTTGGTTAGGCTGGAGCATTGCAACTCATTTCTTCCCTGCAGTCTCTCTCCTGAGGTGGCCCAGGTATGTGTTTGAGGCCTGGGACTTGCTGCCAGCATGAGACAAGCTCCAGTGGGGTCCATCCCCCTGATTCCTCAGTGCCCCAGCACCACCTCTTTCATTTGAAAACGTGTTCTTTTGGCAAAAAGACTATGCTCCAGAACTTTCTGGCTGAGTTCTCCTTCTATTCCTCCTATTCCACTGTTAGGTGTTGGAAAAGCAATATATTTGATGCTTTCTCCATGTCCCATAAATGACTTTCTGGCAGAGGAGAGTGACTGTCCTTTGTCTGTGGCCCTGGATTTGAGGCTAAGCCTTCCTTGAAGAAGGAACAGGAAAGAAAGGCTTGTTGGATGTGCAGGGAGCTAGTGGCCAACTGAGCACTTGCTCAGGCGGAGGGGCCTGGAGAGAACCCAGGGTAGGTCTGCCTGGGAGAAAAGGGGTAAGGGAGGACTGCCTCCCAGCCTTCCCTCCCCACTGGTCTGGGCACATTCCAAGGCTTGAGGTCTCCTAGTCAAGGCCTCCTGTTATTGGCTTCCTCCAGGGAGTCTGCTGAGACAAAAGTTTTAGATTCTTTCACTACATCATAAGGTAGGTAAGTTTGTGTCCCTGATCCATGCAGCATGTTATCTTTGTACCTGGTAAGGAGTGAAATGGCTTCCAATTTTACGGACTGGTTGCTTTTCATTCATATCTTCTTGCCATCCCTGTCTCATGGGTGAGCACATTTCCTGGATTTAAAATGTATGGGACAGCCTGTGAGAATTACAGATTCCAGGGAAGGGGCCCTTTTGGCACGGGGGGTCTGATGGTCAGAGCTAATCAGGTGTGGAAGAAGCTGCCTGGAGAGGATCCCCATCTGCATGGAATGCCCCCTTCGTGGGGATGGCTGGCACAGCTCACACACGGAGGCACTACTTCAGTCCTCCCATTACCAAACTCCAGGGCACACGTGCCACTGTGTCTTGCCCACAAACATGCACACAGAGTATCGATCTGTCTGATGTTTCAGGGACCCAGCCATGTCATGGAGGGTACATGGGCAGGTACCATCTCTGCCTGGTACATGGGCAGGGGATAGATGTGTTTCCATGGGTCTCCTTCACATAGAATTGTCACCTGAACGAGAAGCCCTTATCCAGAAGCCCAGTGCAACTCCCATCTCACAGGCCACCAGCAAGTTGCTCACATCCAGACAGGAGACGCTAGTCCTACAGGTGCAGTGGGAGGATCTGCAGATGACTACAGCTCTTGGCCCTTCCATACAGCACATGACAGGAAGCTAGGAGGGTTGCAGCTGGCTGTTGCCATTCCACTCAGGGTTGAGGGGACAAGCCCACACAGGTACCAGAAGTTCAGGGGTCCCATGTGGACTTCAGGCCTTCGGTCTGGGACCCCAGGGAGGGTGCTCTGACAGTCCGCCGAAATGGCCAGCAGGCAGGCATCCTCCCAGGTGGCAGTGAGAAAGGGCCCTGCACAGTCAGCGTTCCTGAGAATGCGATTCCTACTAGAACGAGGCTGTTTCCCAGGCTGCCTCCTGCTTCACCCAGGACTCAGACCACAACTAGACTAGGGAAGAACTTGTTCTCCACGGATGAGCCTGACCAAGTTCTGGGCCCACTCTCCCATCCTCCTGCTGGGTCACACGGATGAGGCCTGTACACTCTGGGCCTCAGACTCCACACCAAGAAGAGTCAGGGGGGCTCACTCTAAGCCCCGCCAGCTCGCACCATCTGATGGGGCAGGGGCAGGGGAAGGACAGGGCCAGCATTGAGTAGGCCTGAGTTGATGGCAAAGTGTAGGCCTTTGCCCTGTCTCGCCCCCTTGCTTCTGGGGTTTGCTTCGCCTTTCTGAGAGCACAGCAATGCCTACTCATCCTGCCCAAAACCCTGCTCCAACCTAGCTGTGTGACCTTTAGGCCTTGGGATAGCACACAGCAAATGTCTGCCACCCCAGTACTGCCACTGGCTTGGGAGGCCAGACCACAGACCACACTAGTGTCACCTGGCCCGTCCCACCTGTTCCAAGCTGGGGGAGGAGTATGCTCACTTGGGCTTATCAGCAGAGCCAGGGTACCCCAACCCCTGACTAGGATATTGTGGATACCTATGCCCAGAGCCCCTCCACTGCCAAGTTTCCACAATTGTTTTGAAATAATTCCCAACAGATACCCCCACCCTCACCCAGTGTTGAGTCTCACTCCCGTCACGGAAATGACAGCTCCCAGCCCTGGGCAATGTGCTCCTGCAAGGACAGCTGTGGTGACTAGAATGGCAGCTTGGCTACTAGCACTTTTCACATGAGCGTGGCTGCCCTCAGGCCCAGGCTGCACAGAGCATGGCCGCTGGATCAAGTGTGGGTCCCAGTTGGATGACAAACCCATGTTCAAGGCTGGGAAGTCCTACTCGGCCCCACTTCTACCCAGGACCAGTAGCTTTCAATTGTAAATGTGCATCCCCTGTGATACACTATGATGCACAAGCAGCCCCTGCTCACCCCTAAAGAGCAGCACAAGTAACTCAGAGCCACTGTCCCCTCTGGCCAGAGGCCCTGGTTTGTGTCTGCCCAGTGACCAGCCTGAAGATAGAGGCAACCCAATCCAGGTCCATGCAGGTCTCCGTGATGCGGAGCATGCCCAGCTTACCATCCTGATGCAGAGGCAAGGACAACACTGGGCCCTGACTTGCTAAGATGGGAGCAAGAGCTTAGGGCTAAAACTCAGCAGTCCCAGCTCTGGGGGACAAGGACCCACAAAGTGATGCAAGATATCCTGAGTTGGGTGTGACAAGTACACCTTGACACACAAACTGCACAGGGAGGGGAGGAATCTGAGCCAGCTTCCTCCACAAAGCACAGAAGTCTGCCAAAAGCCCAGGCTGGATAGGGAGCATCACACTGTTGGGAAATGTGCAATTTTCACTCAGCCAGCATCACTACCAGCTCCGGGCTTCTCTCCTCTGGCCTCCCACCTTGCAGCTTTGAGATCCCAGGCCTCTCAGGGCTCTGGCTGAGGGCTGTGAGCCAGAGGCTGAGGTAGCCAGGTCTGCCTTGGGCTGTCACTCAGGGCTGAGCTCTGCTGAAGGATCTGGGAGGTCAGTAGGCACCTGTGTCCACCCAGCTGTCCATACAGATCCCTGCCTGCACAAGAGCTGCTGCAGCATTTCAATAGGGCCATCCCAGGCACCCTAGGACTTGAGACCAGCCTCCTCTGTATGGTCCCTTCCCTGGTGCACCTACCACAGCCCACTCTGATGACCCCCTGTCAAGGAGGTGTGACTGAGAAAGGAAGGGGCAGAGATCCCTTCTCCATTCCTCTCAGGCCCCTGTAAAAATTGGGACCTGTCCTTGCCAGCCAGGTCTCAGGGAGCTCAGGGTTCAGTGTTGGAATGGGTCTGGGCCCAGATTTCAAGCCAGTAACCAGCAAATCATGGGGAGACTGAGAAGAGGAGCCCCTTAGCAGGCCTAACCACACCCCTAAGCCACCCAGCCTGGCCCCCCTCCTCTGCCCCAACTGGCTCCAGGCCAAACTCTGGTTCCTGAGGAGCCTCAAAGGCTGGACTTGGGGTGTCCCGCGGAAATCCTGGTGGGATGGAAAATCCCCAGCAGTTGTGAGGCTGCACTTCTCCCACCCGCTGTGGGTCAGCCAGGCCGCTGCTTCCTGCTTCCCTTTGATGTCTCCTCGTGCGAGGGAGGGGTCAGCACCCCTCTAGGCTTGGGCAGGCACACACTCCACTCAGCTGCAGCCATGGAGTTGGTGCTTCTAGGGCCTGGGTATGCTGGAGTCAGGCAGGGGACCTGGTGGGGGTGGGGATACAGGCTGAGGTGGAGAGACCCCACGCAGCTCCCTAGGCCTCTGCAGACAGCTCCCAAGCAAGGGGGCAGGAGGGGCTGCACTGAGCCCACCAAAGGTTGTAGCCACTCATACAGGGCTGTTTGATCTGAGAGGGAGGCGCCATGACCTCTGTTTAGACAAGGAAAATGAAGACTCTGGAAAATCTAAGCACGTCACACACACAGCTTCCATGGGGGTCTTCCTCTCGTGTCTGGGGAACTTCCCCGTAGAGGTTTCAATAACTGCCATCCTTTGCTGATCCTCTGTGTAGGCACTGGGCCCCAGCCCCTGCCTGTGCCATCACTATTTCACAGGAGAACACCACACTGAGGCTCTGCCTCTGGTTGCCCTGCTCTGGGTGATGAGGTAGAGGTCACACAGCCAGGCCAGTGGCCCTAGTGTCAAGGTTCCACACCACAGCCTCATAGCAGCCAGTGCTCGCTCACTGAGGCCAGGCACTCATCTTGTGCTGTGCCTGGGTGAGCTCTGGACCTGCCTCCTAAACATAGGGCTGCCTGCTTCGTTCATTTCCACACACCACGTGCCTAGGCCCAGCTGGGGCTGGCATACAAATTGGGTGGCCCGGCTCTGAGCTGCTGCTGGTTACTGTGGCAGTTTCCACCTATACCACACCTATATACTTGCCCTCCCCCACACACAGCCCACCTGGCCCATCCCACAAAGAGAGATGGCACTCCAGGTGGAGAGGGCTGGGCCAGAGGTCATGCAGCAAGGTCAGGTTGGAAGCTGAGGTGGGGCTAGGGCCACCCCACACAGGCCTGTCTCACAGGCTGTCACCCACTGGGCCTAGGGCTCTGAGAGTAGGGGTCTGATCTGGAGAGCAGGGGAGCCTGCAGGTCCCTGGGTTGGAATCCTGGAGCCCTGGGCTGCAGGGTTTTGAGGGGCAGTTACCTCCTCCTCCCCGGTGGCACATCCGGCCTGGAAGTTGGGTAGTCTGGCCCAAGGCCTGCCCTGGTGTGAAAGCCTGAGACCCTAAGGAGAGCTACAGGTGGCTCAAGGGCCTGCTCCTCCTCCTTTTCTGTGCAAACAGCTCAGCTTGCTGACTTTGATGCAGTGGTTTAGGCCAAGCTTTGAAGTCAGCCCTTGGAGGACGTTCCTATCAGCCTTTGCACAGATATCTCCCACTCCAACCCTAAGACTCAATGCCACCTCAGGACTGCCCCTATCCGCAGAGCTTGAGGCCTTTAGGTCAGCCTTGGGAAGAGGTGCTTGAGTGGGGTGGAAGAAGCCCACTCTTGGGAAATGGGGAGCATAGGGGAGGAGGAAGACACTGCCTTGGAATGACACTCCCAGAGACCTCTGCTCTGCCTACCTGCATTCTGCTGAAGGTTTTGGGTCACCTTGTTTTATGGTCCCTGTCCCAGCATGAAGCTTGCACAGGAAGAACAGAATGAATGATGTGGAAATCTGTTAGCAGTGGTGTCTTCTAGATTCTCAAGGATCCGGGTATTTTAGGAACAAAACAAGCCAGCAGGTGCAGAGGTCACAAGCCTCCTGAGAGGGCCAGGGCAGAGTGAGTAGCTGCAGGGGCAGCTGTCCTTTGCACCTGGGCCTAGAGTGCCAGAGACTTAGTCTCATTTGTTTACAGGAGACTGATGGGTTCCTGAGCAGCCTAGGAGGGGAGGGGAAGCACTGCGTTCTCAGTGTGGTGCTTGGCCCTCCCAGGTGCCTGGTTGTGGCCTGCCACTTAGCACCCACCCCTGCCTATCCAGCCCCATCCCTGGGGAAGGTTCCCACCTGCTCCAACTTCTGGTACTCCCAGGCTGCCTCACCCAACGATGACAGTGACTAGCCTCAGAGCCTGGCTGCTTGGAAGACCTTTGCCCAAGCAGAGAACTGTTGAGGAAGGTGAGCCTTCCGAGGGCCAGCCCTGCCTCTCCTCCCCTCTCCTAGCCTGCTTCTGTCTGGGCTGAAGGCACAGCAGGGACAATCGCTCTTCCGGGGTTAGAACTGGGGGAGCAGGGACAAAAAGCGGGCAGCCCTCCCCAGCATGACAGGATGTGGAAGGCTGGTCTCTCCAGAGACTGGGCTAAACTCTGCTGTGTCAAGTGCCTGGTGACCTCAAGCAAGTCATTCCATGTGGCTGAGCTGCTCCTTGCTGCATCTGCACATATGTGTAGTGTCTTCCTCCCTGTAGGATTGTCACAAGGATTAAATGATGTCAAGTCTGAGGCTGCCCTGCAGCTGCTGTTTCCACTACTTGGCATGGAACATGTGCCAGACCAAAAGAGCTATCTCTCTCCCTGCGAAAGGCTGGGGTCCTGGGAGCTAGAGCTGGGTTAAGATAAGAGCAGAGACTGGGTCCTGGGAACAGCCACTGGGCCCAGTCGGGGGGGTCTCAGCACCTATCACAAAGAAAGTGCCACTGGGCCTAGGGAAGGACAAGAAGTAACATGTCAAAGATGGGACAGAACCCACCTCCTGGCAGGGAGTGGGGCACACATATGTGCATGTTCATATATGTGTCAGAATGCGTATTTGTCAGTGTATGTGTGTCAGTGCACATAGGTATAGGGGCTGTCTCTCAGAATTCCTGAGGGCTTTCCATTTGATCCCAGTGGTTGAAGATGGAGTATGATCCCAAATCCCTTAGGTGGATGTGGCCTGGCAGGGGGTCAGCAGGAGGGAGGTCCCTGTCTCCTTGGCTTCCAGCTTCCAGGCTCTGGCACTCCCACTGTTAGGAACAGGTACCTTTAGGGACACAGGAGTGTAAGCCACTGTTTCCGTCTGGGTTTTGTCATGTGTAGGTCCCAGCGGCTTTAAGCCAACCTGAAAGGTTCATTTGGGAGTCACGGGTATGTGTCAACAAAAGCCCACCAGACCATCAATGAAGTGGGCAAAAGCTCTGGGTGAACTCTTGGCTCAGGTATCAGGATATGCTGGGTGAGGGAAATAATGGAGGCACCTTTGTTCTAGATGCCTGCAGATTCCTGACAACAGTAGGGGTGGAGGCTGTGCAGACCTGGTGCAGAGTCTGTGCTGGCCTCTGGCCTCTCACAGCCTTGGGAGGGGTGCTCAGAGCTCAGCTGTGTTTAAAAATTAGCAAGTGGAGGAGTTAGAGGATCTGCAGTTAACCCCTTGAGTCTCGGAAGGCTGTTTGAGCCACTAATCAGGAAGGAGAGCTGACAAGAAAAAGGCGATGTCTCACCCCTGAGCTACAATCCACTGCACTTACAGTGACCACCCATCCTGACATCTTGGGCTCAGGCCTCTGGGTCTGGGCATAGAAGCCCAGGAACTGCTGTCTGTGGGGAGTCCACTGAAGCTCCCTGCCCCCACTGAGTCTCTGATGTTGACAGCCTCTTTGTTTTTTCATCTCAGCCTATTCAAGGCCATTTTTCAGCTTGCTTGGCTTTGCATTAAAGTTGGGGGGATTTCTCTATCCTGAGGTTATGAAATACCTCAGCAAGGACGAGGCCTCCCTGAGGGAGTCAACCTAGCTTGTTCCCTGCACGTACTGTGGGGAGGTCCTCTTTACCGCCACAGTTCCAAGGGTGAAACAGAGAACCAGGTGGGGAAGGGGTCTCTCCCCATCTGTCCAGGGGAGAGGCAGCCCACAGGGAGCCACACAGGCAGGGGACATTCCACTAGGGCCATTTGCAGGCCAGTGGCCATCCACTGCCAGCAATCAGAGAATCACAAGCACTGGATCCAATGTGACCTCTGCCAGGACCATGACCCCTAGGTCCTCTTTTCCATCCCTCCAGTTCTCCTGGCTTTCTTGCCATCTTTCTGGCTCTATCCTCAGTCTCCTTGGCAGGTTTTCCCTTCTGGCATGGCCACTAAATGCCAGTGCCTTTCTCTATGCAAACCATTTCCCTAAGCTGTTCCCTCAGCACCAAGGGCTTCCAGACCACCTGTGAGGCCCTGACCCCCCAAATGTCTCTCCAACCCAGCCAGACCCACATTCCAGTCACCTGCCCCCACCTCCTCTCCACAGCCTCCATCATTTTATAGCCCACTCTACTGAAGGCCCCTGTCCTTTCAGTGTCACCCATCCTTTCAGTGGCACAAGTCAGAAGTTCTGGGGTCATTTCCGATACACCCGCTTCCTCACCACCTGCCCATCACCTCAAGCCCATCACCAAGCCAGGCTTACTTCACCCATCCATAGTTCTAGAGGTTCCCTGCTTCCCTCCATCCCTATTGCCACTGTCCTGATAGGCCACCATTTCTCTGTACTGCAGGCATCTCCTAACTGGCATTCTCACATCCCCTGCCCCATTCCAATCAATTATCTACTCAGTGGACAGACATCCTTTCAAAGTTTAGAGACCTGTGGGTCTTGCTTAATCCTGCAGCTGCCTTTCTGGTAGTTCAGATGCTTGGCTTCTTTCCATCCCAGGTGCTCACAGGCTCCCTACCACCAGAGGGCCCTTGGCCTGCCCCTGCCACTTTCCCCAAGGGAGTTTTTCAGACCCCAGGCTAGTTCCAGTGGGTTCCTGCTATACACCTGCTGTGCTCCCAGGCCTCAGCACTCCCCTCAGGGTGCAAACGGTCCTTCAACATTAGTTAGTCTTTCTCCCCTTTGTCCACTAACCCTGGGAGGGTAGGCAGGTCCCTGCTCCTATCAAATCCCTCCCTCTGGGCCAGGGTCTAGTACCTGCTGAGTGTTTGACAAATATTTCTTGAATGACTGCATCCCTAACATGAGGCAATGATCATTCCCCTGCCTGTTAGACATAATTCACTGCCTGGGAAGGCACTGTGCTGTGTAGATGCAGCAAGCTGGCTAAAATCAACTGTAGCATGGCCTATGTCCCAAGCAGGTTGTCCTGCCCATACGCTCAATAATGAGGCCCACTGAACTCTCCTGGTTTCCAGAAGCCTCATAAGCAAGCACGCTCAGTGAAGGAACAGGAAGTCCTTTCTGGAGCAGGGGGAGAGAAAGGCATCCAGTTAGCCATAGAGGGGAATGGCTCCTTACTCTTTAAGAGTCATTTGCCCCAAGACTACTTTCTGTCAATCACCAGATAGCCCTCAGTCTACACTCTGTGATCCACTCATGAATATCTGGTCTGGCTCTGCGTTCCAGTCAGACCCTTTTCTGAGAGGACCACAAGTCATAGCCCAGGGCTACCTGTACAGCTACCAGGCTTAACAACTCAGATGCACACCCTCCACAACTGCTCTTAGCACCCACAGGCCTGGGCCCTCTCTCCCTGCCCTGAAGCCAACCAGACCCTGGGTGGGGGCCGAGTCTGGCCAAGCAGCAGTGTGTGGAGCTGGGCCTGGGCCTAAGCTGGGAATAAGCTTGTTTTGCCAGGCGCTGGCCCCCCATCGAGTCCCCATTCTCTAATGCTAATTGCTACAATTAGCAGGAGAAAGGCCTTTTAGATCCATTTCTTCTCCTGGCTGAGGCCCGGGCTGCTAGGGAGGTTGAGCCCAAGGCTTTTCGGAGGAGCAGGGATTCTTCCATAAATGAGGCCACATTTAAATTGCAAACAAGAGCTTCGCCCAGCCGTAGGAAAGGCTCTGGGAGAAAGGCTTTTAGTTCCGCAGACAGAGCAGCCAGAGACTGGGTGCGCTCCAGCCTCATGGGCCTTCCTGGCTGGTGTGACTGGAACCCTGGGTTATACAGGCTCCTGCCAGTAACCTGGACATGCTGGGGCCGGCCAGTTCAGAGGAGCATGGCACAGGCTGATAAAGGCACCGGAAGGAAAGGCAGTATTAGAGGCCACCCCTTGCCCTCCCATCCAGGCCTGCTCTGAGGGAAACCCTACTCGTCCTCCTCCTGGAGTGTACTGCAAACCTGGATCCGGTATCCGCTGAGAACCACTCATTCATCAGTCTGCACTAACTGGAGAAGGTGAGCAGGCCCAGCCCGGCCTCTCTAGGCCACCTCCAACTTGGTCAAGCCACAGGTGCCCATGCCATAGATGGCTGAGGGACGGCAGCTGACACGTAGTTCCAACTAAACCTCTGGGTGGCAGCCCATAGGTTGTGGGACTGGAAGTGCTTGCCAAACAAATTATACTGCTGACCAGGGAAGAGGGTACTCTGATTGGCCAGGCCTGGGCCAGGGTCTTTCTCACCGAGGTGGTGAGGCTATAGGTGTTAGATGTGGCAGGATGCAAGCCAGGGCCTGCTGCCTTTAAAGAGCCACAGCAGAGACACCATCCCAGTCCCAAGAGCTGTTCTAAGGAAGTGGTTGTCATCTGCGGTGCCCCCCAGGGGACATATGGCAATGTCTGGAGATATTTTTGGCTATCATGACTATGGGAGAATTACTAATATCAACTAGGTAGAGACCAGGCAGGGTGCTAAACATCTTACAATATAAATGACAGCCCCTCACAACAAAGATACATCCTGTCCCAAGCATTACCAGTGTGGCTGGCTAAGAAACCCTGGTTGCAAGGGGTCAGATTTTGACATGCTATTTGCTTTCTCACTGAGTTGTGAAAATGGAGGCACACTTTCCTGGCCTGGCCTCTTCCTTCGTTCAATAAATGAATGAAACCATTCAACAGAAATCTGTGACACACCCACCATGTGCGGACCCTATACGGAAGACAGATATGCTCTCTTGGGGCCTCTCTTCCGGTGGAAGAGATAGGCAGCCAACAAATAAGTAGATGTCTAAGGAACTAGAAAAGCGTAGCCTGTGCTTTGCAGAGACTCGAAAGGTAGTCGTCAGCTAGTGAGTGACTGAAGGGGATGACAGATATGGCAGGTCAGAGCAAAATTTCCTGTGAGATTTAAATAAGAAGAAGGAATTGTCAAGGGAAGATCACCAGAAAAGACAAGCCAGGCAGAGGTGGTGAAGGCCTTGGGGCAGGAGGGATACTTGGCAGATTTAACAAAGAAGAAGAAGGCTGGCAGAGCCAAAGCTCAGTGAGGGAGGACAGTGGTCAGAGAGGTAAGCAGGGCAGATCTTGTAAAAACCTGATGGAATTTGAATTTTATTTCCTAGAAATAGAAGCCACTAGAGGGTATCTGGCAGGAGAGTCATGGAGGCACATTCATTCGTTGGTTCTTGGCTTTTGGGACTCTGCACAGAGTTGATCACAGCCCTCAGCCTATGAAACACTGTCACCCTGTAAGGGTCTGCATAAAGTCACCGCTCTCTTCCTCTCCATGCTTTTCCACTTCATCTCTAGCCTCTATCCTTGCTCTCCTCCCTACACAAACAGCTTCTCCAGGGTAATTTATTTATATCATTGTGTGTGTGTGTGTGCACTCACGAGCACTCCCTAGTACTGCGTGTCTGGGTGGTGTGTAATTTTAATTTAAATACACAGTCATGTACTGAGGCCCTCTTTCTGTTTGGCATTTGTGTCACTCAGCACTGTGTTTCCACGCGTCTCTATCTTGTGAAGTGTACATCTAGTCCCCTGCTCCTAACCACAGTGACCAGCTCCAACTGCCCACCCCTATGGGCCATGCTGCCCTGAGCATGCACACACACAGCCTCTCGTTGTTCTGGGTGAGAACTGCTCCAGCATGTTTACTTAGGAGGGAAACTGCTGGGCCACAGGTATAAAATATTTTATTTGAGGAAGAAGTGTTGGCCAGCTCTTCAGAACGTCTGTGCCTGTCTCCGTCCCCACCTGCAGCACACAGGGAGGCTTGTTCCTTGCCTTCTGCCAACACTTGGCCTTATCCTACTTTCTAATGCTTCTCCTATGAAGAATAGCTGTTGCTTTCATTTACATTTCTCTGATAACTGATTAGCTTGGGCAAATTTTCATCTGTTTGTTAACCCTCCTGCAAACTGGCAATCTTCCTACCTTTTTCTTAATGATTTGTGGTGCTTTCTGGTATATTTTAGCTGTTGTTCCCTCCTCAGCTTTAATTGTTTCAAATATCTTGTAATGAGTCATGGCAAAGTTACATTCATGAGTGTAAAAGTGAAAAACGCAAATTGTTTCCTTAGTATTATTATGAAAACAGTCTTGACCCTTGCCATGATGGATTTATTTAACAGAAATCCTTAATCCATAATCATTAATGCATTCAAGTTCATACATTTTAGTCTTGAGGTTTGTGCTTTCTGGATCCTGTTTAAGAACCCCACGGCCACCCTGGCCCTGGAGATTATTCATTTTTTCTCCTATTAAACAAATGGCAACTACCTTTTGCTTTCAAATATTTAGTCCATTTGGAGTCTACTTTTCCTAGGGGCTCAGTTAGGAATCCATATTCCTATTCCTCCATTTTAGGGCTGGCTTTCCAACATCATCTTCTGAACAGTCCCCACTGATATGTGGTGCCACCTTTATCACATGTCCCCTTCCTCTAGACTTGGAGTTACCTCTGAGCTCTCTTCTGGGCCTCTGTCACCACACCGCTCTGATTGCTGAAGTTGGCGTGTGCCCTGGTATCTGCCAGCAGAAGTCCTCTGCTCTCCTTTTCAAAAGTTCAGTTGGCATTTACAAATATTTTTCTTCCACATACATTTTAGAATATGTTTGTTAAATTACTCAAGCCCTCCAACTGGAAGTTTGAGTGGAGTCCTGTTGAACTTAACAGATTTGGAAAATCCTGACGTCATTCTAATGCCAAGTTGCCCTGTTCAAGAAAATAAAATGTCTCTGCATATGGAAAGATCTCCCTCTATATCCTCCAATAGAGTTTTAAAATTTTTTCCATAAAAGTCGTCGTCTTTGTTAATTCCTAGACTGGTATAAATTTTGCTGCTATTCTGATTGCTGTCCTAATCTCTATTATGCTTTTTTTTAGTCAGTTGCTATTGGCATAAAGAAATGTGGTTTGTTTTTGTTTTTTGTTTTGAGTACACTGATCTTATATCCAAAACCTCTCTGAAATCTGAAATCTCTCTTTAGTTGTTAAGTTCCTTAATTTTTTTTTTCCATGTAGCCCAGTAATTTTCAAAGTGTAGTCTGGGGATTCCAGAGAGCCCCCCAGACCCTTTCAGGAAAGGTCAAAAACATTTTCATAATAATACTCGACATTATTTGCCTTTTCTTTCATTCTCACAAAGATAAAGAGTTTTCCAGAGGCAGCACACCATGACCCCAGTGGAATATGTGCTTGTATAGTTCTGCTTTAAACATTTCTTAGTTTTAACTTCTAAGATGGTAACTATCAACAGATAGAATCTCTATCAAGAAAAGCCCTTTGGGGGTTTCAATAACTTTTAAGAATACAACAAGTCGTAACACCAAAATGTTTGAGAATCTTTATGGAGACCATCAACCCTATGAGCTACACTAAGTTTTATCACTTCCTACCTGATCCTCACATCCCCATTTCTTTTTCTTGTATTAGGGTATGGCCAGGATGACATCCTTGGCCTACTCCTTATCTTAAAGAGAATGATACACTTTTAATTTCTCTATCAAGTTTACTGAAAAGTTAAGTTTTGGTTTATAACTTGTATCAAGTTGAAGAAGTTCCTCTCTAGTCCTGGCTTGCTAAGTGGTGTACTCCACTACCCCAAAATCACACATAGGCGTTAAACTTTATCACATCATTTTTTTCTGCCTCTATTGAGGGAACCATATGGTTTTTCTCCTGTAGCCTCTTAATGTGAATTACATGGATAAAGTTTCTGATATTGGATCATCTTTGCATTCCTAAGAGCAATCCCACTTGTTTAAGAATTGTTGTTTAATACATATTATTGGATTCAGTTAGCTAGCATTGTACAAGGAACTTCTGCATCTACATTCATAAGGGAAATTCTTTATAGTTTTCTTGTGCTTTCTATCTGAATTTGGACATGCTCTGATTCGCAATTTTAAAAAATCCCTCTAGCTGGAGCATAAATCCTGAAACAGACCCACTTTTCTCCTCAGCATGTTAGGAAACACATTAAAATACACCCATAATCAAGCAACTCAATCCTTAAATTTTTCTCCTACTGAGTATCTGGAAAACAGGTGCAGAAATGGATCATTTGAGACACCATAGAAATCTGGTTAATCCTGCCTGCCTGCTTTCCTTCAAGTACTGACTGAGTAAGGCTGTGTATCAGGCTCTTGGCTGGGTACAGAGCAGGCAGCAGAAAACAAAACAGAGTTCCTCGTTGGGAGCTTTTGGTCTAGCAAAAGGGGCACCACAGTAAAGAAAGAACTGGTAAATGCACATCAAATGTGGATATTATCAGGAAAGTTTTTATACTTTGTGATAATCTAAGACAGAACTATTCTACCTGGATGAATTATTCTCTTTCATAACCAGAACAGTGCTGTGGGAAGGCACTCTTACTCTCAATTTTATATAAAAGGCTATTTGACCTGCTCAGGGACCACAGTGGGGTACTGGGATCTGAACATAGTGGTGGCCCTTCAAGCCTACTACCCAGACTGAGACCTGCATCTGATCAACTCTCATCTCCAATATGACCAAGAGACTTCTACCACTACCTCTCACCTGGCAGGTGATCACCACCCCCAACTCAGACTGCAACCTTTACTTCGCCCCCTAATTCCTGACTCAGAATCCCCACCTAGAGGCAGAACTTCGACTTCAATTCCTGACTCCCATACCCCACTGAGACCTCTAACCCCAATCCCAATCTCTTAACTCAGAGCCCCCCATTCAGAACCTCTACCCAAAGACAGACTCCAGACCCTGACTCCAGTCGCCAACTCGGACCTCCCTTGGATCTCAACTCAGAGCCATGATGCAGACTCCAGACCGGGATTCAGGTCCCCAACTCAGACTCCCGATCCTCTGTCCCTAATGAGGCCCTACCTAAAACCACCATGCGGACTCCAGACCCGGACTGACTGGGACCCCAACTACTCAGATCCCAACTCAGGCAAACTCCCAGCCAGGATGTGGACCCTAGACCCGAATTCTGATCCCAACTAGGATACCTAACTCAGAACCACAACGGGGATTCCCACCTCCGATCCTAATTCGGGCCCTGACTCAGAACCACTAAGTGGATTTCCGACTCCGGTCCCAATTCGGGCTTTGACTCAAAACCACAACATGGATTCCCAACTTCCATCCCAATAGCGCGGACTCAGAACCACGATGCGGATTCCAGACTCCAATCCCAATTCAGCCCACTCTGAACCACCATGAGAACTATAGACCCGGAATCCGATCCTTGGGACGCGGCCAGGAACTCGGACCTCGACCCTGGCCACGCTGTCCATAAGGTGCAGATGGGAGCGCACTGCCCAGGCCAGGCTGCACTGCTGACGCCTGTGATCTGGGACGGCCGCGGGGCACACAGCTCACCTCAGCAACGCCAGTGATCACCCGTCCCGCGCCGTCCGCCCAGGTCCGTGCTGACCGTGTTCAAACCCTCCCAGAGAGATGGGGAGGGCCGCGCTGAGGAGAGTCTGGGAGAACCGCACTGAGGAGCCGCCGGGAGAGTGCCGCGCTGAGGAGCCCCCGGGGAGAGTGCCGCGCTGAGGAGCCCCCAGGAGAGTGCCGCGCTGAGGAGGCCCAGGGAGGACCGCGCGGAGGAGAACCATGCTGAGGAGCCCCCGGGGAGAACAGAACCGCGGCGAGAGGCCCCCGGAGAGAACCGCGCCGAAGAACCCCCGGGGACAACCGCGCCGAAGAACCCCCGGGGAGAACCGCGCCGAAAAGCCCCGGGTGCCCCGAGGAGAACGGCGCCGAGGAGTCCCCGGGGAGAACTGCGCCGAGGAGCCCCCAGAAGAGCGCCGCGCTGAGGAGCCCCGAGGAGAACCGCGCCGAGGGGCGCGCCGGGGAGAACCACGATGACTGACGCACCGAGGAGGACCGCGCTGAGGGGCGCACCGGGAGAATCGTGCTGAGGAGCCCCGGGGAGGACCACGCTGAGAGGCACCCCGGCAGAATCGCGCTGAGGGGCGCCCTGGCAGGATCTTGCTGAGGAGCTCCCTGGAGGTCCGTGCTGAGGCGACGCGGCGACCGTTCTGCCTGGAGACTGCGGCAGCGCTCCGACTGCCCCCGCCGCTGCCGACGTGGCGACCGCCCCCCACCTGCTGATTGGGCGGCAGCAGGGGAAGGCTTGCGGCGGGCTGCTGCACGGATTGGCTGGGTGCGGAAAGTGATGTGCCGTGTCCTGTCATTGGCCGAAAGAGTCTCGTTTTGATGCCACCCGGGCTCAGATTGGCCCAGCGGGTCCAGCGCCGCATGAGGCACTGGCTGGGTGTGAGGTGGCGCGAGCCGCCGCCCTCCCTGCCCCCACCCGTCGTCCCTGAGCACCACCGGGGGCCGGGGCCAGCGCCAGCCTCAGCGTTGGCATCGCCGGGGTGAGCTGGAGACACGGGCCAGTTCTCTGCGTGATGTGTTCACCACCCCGGGGTGACCGCGTGAGGACAGCGGCCGCACCCCGACACTGCTGTGGGCCCTCGGTGTGGAGGCCTGTGGGCGTCCAGGCCACGCCCGAGACCAGCCCCTCCGCCGGCGCCGCTGCAGCGACCCTCGAACCCGGGCAAGGTCTCCACCGCCGTGGCACCGGGTGCGGGAGGCGTTTTCCCCCCTCCCAGCGGGTCCATGCAGGGGATCGGGATGTTCTGAAGCCCCCACTGCTGTGCCTGGAACACCCGTGTCTGCCGCTCACCCCTGAGGACTTGGGACCTCAGGGGGTGAGTGGCAGGGGTGGCCGGGACATGCCAGGCCACCCACCTGGCAAAGGGCAGCGCCGAGGGCGCCCCGCGCCTGCCAGCGCCCGGCCGGGCCCGCCCTGCCCACCTCCCATCCCCCATCCGGGCGTGACACTTGACCGCGTCTGCCGGCCCCTCCCCTTGTCCGTCCCCTCCGCGCCGCTGGCGCGCGCCTTCTGAATGCCAAGCATTGCCATAAACTCCGGGGACAAAAGCCTGGGTCACAAAAGCCCCCTCTAGAAGTTCACACCCTGAGGCTTCCCTGGCAAGGCTGGGGGCCGTTTGGCCCTTCCATGTGGACTGCAAAAACAGTGTTGGAATGCAGGACTCTGGGTATGTTCTCGAAAGTTGTTACAACCCCAACCCAGGGTTGACCTCAAACACAGGAGGAAGGGGGAGGCTGGAGCCAGCCAAGCGAGCCAGCCGTCCCCCCACCAAGGCACGCAAGGAGGCCATTCATCTTCACTGCCTCTGCCGAAAATATACGTCTACGGGAGAGCCAGGAATCTCTCTCCAAGGGTGACCGGGTTGGGGGTTTTGTTGTTCTTCAGCCCAGAAGAGAAAGAGAAAATGGTGTCATTTTTTCAGGCAGCAAGTGATTCCTTTCAGGCCTTCAGCAACGACGCCCAGATGAGTCCACTCCCTGCCTCCTGCTCAGCCCACAGGCAATCTGGGCACAAGTGACACATCCCCTGGGCGCCTGTCCCTTCGCACTGGCCCAGGGAGTTCATGTGTCTGATCAGAGGGCGCAGTCCACCCTCACTATCTAGCTGGGAAGTTTTTGTCATCTGCCTGTCCGAGAGGCAGCTGTGCAACCAGTGCCATCACTCAGAGCCAGTGCTCAGGTGCACCCCAGACTCAGGGTTTCACGCTATAATGTCACTGTCTTGAAATTCTTGATAGTTACTATCTTTGAACTTGTGTTTTAGAAGTGAAGTCTGAGGGGAAAATGGAGCTTGGAACTTCAGCTCCCAAGTGGCTTTCCCACCTTCCTGCCTCCTCAGGACAGATTATCAGCTGCCTGTCTGCCTGCTTCCTCTGTGCCCAGCCTCTCTCTTGACATCCAAAGGATCACAACTCCCACTCAGTGACCACTATTATTCTCTGCCCCTGACCAAAAAGAGCAGGGCAGGGCTGGAGTCCTGACCCTGGCCTGGACTCTGCAATGCAGAGATACCTGCAAGTCTCATTTCCCCGCCTGTAGGATGGAGGTGATGCTGACAGCCTCTTGGAGCCATTGAGATAGGAAACGAGAGAGATTATGTGAGAAGACAGGGTCAGGAATGTTGAGTTGAGGGTGGCCTCAGGCCCCTGTCCTGCTCCTTTTTGCTGCTTGGGGTGCAGCTCAATTCCAGCCTCACTGTGGCCCCCAGGCCTCCTCTGGCCTTCCTCAGCCTTCCTCAGGAGGCCAGAATCCTCCCCTGATCACCCTCCCTGCATGTCCATTTCTACCTCCCCAGGAGGTCAGGGGAGCAGGATCCCAGGTCTTCAGAGTCATTTCACAGATTTCACCAGAATAAAAGTCCCACTCATGTGGGGTTTACATTCTGGTGGGAAAGACAGATTTTCGAAACGTGGCCATTTTTCTTTGGGCCTTTGTTAGCTGCATCAGATGGAGGAGGTAGCCTGGTGGACTCCTTCAGTCCTCGCTCTTGGACACAGAGCTGTCTCCCAGCCTTTGTTGTTGTGTTCTCCAAGGATGTCGAACACAGGCTGAAAAGCTCCCTAAATCAATTTCACTTAAAATGGTGTCCACCCTCCTACTAAAGAGTGACAAAGGGTGTTGGTTAGGATTTTTATCTTGAAAACTGATTTGTAAAGTCATGAAAATTGAGCTTATTTGGTCTTACACTTAACAAAACTGTGGGTTCTAATTGTGGGCCTGGATGGGGACATATCTTACAAGTAGTTGATTCATTTATATAGATTTTCATGTTCTGGGCTTGCCTCCACCCTCTACCTAACCCTGGAACCTCAGACCCCAAGCTCCTGGGCACTTGGATTTTTCCCTGACAAATTCCCCGCCTGTGATATTCCATGGGCACCTCACCTTGTGTGCTTGTGTGAGGTCTCCTTGAGTACTCTTAGCAGTGGGGTTGCCAGGCCAAGGAGCCTGTCACTATTGTTTGTGACCAGCTCACCAGACGTGGTCAGGAAGGACAGTTCTGTGTCCTATGTCCTCTGCTCCTCACCCCCTCGCCACACACGGGGTGCCGTCAATCAGCCAGCGCCGCCTGCCAGCCCAGCGCACCTGTTGTGTGCCCCCACTCCCGCCTCCTCTAGTCCTTTGGGGGAAGAGTGGAGAGGAAAACAGGCCGAGACTGAGAGGGGTTTGTTGTCTCGTCGGGCGACAAGAGACACGTGGGAATTGGCTAGAGAAGCATGTGAGGCTGGGCGGACTCCAGGCCAGCCCCAGAGGCAGATGGGGGCTGCCAGGCAGGCTGGGAGGTGAGCCCAGGGCTGGCCTTGGGCACCATGGCAGAATTCTGGGAGGGGGCTGCAGTCACGGCCAGCTCCCTTTCTGAATTGTTCTGTGGGTTGTGGAAGGCTTTGAAATTTGGCGCCTGCACCTTGTCACCTTCTTGGGACTCAAGGCTGCAGGGGTGGGTGTGAGACAGAGAGCCTGGGCACCTGGTGGCCACTCCCTGAGCTCCCCACGTGACAGAGGGCAGGTCCCATTCTCCTTTTGTGTCTGGTTTGCCTCATCTGTACATGGTAGGGGCTGAGCTAGCGTTCCTTGCACTCCCTCCAGCTTTACTCTTTGGGGTTCAAAAGGTTCCCTTGCAAGCCTGTGCACCCGAGAGCACGCACGCACACACGCACTCACAGCTGAAGAGAATTAGGCTCAAAACGTCCACTCGGCTTTTCTCTTGATTCCAAGGTATTTAGAGTGGGGGTGGGGGATTAGGGGAGGAAGTTGCTGAGCTAATTCTTTTGCATTTGCCAGCACAGAAGTGCAGATGGGGCCCAGAGCCCCGGCGGTGTCCCAGGGGAAACACCAGTCCTCTTCTGCAGTGCAAGGCAGGAGAAAGAACTGCTGTGGGAGCCCCTCACCCAAGCAGCAGGATGTGTGGCAGGCCCTGGCCAAGGAGTTCTGTGGGCCTCAATTCTCTCCCTACCCTGCCCCCACCCTCGGAGTCTAAGGGTGGAACCATCTTCAGACCCAGCCAGGTTCCCAAGTTGCTGCTTCCCTCGGAAGCTGAGAGGCCCAGGGCCACGTGGCAGCCTCCGCAGTCCATCTGAAGAAAGGCCCCACCCCACGCTGCTCTCAGGAGTGGACAGGAACGTGGGGGAGTGGGGGTGGTTAGGACCTCAGGGTTATCCCTGAGTGGCTGATGCATTGCCAGGAAGCCTGCTCTTAAGGTCAGCCCTTGCAGTTGGCAGTCTGTGGCCCCTCCTCGGTCCCCTTCAGTGAGGCTTTTTGCATGCATTGGTCCACACACCCACCACTGCAGCTGTCCTGGGTAAGGGCTCTGTGATCCTGCAACGCCCACCTTCTTCCTTCACTGGTCATAGGTTTCTGCTGACCCTGCAGCCCATGTCCTTGTTCCAGAATCTTCCGCCTCCTGTGGCCTGTGTGTCGCCTGCACCTGCATTCCACTGGGGCTTCCCTTCCAACTTGATGGTTTCAGGTACATGGGCCTGTTGTCAACTCTGTTCCCACTGAGCCCATGAGACGGCTATTCCTTTGAGACATGTTTACTTGACTTCCTGCCCCAGGTCTCTGCTGTACCCACAGGTGGCATGGACTCATGTCCCCACCCAAATCACATCCCCACCAGGATGGGCAGGCTCTGGGTCCTTTTGGGCCTTGTAGGCTGTCGTCAGAGGGGAGGCACAGTGGGGAGTCTCTAGGAGGTTTTGGGCAAGGCAGTGCCAAGGATCAGATCTCCCTTCTAGAAAGGTCACTCTGGCTGCTGAACAGAGAGAGAACTGAAGAGAGGCAGCAGGGTGAGGGGGAAGACTACGGGGGACTTGCCGTCACCCAGTGAGAGAGATGGGAGGGTTGGAGAAAGCGAGCATCTGTGGAGGTGTGAGAAGTGCCAGGCTGGGCTCCCTCAGGCGGCAACTTTGTCTAGACTTCTGGCTGAGGACAGGGAGGAGCTTAAGGTAGCCCTCAGCATCCAACAGGGGTAGCAGCCTAGTGCATGTATGACCACGAGCGAGCCCAAGGGAAGGACGGGTTTGGAGGGTTTCTGAAGATCTGGCTTGGATATAGTGGGGTCAGACCCTATCCCTCCACCCAGCTGCAGTGACAACTCTGTGGCTCTGGGGCACTGTCACCCTGTGGCATGGCCTGTTTGTGGTGTCCATTGCCGTCTTAGCTACCCAAGGCCCAGGGAGAGGCACACGGCTCAGGCTGACAGAGTGTGACAGATGCAGGTCCTGCTCCCTCAGGGAATCCCCCATTCCAGGACAGTCTCAGCCCCCATGCAAGAGCAGCCTCAGCATGGGCTGCTCGGGGAATGCCCTCAGACAACAGTGCTGTGTTAGGGTCACTCCCAGCCTGTCCTCACAGGCAGATTTGCGTTCCTGCATTTGGGGTCAGTGATAACGTGAGGCCAGACGGGTGGGGGGTCTGGAGTTCAGGCGGTCTCCATGAGTGGCAGCACGGGGTGTGGGCCAGTTCCCATTGGGAGGGCAGCTGTGCTGTGTGTGTATATGTTTGGGCATTGCTCAGCCAAGCCTTGATTAGCCGAACCCAACTCTCCCAGAGCCCCCACTTCGACGCGGGTTAACTCAGCAGCTGTCTCCTGAGCACCTGCTTGGGGCCTGGTTGGGTGCCAGGCACGGGGGGGTGGGAAAATGAAGTGAACTGGGCCTGCCAGACCCATTGCCTGCAGGGCCTTTTCTACCACCACCTTCCAGAGGCAGCTTCCTCCCACAAAGCATCCCAAGCTCGGGGTGTGTGCCCCCCTTCCTGTGCAGGCCTGCCACTTCCACAGCTGCCCCCCAGCCAAGAACAATCCCCTCAGCCTGCCAGGGAAAAGTGGGCCCAGGCCTTTGAGGACATTGCCACAGCCAGGGCCAACCTGGGAAGTTGTTTCTGATTATCTCTTGAGTCCTGGGAGAGGTGTTAACAAAAAGCCCCATCCCTGTCGCTCTGGTGGTTATAGTTTGTTTTACGCATTAAAAGGCCCTGGATCGGTATTTGTAGTGAGAACAGATATTTGCAGAGAGCCTACTCCATTCCCAGCTCTGTACTTGTAGAGGGTGAGGCTGCTGAAATGAAACCCACCAGGCCTCTGGTGAGCAGTGGGTGCAGAGTCATTGGCAGTAAAGGTCCTTAGAGAACCTGAAGAGAATATTCTAATCAAGCTAGGCAGGCTCAGAAGATGGATGTAATTTGGAGGAAAAAGACAAGAATGGGAAAGAAAGGGAAACCTACCTGGGGTACCGTGTGGCTGTGGTGGTTTTAGTATGTGTCTACAAGGCCTTTGACAATCCGTTCTTCCGGAAGTGGCACTTAATTCCCCTCTAATTAAGTTTTGGCTGGACTGTGATTTGCTTCTTTCAAATAAAATATGGAAGAAGTGACAGAGCATGACTTCCAAGACTAGGCCTTGCAGCCTCCCTGCCCTCTCACTGGGATCACTGATTTTGGGGGAAGCCAGCCACCATGGTGTGAGGACACTAGCAGCCCTCTGGAGAGGTCCTGTGGTGAGGAACTGAGGCCTCCTATAAATGGCCTCCTGTATGAGCTTGGGAGTGGATCCTCCAGCCCCAGTCAAACCTCTGATGAGACAGCAGCCCTGGTCTACACCTTGACTGCAGCCTCACAGGAGATCAGAACCACCCAGCCAAGCCACCCCCAGATCCCTCGCCCACAGAAACCATGTGGGATGATAAATGTGGGCTGCTTTAGGAATGAAGCTGTAGGGTGACTTGTCACACAGCAAAGGCCAGCTGACAGAGCCACCCACTCTCACCAGGCTTAGTCTGACCCTTGTCAGGGGCAGCAAAGTGGGCTCAGCCTACCTGTTGGCTTTTACTGATGGTTGGTGGCTCCCAGGAGAAAGAGTACTGTGCCCAGGTAGCATGCCCACCCCAGGCATACATAGCATGTCTTTGCTCTTGCAGAGTTTGAACTCTGCCCACCAGACCAGTGGCTCTTAACCTAGGCTCCTCGTGAGAACCACTCCCCGGTGCAGGTCCCACTCCCAGAAAGGAGAGCGGTTTTGACTCCTGCAGTCTCTAAGGCAGCAGAGAGCTGTGGCATTTTGGGTGGAGTGGGTGGAGAGGGTGCGTGATGGGTGGGAGAAACTGACAGTTGGAATGTGATTTAGGAAATGTAACGGGTGACCTTTTCTCCCCAAGAGAACACCAAATCCATTTCCTTGGGACATGGATAAGGCTAAGGGCAGCACCCACAAGGACCAGGAGCGGGGTTCTCAACAGCCACTTCTGTCCCAAATTTGTTTTCTATGCCCAGGAATGTCAAAGGGCCCTCTTGGGGTCAGCCACAGAGAAGGGGGAGCAGGTGTGATGGGGTGGTGATGGGATGCTGTAGGTGGATGAGAAGTAGCACCAAAGCTCACTACTGTTTTTCTCTTATCCCTGGGTCTTGGGGACAGGCCTGTGCCAGAAGCAGGGATTGCTTCTGCTGTAACGTCCACTGGAATAAAAAGCAGACATTGCAGTGTTGAGAAATTCCTTTAGCCCTCAGGAGGCAAGTTACAGAACAGGACAGAACTGCCCTAGTCAGGCCCTGCCTGGGCACAGAGCTGCCACCACTCTTCCAAGAGCCCTCCCTTTTGGGGACTGTGCCCCCACCCCACCCCCAGGCAGCCCCTGCCTCCAACCTTACTCCTAGCTGGTGTTCTGGGCCGTCAGTTCATAGGTCCAGCTCTGAGACCTGCCAGGCTCTCAGAGCAGCCTGGACCCAGGAGAGCGATAAATGGATGTGCACTGGCACACTCCAAGCAGGGAGGCTTTGTTTATCTCCCAATTAGTCCTGTAGCACTTAGTATGTCAGGCATGGTTCTGAGGGCTTCATCCACACTACCACCCACTGTAGAGATGGGAAAACTGAGGCATAGCAAGGTCAAGGGATTGGGCAGGCCTTAGGATGTAGAAGCTACTAGAGCTGGGCTGCACCTGGGTATCCTGGAGCCAGGGTCTATCCCTCCCCCTCTGCCACACGGCCTTGGTGTGAGGGACACAGCCCCTGTTTGCAGAGGCAGCTCCTTTCATGGAGCATGGGGGACAGGGCAGGTGTGCCTTGGCCCACATTTGGCTTCTTGAGCGCCGAACCTGCATGTGCCACCCCCCAGAGTTCCTGTGTGTGGCCGGGTGAATGTGCACAGGTCGAGGAGGTGGTGTGGGCAGCCAACCTCCCAAAGCACCAGGCCCCTCAGGGCTGTTCCCCTGTTTCCCAAGATTTCCCAAACAGATGGCCAAGATCGGGGGCACCCAGGAGACCACGCTCATGAATTGTTCCACTTGAACACAACATTGTTTTTTATGGAACTGGGCTGGGGAGTCCTCTGTGACTCTTTCCTCAGTAGGGAGAGAGCTCCTGAACCCACCGTGCACACTTCTTCAGCAGCCGCTTTGGAGACTTGACTTTGACACTCTTCTCAACAGGATCCCTTTCCTCACTGGTGTCTGCGGCCCGGGCCGCTGGCATGGCTGAGCGGAACTTGGCAAAGCAGTGAATTGGGAGCTCACTTAGGCACGTGGTCCTGAGGCTCCTTGCTGGCGTTTCTGTTTTGCTCCCTGCTCCTTTCTTTTCTTTGTAACTTCTCTTCAGGGCACCCACAGCCCCCGAGGAGGGTGGGGCTGAGGAGGCTGGAGGTGGAGCCCAGGCTTATCCCCCTGGTGGGCCAGGCAGGCAGCAAAGGGACCAACCCCAAGAGGGTCGGTGCGGAGACCCCTGGGGTGCACAGGGTGGGCAGTGACCAGAAGACTCACCCCAGGGCCTCTAATTTTGACCCTTGATCTGGGTCTAAGCACCTCTGAGCAAGAGGTGAGGGTTTCAGGCAGCCTCAGCTCTTAGGAGGCAGAAGATACAGTTTATACGCGGGTTGCGGGGGGCGGTCCATTTCCATCTCCCTGTTCTCTCCCCAGGCCAATGGCCAGGGCTAAAGCCCTCCTTGGGACATGTCAATAGCAGCAAACATTTTAAAGATGTGACATGTTCGAAGCCTGGCAACAGGGGCAGCTCCAGCTGTGCGAGAACATGGCTGGATTTACGTCTGCGGCAAAGCACCCGGTCACCTTTCTCTGCTTGGAGTGCAATCTTTTTTTGGAAGCCCTGCTGGAAAATCTGAATCTTGTGAGCCATCAGCTGTTTATAATCAGAGAAGCATATGTTTAAAAGAGCTGAGGGGCCTTATAAACTCCGTGTGCAAATTACCTTTGGGGCTGCCTGCTCCACCGCCCCTCCCTGAGGCTGCCATCACTGGCGAGCGGCTGAGTGTGCTGCACAGAATTCGCTGTAACCCTGTTGTGGCACGGGGTCTGTTTAGCTTTAGTCACGTCAGCTTGGCCCTGGAGCGTGGGAGCCTCCATCTCTCCTGCACGGCTTCCAGGCCCCCCCCACCCCCACCCCCCAGCCCCAGCTGCAGAGGACTTCTGGCTCCCTGTTCCTGGGCTTTCAGCATGAGAAATATCAAACCTGGGAACCGTGCAGCAAGAAGCGGGCAGAGGCTCAGACGCCAGGACCTGCGGGGGCTTCCTGGAATTGGGAGCCACTCTCGGTGTCTGCTCTGGTGCTACGGTCCTGCAGGGCTGTTTTTTTTTTATTTTGTATTTTTTGGTGTTCATTTTTGTTTTTGTAACAGCTTTATTAAGATAAAATTCACATACCATACAATTCACCCATTTAAAGTGTACGATTCAACGGTTTTTAGTACGTTCAGAGTTGCGCAACCATCACACTATCTAGTTCCAGAACATTTTCAGTGCCCCTAAAAGCAACCCTGCATTCTTTAGCCGTCACTCCCCACTTCCCTTCTCTCATTCCCCAGCCCCAGTCAGCCACGGCTCTGCTTTCTATCTCCACGGGTTTGCCTGTTCTGAACATTTCACATAGCTGGAATCACACACTAAGCAGACTTTTGTGGCTGACTTCTTTCACTTAGCCTAAGGTTTTCGAGGTTCATTCATGCTGTAGCATGTATCAGTGTTTCATTCCTTTTTAGGGCCAAATAATATGCCATTTTATGGATATTATCACATTTTATTTATCCATTCATTCATTGAACACTTGGGCCATTTTTACTTTTTAGCTATTAGTGAATAATACTGCCAGGAACATTTGGGTACGAGTTTTTATTGTGGACATAGATTTTCATTTTTCTTGAGTATTCACAGAGGAGTAGAAACGCTGGGTCATATGGTGACTCCATATTTAACCTTTTGAGGATCTGCCAGACTGTTTTCCAATGTGGCAGCACCATTTTGCATTCCCACCAGTAGTGTATGTGAGTTCCTATCTCTCCACATTCTCACCAACACTTGTTACTGTCTGCCGTTTTCATTTTAGCCATCTTAGTGGGTGTGAAGTGATATCTCCTAGTGGTTTTGATTTGCATTTCCCCGATGACTAATGATGTTGAGCATCTTATTAGCCATTTGTATCTCTTCTTTGAAGAAGTATGTATTCAAATTCTTTGCCCAAATTTTAATTGGGTTGTGTTTTTATTATTTAGTAGAGTTCTTTATAGTCTAGATATAAGTTTTTTATATTCTAGATTCAAGTTCCTTATCAGATATATTTTCTTCCTTTTTGTGGGTTGTCTTTTCACTTTCTTGATCATGTCCTTTGACTCACAAAGGTTTTTAATTTTGATGAAGTTCAATTTATCTGTTTCTTTCTTTGGATGCTTATGTTTTTGGTGTCATAACTAAATAACAACATGTAATCTGAGGTCAAAAAGATTTACCCCTATATTTTCTTCCAAGAATTTTATAGTTTTGGCTCTTACACTTAGGTCTTTCATCCGCTTTCAGTTAGTTTAACATATGGTGTGAGGTAGGGGTCTAACTTTATTCTTTGTCATGTGGATAGACAGTTATCCCAACACCATTTGTTGAAAAGACTCTTCTTTCCTCAGTGAAGGATGTTGATACCCTTGTCAAAAATCAGTTGACAGTAAATATGAAGGTTTATTTCTGGATTCTCAATTTTATTCTATTGATTTGTTTGTCTATCCTTATGCCAGTACTATATCGTCTTGATTGTTATAGCTTTGTAGTGAGTTTTAAAATTGGAAAGTGGGTTTTCCAACTTTGTTTTTCTTTTTCAAGATTATTTTGGCTATTCTGGGTCCCTTGAATTTCCATATGAATTTTACAATCAGCTTGTCAATTTCTGCAAAGAAACCATCTGGGATACCAATAGGGATTGCATTGAATCTGTAGGTCAACTTGGGGAGTATTGCCATCTTAACAATGTGTTAAGTCTTCCAATCCAAGAGCATGTATTTCATTGTATTTGGATTTTTAAAAATTTGGTTCAAGAATATCTCATAGTTTTCAGTATAGTTTTTGCACTACTTTGTAAATCCTACAGGGTTTTGTGTGACAGTGACTGGCAGCCATACTTCCTCCCCATGTACTGGGTTCTGCCCATCCTCCAGCCCATCTCCCTTGGAGTCTCTCCCCGACTCCAGGGCTCATGGCCCCTTTCAGGCCCTTGGCTTCTGGTAATGCTTCTTTGTGGTCTCCTGTCTTGCGCACTAATTGTTGCCCAAGTCTTTGCACATCCTGCATCCTGCCTGGAGTGTTCTCTCTCCTCCCTTTTCTGTGAGCCGTCATGAAACACCTCCTGTGGGCTTACTGAGCCACCATCTTATCCAAGTGCTCTGTGGCAGCTTGTGGAATCTTCTCAACCTTGGGTGTCGCCTGCCCAGAACGGGGCTCTCGGAGGCCAGGGTGACTCCACTATCCCACCAACCTCTGTACCCCACGGCCATGCACAAGGCACAGGGTCCCACAGAGGGTCTGTGGGTACAATGGAGCTATTTCCCAGTCAGACCTCACAATCGGTAAACTGTGCTTAAACTAAGTGAGGTATCTTAAGGCTTTACCACCAGGGAAATAGAACTTTGGCAGCTTACAAAGGAGTTTTATTTTTCAAATTTCCTTTCAACTCGAGGGTCTCAAATCCACTCAGCAGACTTAGGAGGGAGGGTCCTGGCACTGCTTCTGAGGAGGGTGCCTTTGAGGGGAGGCAGAGTTGGCTCACGGGAAAGGCTGGCCCTGAGGCATGGCAGGTGGCAGGTGGCTGGGGCTGCTCACCTGCTCACCTGTGTCCATCCCCTTGGGCAGCACACAGCCAAGTCCTTTTGGACCAAATTGGATCACTGCCAAATGGTATGCCCAGCCTTGCTGAATCTCTACCCATCTGTAAAAAGGAGAAATCGTTTCTGTGCTCCCTGCCTCCCAGAGAGCCAGGGAGAGGCCAGGATCCAAGGAGGTAACGGCTTTCTAGCCCTTTGGAAACCTGAGTGGGGTTTTGTGCTTGCATCTCATTTAAGCCATGAACACTTGCCGGCTCTCTATTCATCCACACCCCCTGCATTTATTGAGTGCCTTCTGGGTGCCCGGCCCTCTACTAGATGTGGGAGTTACCGTGTGGGATGGACTGACACTGGTGACCCCTGCCTGGGGGAAGCAGACTCTAGCTGGGCAGCCTGGCCTCAGGAGATCATCACAACCCTCGCTGGGGCTGGGGTGCAAATGGGGCAGGAACAGGAGTCCGGCCTGGGGGATGTTAGACTCACCAGCCATCCCCTGGAAAGCTGTGGGGAGACTCAGAGCAGAGCCCCCAGTAATCATAGTGAGGTATTTAGGGATAGAGTGGAGATCTCGCCCACATATTCCCGAAGCCACCAGGCCAGACACCGCCCCAGCTGAATGCATGCTGGCGGCCCAAATGTTAGACACTCTTCTCTCTTAGGTGGTTTGAGGAGACTTAGGGGCTTCCATATTCCCCTTGGAACATGAAGAAGGGGCTGGCTAAGGCCCCCATCCCTGCTCAGGCCTACAGGAGAGCCCTGTGGACACTCCAGCCTCAGCCTTCCTTGCCATCCGCAACCACACCAGTGGCTGGAAAGCCAGAGTCCCCTGGCTCCTGCACTTTTTCTGCACGGGACTCCCTCACAGCCTCTGGGTTGGGAGCACACATGGCATCTCCTAGAGAGTTTGGGGGCTGGACACAGGGAGGAGGCAGCATGGGAAATGGAAGGACTGCAGCCCCCGCCTCCCTCCAAGGCAGTTGTCAGAGCAAGATCAGCTCCCTGGAAGACACCCGGGTTGTAAACAGGGTGGGGCAGGGGTCCTGGTAAGTATGAGGAACCAGAGACCTGGTAAGTATGAGGAACCACCCCTTGGCATGGGGCACCCAGAAGGCAGCAGGCTAACGACTCCCCATGAAATTAACAACTTTGTGAAGCATTTGGTATTTGGGGGATTTTACATTAGGGTTAATGAGCCTCTGAAATGAGATCCCGGAGAGGGGCCAGGACCATGCCTGGGATGTGGCTTCCGTGGACTGAGCAGCCTGGAGCCCCTACTTGCTTGGTGTCCCGAGCCAGCCGGACCTGCATCCCGCTCCTCCTCCGCTCCCTGGAAACGTTCCCTGAATCACATTGTTCACTGCGCTTCTCAGGCCTTCTGGGCTCTTCCTCTGCTGCTCGCCATAAAAACTCTCCAGTCATCTTTTCCGCTGTGGTTTTTATTGTTTTATTTTATTATTCCAGCTATATTACGTTGGGAAGAGCTACAGAAATGGTTTCTTCTCCCCCAGATTCCAGAACAAGTCACAGCCATTGTAGATTTTGATTAATCGCCATCCCCATTATTTCTTCACTTTCTCCAGCTGAATTTTTCCCACTGTGGGAAGGGGGTCTGGAGGACAGGCACCCTTGTTGGCCGTGGATAGGTTTCTGTTCTCCCTCGACCCACCCAGCAAGAGAAAAAAGTGAGCTGACATTATGGGTCGGCCCCTGTTCTGGAGGCCACAGCCACAGGCTCTGCGGGCCTCTGGCCGAGCTGGGTTGCAGGAGAAGCCAAGTGCCGGGTGAAGGCCTGGGGAGGAATCTGGGTTCTCTTGGCTGCTGGTAAGATTATCCATTAAATCCATATTCCTCACTGTAGAGTTCATGGATTCAGAGGATATACCGTATTCTGGCCGTCTTACATTACTGCAATATTGCTTCCAGATGGGCAAACGCGCGCTCGGAGCCTGGCCCTGCAGACACGATGGCCCAGCACGCCGCTCACTGCCGCGCCTTTGTTCTCTGCTTCCTGCTCGGTTCCTGCTAACTCAGGGAGCTCCAGGTGGCTGCCACTCAGGGGTGTGTGGGGGGCGCCTTGGGGCACCCAGGCCTGCAGCCCTCCCCCACACAGGCAGTCTCCACAGAGATAGAGCGCCAAGGATGCGGGCCAGGACTCTTTCCGAGCCTCTCCTGTTGCTGGGGCCTGCTCCCTGAAGGGCACAGTCCTGGGCAGGCGCAGTGCCCAGGCTGGAGAGGTCCTGCGTCTCCATCTCATCCACAGGATAAGTCAAATGGGAGCATTCCAGCATTCCGCATCTCATGGGGGGGTTGGGCCTCACCTCCCTGGCAGCCCACTCACCTCACATGGCCTGAGCCGCAAGGTCAGCCCCCTCCCAGGCCCGTGAGAGGCAGCAGGCACTATGGGCGAGCTGCCTGCTGGGCCACAGGCTCTGGTACTCTCCTGGGTTGGGGCTCCCGGGGTAGGGCTAAGTGTGGTGGCAGTGGAGTCAGGGCAGCTGGACAGCCCCTCTGCCATCAGTGAGAACTGTCTTCTCTCTGCTTCCCCTGTGCACTTCTGAATCCCCAGGGCTGGGCACAGGGCTGTGACGCCATAGGTGCTCTAGATAGATGGAGGAGCTCACAGCTGCAGGGAGTGTTGGGTGGACATATGGGGTGTGGGGGGCGAGGCCAGGCTTCACAGAGGTGGAATCTCAAAGGAGGAAGCGGCATGCCAGGTGGCGGACATAGCACCTGCAAACGCCTGGGAGGTGAAGGCACCAGCTGTAGCCAGCATCCCAGAAAGGGACACGAAGCCCTTGGGGCCGGGGTGGTAGGGGTAGGAGAGCATCTTGAGGGTGGCTGCAGCATCGTCGTCATCTTTCCAATGGTGGCATCCCTTCCCCAAGCAAGGGAATGATGCAGACAGAGGTGCCTTTCAGAAAGAATGGAGGTCCTGGGGACCTGACTTCTGGGTCCCTCAGGACACATGCTCTCCAGCTCGTCAGTGTTACCTGGATACTCTAATGGGGGCACAAAGCCAGGGGGGAGCCTGCAGGAGGGGCCTAGCCAGGGCCAGGTGTCACACAAGCAGAGCTCCAGGGTGCAGCTGGGCAGATTGCCGGTGGTTGGTGCTGGTGAGGAGTAGCAGGGTGGGGTCCGGCGGTAATGCCACTGATGATACTTGGCGAGGATGACCGCAAGTGTCTTGACCCAAACATGAGATGCCCCTCACCCATCCTCCCATGAACCTCAGCATGGGCACCCCATGCCACCCGCTCCATTTACAGCCAAGGAGCCTCAGTAGAGACACAGCTAGAAAGTGGCCAGCTGGGGTTTGGTGCTGAGCCTCTGTCTGACTCTCTGCTCTCTGGAGAGCTCAAGGGAACCTGTAAAGACCTGCGGGCTGTGTCATGGAGGGCCCTTACCCCGGAGGAGCCAGGAAGGTGGACAGAGCAGGCAGGAGTGGGGCAGGAGGGGGCTTTGCAGATTACCCAGACCCTTTGTTGGCCAGTGTGGGAATGGGGGGAGGCCAGGGAGGACCCCCTGCAGCCTGGCTCAGGCAGGGGCATGTGTGAAGGCCCAGGGGGAAGAGAGCAGCCAGGTAGACTTCGTTTCCAGCCGGAGTGTACCTGGGGATGCCTGTGCCCAAGCCTTCCTCTTCCACCACCCCTGCTGGGGTCCCCTGGGACCCATCCTTCCAAGCCCCTGCCAGCCTTGGAACCTGTGACTCCCCAGGTGGTCAAACACAGAAGGACCTCTTGGGGGAAGGGGAACCAGCAAAGGGGGTATGGGGAGCCCTCTGGGGCACCCTCATATCACACCCTGTCCCTCTGGCCACATTCCAGCTGGCCCTGCCTGTGAGGGTTGACCAGCTGGAGCAGCCCCGCATCCCACATCCCCGCAGCCTTGCGCTGGTCTAAATGCCTCCCAGCCTCCTGAGGTTGAGGGTGGCCACACCAGCCAGAGCTTGGGTGATTGAGTGGGTAGAGGGGGTGGCCAGAGTGGGAACCATGGTGATGCAAACCATAAACCTGTCCCCCACGTCACCTCCAAACCCTTTGGGCTGGCCTCTTGGTGAGGAATGGCCCTGGGAGAGGCTGCCCTGCCTTTGACCTCTCATGCACTGAGAGTAATGGGCAAGCGCTGTCTGCAGAGCACTGACCCCACCGCCGGGGTCGGAGCCCCTATTCCTAGCCTCCCTTGAGCGTTTTGGTTGCCGGATCCTCATTAATGGCTGTTTGTATCACTTAACAATTTTTCACTTTTGGAGGGGTCGTGAATAACCCCAAAGCAACATGTACCCTCTCCGGGCCAGGCTCAAGCGGTCCTCTCACTAGGGAAAGAAGTCAGAAAAAAGCTCCAAGCTGAAGCGCCCACACCTACCCTCTGCATCAGATGTGCTGCGGCTCTCAAGGAACCCTCTAGGGCACAGCTTTGGGGAGTGGAGCTGCGTGGTCAGCTGGCCAAGCCACAGTGGGAAAAGGTGGCCCATTGGCCAGAACACAGTCCCCAAGCCTCCTCAGCTAGGCTCTCGAGGAATGGCTGGGTGTCCTTTCTCAGCAGAAAAGCCTTGTCCCCAGCCTCCAGGGCCAGGCTCCAGCTTCCCAGGCGTGTGCTTCCCACCCAGGCTCTTGTGGGTTGGCTTGCCAAGCGGTGTTAGGACACGCAGCTTCAGTTCTGCAGGGCCTGGTGGAATTCCATTCCCTGCCTCCCAGAAATCTTATCTTGAGGGCCGCTCAGCTACAGTAGGCCCCAAGCCCCAGAGACTCCAGATTCCCCACTACGGAAGGCAGCCGTGAAAGGCACGGGCAGCGCGGTGCTTCTCCTTCAGGAGGTGGAACTGGGTGGCCCGCATTGAACAGGCCAGGAGCACTGGTGTTCTGGATCCAAAGCAACCATCTCTTCCCACATTTGGAGGGAGCCGAGGGCAGGCAGGAGCCAGGACCCAGTGCATCCTGAATACTGGGTGACTGGCAGACATCACTCTGGCCCAAGGCCAGGCCTGCAGTAGGAGCTCTGTGCATATCCCCTATGTGAGTACAGGAACCTCAGTGGTGCCTGTGGAGCTGTTCAGTGGGCCCTGTATTCGCCAGCACAGCCATGGTCCTGCTGAGTGACAAACAGCCCCCCAGATGTCCTGCCCTCTGGTGCTGCTTGTCCACCATGAAGTGGCCGGGGCTCTGCTCAGGGACCCAGGTGCTCTTGCAGACAACCCAAGTCTTCCTTCCTACTCCTGGCAGGGCAGGCAATTCCACTGATGGCTGCAGTGCGACACAGACTGGGCCTGGCATGGTGTCCCTCAGACCCCACGGCTTGGTCGGGTCACCTGGGCCATTTCAAAGGCTGTTGGGGAGCAGGAATCACAAGCTGGATGTCAGCTTGAGGGTTACCCCAGAGTGAGAGCCTCGACAGCCAGGCCCTCCCAGGCTTCTGTGATCGCAGCCCACACCTCTGCGCACAGTATGCCAATGTTCCCCAAAATCTACATACTGAGAAGGTAGACAGCAAAGCCACAGGGAGACTTCTGGGTAGCCCAGGTGGAATTCTTCCCTTCCTGTTTCCCAGTTTTCCACCCTTTTCCCTGGCTTTCTTCCAGAACCTTTTAATGAAAGTGCCTCTGCCCCACCAGGGCCTGGCTTAGGATGGGTGAGGGAGAGGAGCTCCGGGAGGTCACGGCCCCACCCAGGAACGTTCCTGTCCCAATCCTCCCATCCCCATATTCAGGAAAGTTCCCCAGGCCCGTATGAACTGGCTTCTTAATTTTGTTTTAAACACAAGCTTTCAGAAGAGCAGAAACGGAAAGACAGATGGCAGGAGGTGCCGCAGGGCAGCACTGGGGAGCCTGAGATAGAGAGCGGGTAGACAGGAAAGCAGCTCACAGCGGCTGGAGAGCAGGGAGCACACGCCTGTCCAAGACCTTGGGCCAGAGGAACCCCCTCTCCCCCGATGGCCCACTCGCCCCAGGGCCTCCAGGTTTGAGCCCCCCGGGGTATTAGCCCAGCATTTTAGGGGCTGCCGTGGTCATGGAGTAAAGACCACACCTGGCATGGCTTCCTTGGTTTCTGAAGGCTGCGAAAGCTGCGTCTGTCGCAGAAGTGAACCTTGTTTTGTTTTGTTGATGGGTGTAGTCTCAGGGCATGTTCAATGTCTGTGGAGCTGCCTCTTCTGGAAGAGCCGGGTTGACACCCGCGTGCCCCGTCCTGGCTTAAACACTTTGAGGCCCTCCCTGCCCTCGGGGGAGCTGAGAGCCCCACTGCAGCCCAGAGGCCCTCCCCTGACAGCTGCCTTCCTCTGCTCCGTCCTTCCCCACATCCCCCTCACACACCTTGTGCTTGCTCTGGGCTTCAGGGGCCTGAGCCCCAGGTAGACCCCCACACTTAGGGTGCCTCACCACACTCCATCCCTAGCCCCAGACTGGCTTCCCTGCATCTGGCTGACCCCCTCCTCACCTGCCTGTTTCCACCTCAGGGCCCCTCCTGAAGCCGGAACTTGATCCCCGCAGCACCAGCCCCTCCCCGTAGCCTCATGGGGCACAGCTCTGAGGATGTGGATGAGCAGAGGGGAGGACAGGGATGATGAACCCCAGGAATTGGCTTCCAGTGGATGCAAGGCTGACTCGTACATGTCATGGAGGATAGTTCGGGCATCTGAGCTAGCTGAGGCTCCTTGGAGCACATGCATGGCCTGGACTGTCCAGAAGTCGTCTACGTGCTTTGTGTAGACGCATGACTCCCCAGCTGGCTCCGTACTAGATGACCTGGGCTAGGGCCACTTATATCTGTCAGGGGAAGGGCAGTTGCAGTTAGGACCACACTAAAAGGTTAATGTCCACGCTGGTGTTGACCAAGCCCTGGACCCTGCTGTGCCAGGCACTCCCATCAGCATCCAGGTGCCCATTTTACTACAGGGATCTGAGAGCTGGCTAGGCAGGCATCCCGGGTCATTACTGGGCCTGTAAGGGCCTTCATGTCTGCACCCTCCCTGCCATGCACCTTAAGGTCAGGAAGTCCATTCAAATGCAGATTCCTGGGCTATTCCAAGAGTTACTGAATCCCCACCCTGGGGTGAAGGCTTGGCGTCTGCCAGGGACCATAGACCACAGATACTCATCTACGCTTGTGACCCCCCTCCCGCCCCTGAGTGTGTGCTGGGGCAGGAGGCCCTGTGGCAAGTGGAGCCCCAACCGCAGAGCACCATCTCCAGCCGTGTGCTCTCGGGTGCAGAGCTGACCTCCCAAGTCTCAGGCTTCTTGTCTCTCATTGGGGGTAACAATGGCTATGTACATAAGATTAGGAGAACACACAGAAGGTGGTGCTGGCTAAAGCCATTATCACAGGCTGGTGCCTATAGTCCCAGCACTTTGGGAGGCCAGGCGTTAGAGACCAGCCTGGGCAGTATAACGAGACTCTGTCTCTACCAAAAAAAAAAAAAAAAGAGCCATACAAGGTGGTGCGTGCCTGTGGTCCCAGCTGTTTGGGGGCTGAGATGGGAGGATCGCCTGAGCCTGGGAGGTCAAGAGTGCAGTGAGCCATGATGACTGTGATTGACGTGTTGACCAGGCACTCAAAAACAAACAAACAAACAAACAAAAAAAAAAACCATTATCACCCCCTGCACACAAATCCCAGAGTTCAGAGAACACAGATCAAAATAAGAAGTCAGAGAATCCTCTCCAGCTGAAAACCCTCATTTGTTATCACCCAAATGCTGCCTGCTGGCTGGCGAGCCTTGCTGGTGGTGGAAGGCCCAGCAGTAGCAAAGGAAACCAGGGCAGGACAGTGTAGGAAGTCCTGCCCTCGGATCATTTGGGGAAATTGGCACCTGTGTTTCTCACCACACAGTGTTGGGTTGGAGAATGGGCCTGGGTGCAGAGCTTCGGAGCCAAACACCGTGCTGGTTTCAGAGAAACAAACAGCCCTGATGTAGCTGTGGCCCTTGGAGGTGTCCGAATAGTCCATCATTTTCAGTGACAGAAAGACGGAAATGGACACAGATCAAACCTGCATCACAGATGTATAGCTAGGTCAGCGAACCACTCAAAAGACCCCAGGGTCTGACCCCTTGCACGCCTGGGCGGAGGTGGAGCCGCTTCACCATACATGCAAATGTAGCAAACTGCAAAATGTCCCAAAACAAGTCCCTTACTGTCCGTGTCCCTCCATGCCAGCTCACTGGAGGGGCTCCTGCTGAAAGAGGTGGGGTTCAGTTCCCAAACCCACTGGAGGGTTGCAAGGAGACGCTTCTAGTATGTTAGACAGCACAGTCTTCCAAATGGACTGTGGGCATGATGGATGTGTAAAGAATCGAGAAGCCAAGTGCCCTTGCCATTTGTTATCTTTAAAAAGTATCGGTGGGCTCATGGGGGCTTGAGTGTCCTGGCAGCTCTCCTCATCCATCCTATGTGTACACTCAGGCACGTACTCCCTGGCTCAGCCGCCTTCCGGGGCCCGGCTACAGTCAGGCCTCCTTCGTGCTGAGCATGTGCTGGCCCTGCCTGGGGACAGCTGAAGGCCAGGAGGAAGCTGCTGGCCTCAAGAAGGCCTCTCGAAGCAGAGGCAGCCCCCTCGAAGCTCACCTGGCCTCTCTCTGTAAGGGGAGAGGGACCCAGGGCTGACCAGAGCAAGCAGTGTGCCATTAACCCCTACCTGTCCAGAACTCTGAGCTCCTGTGGGTCCTTCTCTGAGTGTCCTATGTTGGGGGTGTCAGCCTGGGTGTCAAGGCTGAAGAGGGGAGCCTCCTTGGCCACTGAAACGGAAACAGCATTAGCCACCACCAGCCCCTTCCCCCTTTTGCAGGGCGGCTCCCAGAACCTAGGAGTCCATGCTACCTGTGGGGTTCATAGTGTGTCCCTCTCAGCCAATGGGAAGTCGTGCCCTTGGATCATTTGGGGCAAATGGTCCTCGTTTTCTTCATTATATGGTGTTGAGTTGGGGAACGGCCTTGCTGGGAGTTGGGGCCTGGCCTGGACCTCGAGGCCACTGGGGACTTGGCTACCTGAGGGAGATGAGGTTGTTCCCAGGGTTTCCTCATCCCAGGGGCTCTCAGATTTCCAGGGACTCGGGCAGGCACAGCTTTCCAGGCCAGAGCCATGGACGGTCCCTGGACACCTGCAGCAGCCAGGCCCCAGATGCAAGAAAGGGTATTTGTTTCTTAAAGCTTGTAAAGAGTTTCTAAAAGGTGGGGAGGGGATTGGTGGGGGCCTGTCTCATGTTTTCCATTCTGGACGCCGGGGGGACATGTTGCTGGGGCCAGACCAACTCCAGGGAGACAACTCGACAAGTTACGAAACATCCAGCAGCATCCACGACTAATTTCTTCCCCCTGTTTGTCCTACCGTGGAGGTCGAGTTAAAAGGCAGCACTTCGGGGGTTGAAAAGCTACCCGCAGGGGTCTGCTCGTGAGGGACCCCCGGGCCTCTGCAGCCTTTGTTCAGAGGCAGCTAATAAGCCGACTCCCGCTGGGCGCTTTGTAGCGAGGCCGCTGTTCCCAGTCCTAGCTCAGCCTCCCTGCCTCAGAGGGCTGGCAGATCAGCAAATTGCTGTCTCCAGCTCGCAAGAGGGGCAGGTCCAGGGATGTGTTTCACCCCCAAGGTGTGAGTGGAATCAGCAAATTGTATCAAGAAATATTTCTAGGGATTTACATTCCGGCGGTCAGCAGCCTTTGGGAGGCTTTACTCCGCCTGCAGGGGTGGGAGGCCTCGCGTAGAGTTGGTGGGGGCAGCAGAGCCTGGGTGTTTCAGGAGGACCCACTCACTCTGGGCCACTTCTGATGCTGCAGATCACGCCAGGCAGGCCTCCGGCCGTTTGTCTCTTCCGACAGCAGCGGTGGTGATGGTCCCCTCGGCCTGCCTGGCCTGCAGCAGCCCTGGCTGGAGGCTGACCGAGCCTCCGAGGAGGTTCACCTGGAGCTGTCTGTCCATCCATCCATCTGTCCCTTGGCCCCTTTAAGAGGCCTTGTCCCCTTTGCCAGTGCAGGGAGACCCCACCGTGGACTTCTCATTGGGACTTCCAGTGAGACCCAACTCCACTGCCTGGGGATACCCTCACCCCAAGCCCAAGGAGCCTGTCCCTACGCACACCCCCTGCCCCTGGGAGGCACATGCCGAGCTTTCCTGTCCTCCATTTGGTGGCCGCCTCACCTCCATGGGGTCGCAGGGCCCACACAGACAGCCTACTATGGTCCTGGCAGGCACAGGGTATGGGAAGCCCTGTGCCCCTGGGATCAAGCTTGGATCCTGAGGTCCTGAGCTTGGTGAGTCAGGGCTGGGGAGCCACAAAGCCAGCATGCTCCTGCCTTTTGGGGGTCCCAGGTGATGTGTCATCTTACCAGGTGTTGACAGGTGGAGAGAGGTAGGCTGGGTGAAGATAGGAAAGGACTATGGGAGGCCAGGGCGGGCCTCGGGTGCATGCCTCTCTGTGGCAGTGACATTTGTACAGAACGAGGCAAGGCCAGCCCATCCTGGGAGCTGAGTGCTGGACCATGGGGGCTGCAGCCTGGAACTGAGCCCAGAGACTGCAGCATTCAGAGGTCAGGGATCAAGGAGGACCTCACAAAGGAGATCGGGAAGGTGGAGGCTTGGTCACCCCCAGGAGGAGCTTTTTCTAAGGAAGGAGAGGCCAGCATGTCAGCCACGGCTGGTGGGTCCCACTGAAGCTGAGAATAGAACTGGCAGTGGGGTTTGGCCACATGGAGGTCCTAGGGGAGCTGATGAGAGCGATGCCGTAGCCAGGGTCGGCAGTGGCGGACCGAGAGTGCTTCCCTTCTCACGTGGTTGGGAGTCATGACCTGTTTAGTAAATAGGCTATGGCAGCCTCTTGGAACTTAGTGAGGTGGCTAAGCTGCCCCTAGATAGCTGTGCCCTGTGACCAAGACCCTTCCTCCCTCCTTCCCTCTACCCCACCAGGCTCAGCCAACTGACACCAGGGCCCTGTGAGGCAGTATCTGAGCCACCCTTCTGAGTGGGAGCTATGGCAAGTGCTGCCTTAGCGGAGTGGGGGTGGGGGCATGTGTCACTCCCAGGACCAACTGGCAGATGAAGGTCTTTGGGCACTGCAGCTGCCACCTGGGGTGCCTCGGGGCAGGCTCACCTCACACCCTTGTGGGCCAGCTGCGGCCCAAAAGCCTCCTGGCCTCCATTCCCGTGCCAGGGTGGTCTGAGCGGAGAGGACAGGGGGGATCCCAGACGGATCCTGAAAACAGGCTCCGCCTTCCTCTGTGGCTCTGCCTTCCTCTTGGCTCCGCCTTCCTCCGTGGTGGCCTGAGAGGGGTGTGGTGCTGCTTGTCCGTGGTGCTCCACACACCTGCCACAGCTGCTTACCCCACTCCCTGCCGCCCTGGACAAGGTGCCCACGGCCCTGTCCCATTTACCGTTGGGGCAAGTGAGGGACGAGGAGGCTCCGCAGCCTCCCCCGGGACACTGCAACCCTCAAGACTCCTAGCAAGCCCCTCCGTCTCAGAGCCTTGGTGTCCCCATCTGTAAAGTGGGATGTGACAATACCCTTCTTGCTGAATGGGCAGGGAGAGAGGAGCTGTTAGGTGAGACCAGGTGGTACTTGGCAGCTGTGGCACGTGGAAGCCCTACACAGGCAGCCCCACACCTGGTCCGCTGTTCTGTCCTTACTGTAGCAGTGGGCCTGGAGGCAGTGGCATTTAGAGAGGACCCTGAAGTCCAAAGAGGGGATGCCAGCCTCAAACTCAGCAGCTCGAAGTAGCAACAGCCTCGAATCCCTCACACCTAGCGGTTGGCTGGGCAGGTGGACTGGTCCGAGCTGAGTGGTCTAGGATGGCCTTGCTCCCGGAGAAGACCCTTGGCAGACAGCCTCTCCTCTACTAGCTAGTGGGGCCTCACTAACCGCTGGTGGCCGCAGGGTTCCCAGCCACTCGGTGCACATGTACTCCAGCCTCTCTGTGTCCCATTTGCTCATGACATGGTGGTCAAAGCAAGTCACGGATTCCAGGGGGACCTCGGGACGAGGAAGTCACACGTTGGGGGATGTGCCGCAGGGATGGGGCATCTCAGCCTTTGTATCTGCCGTGGGCGTGGAGGCATTTACTCTTTTCACCGGGGGAGCAGAAATCAGAACATGGCTCTCTGTGTCTGACACAGAGCCCTGTACTCCATCTATGCAGCCCCCACCACCTCTGCACACAGCCCCTCCGGTGGTGCCTGGGGGCCCAGGCTTTTGATAGAGAATCACATCTGGACCAGGACGTTCTGGTAAGATCGCCAGGGGGCCGCGACAAGGAGACCAGGAAGGAAAGACAGAAAGAAAAACACGCACAGATCCAGGCTCAGATGATATACAGTCCTCCTCCCGGCTCAGGACCCCTTTGCGGTGTCACCTTTCGGCATGTAACCACTTATTCTGTCAGGGAGGAGAGCCCTCCCGCTCCACCAGGTGACGGCCCTAAATCCTCAGGAGTGACAGCGTCCTCCCGCCCGGATTGGGTTTCTGCACAGTGGAATGGAGCTGGCAGCCAGGGTCCCTGTCCCGCCAGCCCTAGGCCTCGAACCCTCCCTGGCAAGCTAACACTGCCCTTGGAGGAAGGAGGGTGGGAGGGCAAAGAGAGAGAAGTGGTGGGTGGCAGCGAGCAGGCTGTCCTGCAAGGCCGTGGCTGCACTGAGGGCAGAAGGGGCCTTGTCACCTAGGAAGGACCCCACTAGGAACCCCTTCCCGCGGAAACACAGCTTCTCCCCTTGGGTGCCATTGCAGCTGCACCCAAGCCTTGCCCTTCCCTCTCACTTCGCTCCCCAGGAGGCGACACTGTGATTGTCCTGGGCTCACAGAGGAGGACGTGGGGACCTGCCCAAGGAGACACAGGCAACAGAACCAGGGCTCAGAGTTGGGGGAAGGGGCCAGTTCACCCACAGAGGGTGGAGTCACTGGGCTGAAGCTTCTGGCCATCGTATGGAGCTGGAACAAGGCACTGGAAGGTACCAGGCCTCAGCGTTCTCAACTGTGAAATGGGAACACGGTGGTCTCTGTCACAGGGTAGAGATGACTGATCCAGTAACCTGGACAGGGTGCCGAGGGCAGGGTCTGGTGTGGCTATCAGGAGCCACTGGATTGGAACTTGGTGTGCCACCAGGGTCCCTGTCCGTTTAAGAAAAGCCTGTGGGCCCAATAGAGAAGCACAGGGTCTGAGAAGCATCAGACAATGACTCCTAAACAAGCTCACGTCTTGAAGCAGTGCTGGACCCGTTTCAGCTCCAGGGGAGAGCCAGGGCAGGGTGGGGCAGGCACGGATTCCTGACGTGGAGACAGGAGGAAGCCGACGGCCATCTGTGCTCAGACCCAGTGGTGAGCCTAAGACAAGTTCCCAGAATCCATCCGGGACAGACGGCTGGACTTGTGAAACACTCCAGGGTCGGGGGCTCAGCCACGGGACCAGCGCTTGCCAGAAATGTTCCCAGCTTTTTTGAGTTCGTGAGTGGCTGGTGGATACTTAGTGGTTTGGCTTTCGGGTTCCTGCCTTCCAAAACAGGAGAGGCAACTTGGCCTGCTTTTTCCTCAGAAGAGCCCACTTTTTGCGTGGAGGTGACCTGCCATTTGTCCGGTTGGGGGTCCCCAATCGTCTTCGAGCTACTGATATAGAACCTCTGCGTTTAGCTGTGGTTTAGGAAGTGCATTCACGTGAAGTCGCCAAGTTCAAAGGGCTGCCCCTGGAACCCAAGTCAGACTTGCCCTCGCCCCCTTCCCGAACGTACCCTTTCCATGAGGCTGGGCGCCCTGCCCTGCCTTCAGTGCCAAAGCCCCAGGCCCACAGGCTGTGCACTCCAGCCGAGGGCAGCCTGGGGAAGGTACGAGAGATCACTGGGCTTTGTGAAACCTGTCAGCTTGTGTGAAAGCTATCTCCCCCAGGCCCCACCCCCGCCCCCACCCAAAGCACAGGTCACCTGCCTGGTTAATCATCCTGGGCTCTGAGAGCTCCCTGGGGCCCCACAGGCCAAGCGTTTTCTGACTTGGAGAGGCAGGAGGCCAACTCCCCGCTCCTCAGATTCTGCTGAACTAACTGAAACCCTAACCTTCGGGCTTCCCCACTAATTTGTGATAAGGCCTCGCCAAGAAAAACAGCAGGCTAAAGACCCCTGATTTCTTCATGAATTCCAGAGCACTTGGTTCACTCCGGCAGAGAAGGGGCCCCAGGCAGCCATGCATACAGAGCCACCTCTGCGTGGGTGAAGGGCTGGGGACGGCCTCTTGGGAGCCCACTAAGGAGGACCACCTGCCTGCTCCAGGCAGATTGCTTCCAGCTGGCCAGGGCAGAGGAGCAGGCCAAGGGTGGGTCCCGGGCAGTGGCCCAGAGAAGCTGAGCTCGCTCACGAGATGTGTGCTGACGTGGCAAGATGGGCGGGAGTCTTCATGAAGGAGTGGCTGCCTGGCCCCCTGACCTGAGGATCCTAGGGCCCCTGGATGGGTTTGGGGGAACTGCAGCATCCTCAGATCACAGACGGTGTGTCGAGTGAGGGTGGTGCTCTTCCTGGGCCAGCAGTAGGTTTCCAAAAGGGCACAGACACAGCTCAGGAGATGGATGCTGCCCTGTCAGAGTGGGGAAACTGAGGCCCCAGGCGGAGACACCACCCACTGCAGGTTCCAGCCGTCCCCCACCCCACCCCTGCCCCACCATGGCTGATGTGAGGGAGGTGGCCAGAAGTCCAGAGGGACACTGGGTGGGACCCCGGTGAAGATCTGGTGGACTGAGGCCAGAGAAAAAGGGGATGACCCATTCCTAGCAGGGAGGAATAGTAGTTTATATTTTCCCCCAAAATTTTATTTTTCTGCATTGGCCTGAATAGGAGCTGACTTTAATACGGGGGAAATAGTGATTTTAAAGCCGGCTTTCCCATGGAATGTGCTTCTCCTGTGACTGTGCCCATCTCCTCACTGCTTGGCAGAGAGGTATCCCCCGTGCCCCACTGGCATGGGCGCCAGGTCTGCCCTTCCAGAGGCCCCTCCCAAGTAGCTCCCAGCAGAACACTTGAAGCCCAAAAGCAGTGAGAAAGGGAACACATTTGCCTCCAATCCTGACTCTCCAAGCCCTGTCCCTGCCCCCAGGTGAAGGGTTGGCCCTGGGCATGGAGGTCGGCAGCAGGGAGGGGACACTTAAGCCACTTGGTTGGGGGTTTGTGCTATGCCCTTTCCTCTGCCCTGTTAGGTTTGCTTCTACCTCTTAGGTCCTGTGATATATCTGCCCCTGTAGGAGCGAGACAGACATAAGCCAGATTTCAGGAAGGAGCAGCCATGGGGCAGTGGGGCTCTGGAGCAACAGAGGCCTCAAAAGCTCAGCGTCTACAGATGTTAGGGACAAGGAGGCAGCTTGGGGGATGTGCTCAGGCCCTGGAGGCAGACACATCAGGGTCTGAATCCCAGCTCAGGGGCCCAGGGCAGCTCAAGCCCTCTCTGAGGTTCTGTTTCTTCATCTGTAAAACAGGGACAATCACGGTAGCTACGTGTGGGGCGCAGGACGGCACCCAAGGATCATTCCTGTGTGAGTCAGGTGTCAGGGACCACCAGGCCTTGTGCAGGAACATGGGGTAGTGTCCCTGGGGGAAATCCTACCCCAGACTCGAGGAATAAAGAGGAGGAGGAGGTTGCCTGAGCTTAACAGAATGATGGCTGTCTGACATGAGGCTCACAACTGGCCCCAGCAGCTCCACGGCAGGGAGCAGGAGCAGACACCCCGGATCCGCTCTCCTCCCTCCTTGCCTCCTGCCAGGGGTCCAGTTGGCTAGACCCAATCTGAAGCCCTGGGCCAGGAGCTTGTGGACATAACCTGCAGAGATCAGCCTCCTAGGGCAGAGTGAGCTGAATGGAGAAGGGCTGTATGCAGAAGGGCGAGCAGACAGAGCCCAGGATTCCACAACGGTGTCGATGTACAACACCAAGCACCTGGCCTGGTGTGGGCTCGTCTTGCACTATGAAGGGGCAGGGACGTGGCCAGGCATTCGTTCCTCTGTGGGCACTGTGGGGCTTTGCTGTGGAGGCAGAGGGAGCATCTGATGGCCCCCGGGGCCGCGCTAGTCAAAGCGCTTCATTTCCATCATATGTGGTGCAAAATCTAACCCTCTTACCCTGCGTGAGGTTCATGTGACCGCTCCCGCTCACCTCCCAGCCTCATTGCCTCCCTGTTCCCCTCCTCCCTCCCCAGCCACTCTGGCCTTCTCCTCGTCCTTCAGCTCCTTCCAGAGTGTTCTTGCCCAGGGCCTTTGCACAAATCCCTTCCAGGACTTCCGATGGTTCTGTCCTCCCCTCACACAGGCCTCACCTCTTTTGCCCCCTCCACCTCTGGAGCGGCCACTCGCCCACCCTTCTGCCCTGACTTCTCTGTGGCTTCCCAAGGCTCTTCCTGGCACCTCGTAGGGTAAGTCCGACCCCAGGTGGCTGTGCTCTGAGGCCAGGGCCAGGACTCTTGTTCACAGTGCTATGCCTGACCCGGCGCCAGCCCTCAGGGGACCACAGCCGGCTGAACGCCAACTGGTTAGCTGCTTTTTCTATAGGACCTACCGAGCGTTTGACTCTAGAACCGGGGGTTGGTGCTTGGTGACAAGAGCTAGGCTGGCTTCCTACTAATTCTGCAGCCTCTGGCTTGCTAGCCTCCCGCCCACTAGGGTCCAGGTCACTTCCTCTAGGAGATTCTAAAACACTCTGGCACAGCCCACCAGCAGAGCCGGGCCTTGGGAGCGTGAGGGCACGGGGCCTGAGCCTACTGCATCCTCCCAGAAGCTGGCCTACAGGACGGAGGCTCAGGGTGGCCAGTTGGGCATGGGGTTCTGCTGGCCCAGAGTGCCAGGGGGACAGGAAGTCCCTGAGGGCTCCAGCTGCAGGAGGAGCATCTCAGGAGGAGCTGAGGCCGGAGCAGAGCGTCCTCCTGGTCCTGGCAGCCCTTGGCCCCTCAGCACCCCAGAGGGCCGGCCGCAGTGGATGCTGCTGAACCACCAGAAACTTAATCTATTATTACACAGAAACTTCTGTGCAGTCAGGGGTTTGAAGTCCCCAGAAGTGTTTGCCTGATTTGGGGCAGATAGCGGGGTGATTAATGCTCGTGATAAGGTGTTGATTGGTTCTGGGAGCCACTGCAGACACAGGGGCTGTTGTGCATGCAGGGCTGGCAACTGTAGTCACAGAACAATAGCCCGTTTATGTAGCACACTCCCACCCCCCGCCTGCCCCAGGCGGGCACAAAGGGCGCTCGGGCCAGGAACCCATGAGCTGGGCTCTCCCGGGGCCGAGGGTCCAGACCTGTTGCCGAGAAGCTGCTTAGCAAGGCCTAGGGGCAAGGGCTGGTCTGGCCTAGCTCTTTCTCCCTTGAGCCCCCTGCCACAGGGCTAAGGCCATGCTGCGGGCTCGAGTGACTGCCCTGGACGTGACAAATCTCTGTGCCTCGGTGCCCACACCTATACAATGGGGGTAATAAAGTCCCCACATTGTAGCACTGCCAGGTGGATTAAATGAAAGAAGATAGTGAAGTCCTTAAAGTGAGATGTGTTGGCATTTACTCCACAAATACTGAATGCCTGCTCCAGGTGCCAGGGACAGCAGTGACAATACAAAACTGATACGAAATTCCAAAGGGATGTCCACCAATGGGAGACGTATAAGGGCTCTGCATCCATGGATTCAACCAACTGTGGATGGAAAATGTTTGGAAAGAAAGTTGCATCTGTGCTGAACATCTGAACTTGTACAGGCTTTTTGTCTTGTCGTTATTCCCTAAACAATAGAGTGGGTCACGCAGCATTTGTGTTGTTAGGTATCGTAAGTGGTCTGGAGATGGGAGGATGTATGTGGCCTCCATGTCAGTATCACACCATTTCGTATCGGGGGCTTGAGTACCTGTGGATTTGGGTACCTGCGGGAGGTCCCCATGGGTGCTGAGGGACAGCTGCACTTTAGTATTTATCTACAGAGTGCTTGGAAGGGAAAACAAAGACAGGCAGGGCTGGTTTGGGGAAGGGGCCTGTTGTGGATGGGGTCGTGGAGGACCTTACAGTGTCCCCAAAGCGAGGTGAATCTCATGGTGTCAGGGCTAAGAGCATTGTGGAGAGAGGGTACAGCCACAGCAAAGGCCCTGAAGTGGGGATGGGCCCACAGGCTGGCAGGACAGCAAGGAGACCCATGTGCTGGGACCCCGAGAGCTAGGACACGTGAAGCCCTGGCTGGCCCCGAGTGCGGTGTGGTTGGCGCAGATGGCAACAGGGTCACTCTGGCTGCAGAGCCAAGAATGGACCACTGAGGGGCTGGGACAGACCTGGCAGACCAGGAGGGAGGCCACTGCACTAGTCCAGGCGGAGGATGGCAGCTGGACCAGGAGGGCGAGGAGGAAGTAGTAGATTCAGGACTGTTTTGAGAGGGACCATTTTAGCTTCTTACGGCTGCTGTAATGAATTCCCACAAACTTAGTGGCTTTAAGTGACACGTTTATTATCTAACAGCTCTGGAGGTCAGATGTCCGACATGGGCTACATTCAAGGAGCCAGCAGAGCTGGTTCCCACTGGAAGCTCAAAGGGAGGCCCCACCTCCCTTGGCTTGTGGCCTTTCCCCACGGCCCCCTTGTCTCTGCTTCTGTCCTGCGCTCTTCACAACCTCCCTTCCTCCCTCTTTCTCTTATGGGGAGTGCAGGGGTGATCTGGAGGAGCCGGTCAATAGCAGCGTGGTGGGGTCTGGCAGAGACAGACTGCAGGGGGCCTGGGAGGCCCCAGGAGGCAGGTGGACTTTGTCCCTAGGCATCCAGTGCAGAGGTGAGACCTGTATGGCCACAGAGTCTCCCTATCCAGGCCCCATTACCCTGGGGGAGGCGGATTATGGTATGAACTGCTGCAGGTGGTCCAAGAGGGGCTGCCCCTGGGAGACGCAGGGTTCTTCAGTAATGGTGGTTTCGAAGGGCAGAGGAGGGAAGAATGGAGGGATGGGGGACAGACGCTGGAGCCGTTTTGGTGGCAGGCCTCTGTGGCTGTGGCCAGAAGCAGGGCTGGGCACCAGGCCAGATGGACCAGAGGCTGCCCCCAGCTGAACCAACTACAGAAATGAGAGCCCCGGCCCAGCCTCCTCCCAGCCGCCGCTCTCTGGGAGCCCAGCTTTGCTCATAGAAAAGGAAGGCCCTTGTTGCCCTGCATTGGGAGCAAACACTTCCTTTGGCCTCACAGCTCAACCTTGGACCCAAAGGTCCTCAGGGACCTGGGGGAAAGAGAGGGCAGCCAGGCACCTCTGTTCACGGCAGGGGCTGCGTTGCCCAGCCTGGCAGAGGGAGGCAGCCCCTAGGTACAGTCCCCTGTGCCCACTCGAGGGGGTGCTGAATTCCTCAAGGCCTGAGTCAGACCTGGTGCAGCTTCATAAAGCCAAGGGTGGCAGGCGGAATCCAAGGGGCCTCACCGCCCATGCACCCCACTGTTGCATGGAGAGAACAATGCCCAAATGCCCTCGTCCCACAGTCGGCATGCCAGACCCCTCGGGAATTCAGGCCTTGGTGAGTCTGGCACATTCCGGCTGTGTGTCAGCGGGAGAGGCCTGGGAAAGGGAGCCAGCACTGCAGGCCGCCCACCACACGCCCACTCGGGCACCGGACACAGGGAAGGCGGACACCCAGGGCGGCCATCTCTCGGGACAGGAGGTGCGGCTCCAGGTTCTCACCCAGGAGAGGGCTTTCCTCCCATGTCAGAGTCCCCTTCGCTGCTTGAGGCAAGCCCTCCGGAACAGACCCATCTTTTGGGGGACCCTGTGGTCATGGAGATCAGGTTCCTAGAATCACCCCCAGCAGCGCACACAGGAGGGCCTGAGGCCCAGAGAAAGGCGCCTGAAGCAAGGGAGGGGAGGGCTGGTCCAGAGTCCCTGTCCCCTCTGCCAGCCACCCAGGAGGCTCCTATGGCCCCATCTCCCAGCTCTTCCGGGTGGAAGACAGTGGTGGGTAACTCACTCAGCTAGAGCGTCTGATCACACCACTGCAGCGGCTGCTCACAGCCTTCACCATCAGGACCACAATTCTGAGGGCCCTTTGGATGAAGCCATCTCACAGAGCTGTCTCCTGCAGAGAGGAGAGGAGAGGGAGGCCGCCTTGCCAGCAGGGGACCAGCGAGGTGTGGCCTGCAAGCCGTGGGCTCCTGTGTTCCTTCCTCCCCCTTCAGAGGAATGGGAGGAAACCAGGCTTGAGTTCCTGATTTTTGCCCTTTAGGGTTTTTAAATTGTGGGAGAGCCAGGAGTGCCTGCGTGGTGGCCTCTGTCGACTCCATTTGCTCTGAAGCGGGGCTGCGGCCAGGCAGTGCCTCTCAGCCTTCTGTTTGGTGGGTGAGGACGATGCTTGGTCTTGCCTCAGGAGCATTGCTGGCACCTCTCATGTGCTCCTGGGCCTCTCCCCAACCCTCACCTTGGCATCCCCCAATATCCAAACAATAGTCCACAAAACAAGCTGCCCCGTGGGCACTGCGAAGACCCTCGGGGCCAGAGCCACTCCCTCAGGGTGCTGAGGCCACCAGCTGGGGCCTCCTCTTTCCACACTATTCCTGACGCCTGGGCTGGGCAGGGGACTCCTGGCTTCGTTTCTTCCCTCGCCTTTGCTGGGCCATCTTTCAGACCTTGCCTGGTACCTTCTCTCCCCGTGCCAAGGCCTGGAGGTGATGTGGATGCAGCCGGGCAGTGAGGAGCGCAGGCGAATGTTACAGCAGGCGCGAGCGAAGGGGCCCGAGGCACCGGTGCTTCCGACGGGGCCCGAGGGCCGTCTGACCTTTCCGGCCACGGGGCAGCAGTTGCGTGAGCAGGAACAATCGCCCCAGTGTGCAAGGCACAAGCGGCCTTTTCTTCCTCACCGGGCCGGCGCACACAGCTCCCAGCCTGGCTTCCCTTGAACAAACATATTTATTGTGGCCGCCACCGAGGCCTCGCCTTGCAGCCGGAGCCTGGGGGCCTCTGTCCCACCCACTGGGGCCCAGGGAGGGGACCCCTGCCCTGGCGGTCTCCCCTGCCCCATGGGCCCCAGCCCCATCTTGCCTGAGGCAGGGGTGGCTCTGGTCCCACCCACCCTCTGGAGGCCCAGAAACTCGAGGCTCCTGCTGGGGGCTGGTGACCACCCACAGGCAGCAAGCCAGCCAGGGTCCTGGGAAGAGGGGGTCTGGGACACAGCCACACCTGAGCCCATCCTCCACCTGGAGCCAGCCCCTTACCTTCTGGAGCCTCAGTTTCCCCCTCTGTAAAATAGGAGGCATCACCCAGCCTTGCACGTCTCCAGTGTCCCTCAGAACGGCTCTGGCCCCGCAGCTGGGGTCTGAAGAGCAGAGCCCTGAGCTCTGAGATCCACTCCCACCCCCACCCCCACCCCCAGGCCTCTCTCTGCCTTCCCTAGTGCTCCTTTGTGTGTCCAGAGGGAAGGGGCATCCTCCATCAGCACTGACCCCACTCAGGCCTCTCAGCTGCACTCAACACAGGGGCTCCCCACACTCGCCCTCCTTCACTGCGACCCCGACCCTCACTTTCCCACAAACCCTCAGTCTCCTTTGCTCAGCTTCCTTCCAGACAGGCTGGCCCAGGCCCTCCCCACGGCTTGGCTTCCCTGGGCGGTGTCAGGCAGGGACAGCAGCCATAGGTGGTACCCCTAGTGAGGGGGACTCATTCTAGTTGCAAAGATACAGGTAGAGCATAGGGACCCCAAAGAGTAGCAGGGGACCCCCGAGGTTGCTGCTGGCAGCTCCTAGGGAGACAGTCGGGCACGGTGGGCACCTTGAGAGGAAGAACAGCCAGGCCTGGGCAGCCCTGGGGGAGGAGCCAGGCCAAGTGTGCTGCCCTCTTGGCCTCAGATCTGAAGCTATAGAGCCTCCTGGAGGGCAGAGGCAGTGGAGAGGGGTCTAGCGGGCAGGAGGGGGACTTCAGGCCTTCCACACACACACACACACACACACACACACACACACACACACTCTCTCACTCTCTCTCTCTCTCTCTCTCTCTCTCTCTCTCTCCCCCCCCACTTCAGGGCCTTCGCGCCCGCTGTTCCCCTGCCCTGCCAGGCGCACCACCCCCGAAACATGCACACGCTCTCCTCTTCCCTGCTTAATCCTCTTGAGTCTTCAGGCCTCAACCCACGCTTCCCCTGAACATCCTCCTCAGAGCAGTTGCGCGCTCTAAATCAGGACCACCTTGCGGTTCTCCCAGCCCCAGCCTTGCCTTTCTAGTGGTTCTGGCCTCTGATCACAGGCACAGTTTCAAGCTTGTCTAGCACTGGCAGGGGTGGTCCTGCTCCGGCCCCAGGGCCCGCAGGTGTGTGTGAGAGGTGCATGGTGGACGTCCAAAGAATAAACGAATGAACCATCCAAAGCACAGGCCAGAGGCAGATTGGGAGGGTCAGGTCCTAAGAGGCCTCAGGCCGGAGCCCAGCTGCAGAGCAGGGCAGGGGTGGCCAAAAGGCGCCTAGAAGGCTGGACTTTCCGTGAGGTGGCGGGGAGCACCAAGGGTAGAGGCAGGGGAGCAATGGATGGGTTGAATGAGGAAGCTTCACAGCCCCCCGGCCACCGCAGGTCGGGGGAGCACTGTCCCCGGGGCCCCGCAGCCAGCTGTGCTGGGCAAGGCAGGACGGGATCCTTGGTGATGGGCAGAATGTGGGGAGCAGGGTAGGACGGGCCCCTTGGCTGAGAGCCAGATGTGGGGAGCGGGGCTGTCGAGGCTGATCTCAGGATGCTTGCTGCGGCTGCTGGGTGGGGGATAACAGGGGTTTTCCGAGGCCCTGAAGGACTGGAGAGTAGGAGCAGGTCTCGGGGGTAGCTTCCTGAAGAGATGAGTCAGGTCCCAGGCACATTCAGTGCCAGCCAGGGAGGTGAGAGGTAATCCTGGAAGCTGCTATGTAGACAGAAGCGAGGGCAAGACCACCGCTCCTCCGCCATAAACCGTGTTGGATGGGCCTCCTGCCTCCTCCAGCCTCAGTTTCCCCCACTGTGAAATAGGGATGACCTCCTGTGCTGGGGCCTGGCTGTGGCTTCCCAGGCCCCGGCTGGGACCACCGCAGAGGTGATGTCTCCAGGAGGCTTCTGGGCCAGCAGCATGTTCCAGTGCGACACATGTGCCCCGGAGTGGCCGCGTGCCCAGCCGGCTGTGCACGCTGCCCCAGGCTGGTGGGGTAAGCGCCTCGGAGGGCACACTAACAAGAGGCACATGTGCCAGGGAAGCCCTGCCTTGTCATCACCTGTGCCGTGGCTGTCAGCGCGCATCTGGCTTACATTGAACTCCCCCATAAAACGTGTGAAACCTGACAGCAGCGCCGCAGCAGGACAGGGAGGGACTGTGTGTGAGAGCCAGGGAAGGGCTGCTCAGGGGGCTCTCCTTGATGGTGACCCCCTATGAGACGCCACTTGCCCTGAGGCCCTGGGGGACAGCCTGGCCCCTGGATGGCCAGAGATGCCTGGGGCCCTGGGGTGGGAGGTGGGGACAGGCTAATGGCAATTGAGGCCCTGCCCGGTGGAGGGTGGGCCATGGCCGCCCCCACCTCCCCTCCCGCAAGCTTCTCCCCTTCCTTCAGAGCCCAACCACTGCTTGCTCCTTCCCACCCCTCCTAGGCCAGGGATGCCTGAAGCCACACTCCACTGCATTCAGCCACCGTCCTGAAGTGCCCCTCACCCACCCATCCACACCCCGCAGGCATCCTAGGGCCTGGCCCACCACCCTCTCCCTCCTCACCATTTTCTGTTGAGCACACTTGAGGAGCACTTGGAGGAGCTGGGGGATGACATGAGTCCACTCCGCTGTCACCACCAAGACCACAGTGGGGCAGTTTAAACAGCAGGCATTCATCCCCTCACAGCCCTGGAGGCTGGAGTCCAAGGTCAAGGTGCTGCAGGGCTGGGTCCTCCTGCAGCCTCTCTCCGTGGCTTGTAGACATCACCTTCCCCGGTGTTCTCATGGGGCCATCCCTCTGTGTGTGCCCGAGTCACCTTCTCCTCTCATAAGGACCCCAGTCAGGTGGGATTAGGGCTCACCCTTATACCCCCATTCTGCTTTAATTACTTCTTATAAGACCCCATCTCCAGACACACAGTCACAGTCAGAGGCAGGAGGAGGTGGGTGAGAGGACCCCACGCCCTTCCTCCAGTGTGTCTGGAGCCCCTTCCCTGTGTACAAAGGGACAGAGAAGCGAGGGGGCTCCTTGGCCCTCCAGTATGTGTGTGCAGAAGGCCCATGAGCTGCCTGGGGTTGGGGGGTGGTCCTTATACATACTTTAGATGCCAGAGGGGGCTCATTGGGCAGAACCTACCTGGGAAGGGGCCCAGGCTTCCTGCCTGCCCTTCAGTTTACCCTGTGCTCCCAAATCTGAAGGAAGCCTTTCCTAACCAGCAGTCCAGGGGATTAGAGGACTGGGACCAGTTGAAACTCCATTCTAAGTCTTGGGGACCTAATGGGATTAAAGGCGACCGAGCTTGGGCCGTATCTGGGATCTGGGGCCCACCGGGGGCTGTGAATAGTTGGAGCCCTGGAGTGCCGAGGGCCCAGGTCCCAGGCCTCTGGGGAGTCTGGATTTTTTGGAGTCTTCCTGAGACTTGTGACCAGTGGGCTTGGGAGAGCCTGAGGGGCCTCTGGGGTTAGACGGTGGCCCCCGTGCCTGGAGAGAAGGTGCACTTTGGGGATGGGAGGCGCTAGGTGCCAATGGCCCTAGGAGGGGGCTTTGGAGCTGGACCCTTGAGGGAGTCAATGCCAGCTCATCGCCATAGCGGCTTGCTTAGGGCCGTCCCTCCCACCCCCCAGTTACACAGCCTGCAAACCCCAACCTAGCCCCTTCCAGGTGTCCCTTGTGATCTTCCGCCACTGACATAGGTGTGGCCCAGAGCAAAGGGCGGCTTCCCATTTCACCTGCGCATCTGCAGCTGGTATGCGGCTGCCCTGGTGGGTTCCTGGCTGGCTGGCATGCGCCCTGCGCCTCTGCTGGGCCTGGTGGGGCCTAAGGGTGAAAACTCGGTCAAGATAAGATGCCCACGGCTCAGGGACCCCACAGTCACAGGTGGGGAGTGGCGCAGAGCCTGGGCCTGCCTCGGGCTACCCTGAAGTGCCAGCCGAGGGTGGCTGAGGAAGCCCAGTCCCGACCCCCACCGCCTGCCTTCCCAAGACATCCTGAGTGCCCCTCGCCAGCACTCCCTGCTCGGGGATCCCATTATTCCAGGAGGAGGAGCCAGGGGTACCACTTTCCATTAGTGGGTCCAGAAGAGATCCCAGCGGGAAGGGGCAGCCTTCAGGGTAGGGCAGCGGATTAGGGAGGACTCCCCCAGGAGAGGAGGAGGCAGGCAGGGAAATTCTGGGGGGAGTGTATTCCACAGGGTAAGCAGAGGCTGGATCCCGAGAGCATCTGGACTTGTTCCCAGGGCACCCAGCACAGAAGTGAAGGGGTGCCGGTGGAGAGGGAGAGCCCCGGGCAGCTGCTGCCGTGTGGGTGGATGTCCGGCCACTGCCCAGCCACCTCTCTGTCCCAGGAAGCTGCTCTCCTGGGGCATGTGCACCTCAAGTGGGTGCAGCAGGCCCAGACCCACGGGGGCCCCTGGAGGCCTGCTGGATGCCCGCGAGCTGCAAGGAGTTAATTCCTGGCCTTGTGGGCTGGCAAACTCTGACTCACAGAGCAATAAAATTCTTGTGTTTTAAAAATCAGTATATTAGCTTAATTTTATAGATTTCAGAAGTGCTACTTGAAAATAAAAGTCTCCTAATTATATTTATGATCCCAACGTGAGTGAATTTGACTCCGTTCACGGCGAAGAAGCTTTGTGTAAAATGCCGGGAAGCCTTCGTGCTGACTCGGCCCTCGCAGACCATAAAACACGGCTGGTGGGTCCGAGCCCGGCAGGGATATGGGGTCACAGCAAAGTCCCTATTAATGCCATGTCCACCTCGCTGCCAGGGAGAGTGGGGCTGCAGCAGGGTGCGACCGTCACAGCCCTAACTCTGTGATGGATGCCTGCTGTTGTGATCATGGACATGAGGATGTGAGGCGGTCATAATACAGGAGTGGGCTGGAGGCAGGGAAAGGGGTTGGTGCCCCCTGCCCAGGGGAGGCACACCTGGGGGCACAGAATGACACTGGGTCCTCTCAGCTTCATCCATTTCCTGCTCCAGGCAGGGCCCTGGGCCTGGGCTGCAGGGATTCAAGGGAGAACCACACCCTCCTCCACTGCTGGGAGGGGCCGAGCCTGGCCTGGACTGCTGGCCCCAGGAGCCTGGGCCTGTGGTCAGGGCAGGAAATGGAGAAGATGAACGAGGAAAGGAGAAACTGCTCCAAATGGTGGGGAGGGAGGAGAGACGAGGGCAGAAGTGAGCCCCTGGCTCGGTGGGGGTGGGCTGTGGAGTGTGGGGGCACAGCGGGTTCCTTACTGAGCCCAGGGGGAGGCAGGGTCTGGAGTGTGGGGGCACAGCGGGTTCCTTGGCCATGGGGGTGGGCAGACGTGTTATCATGAAGCCGGGAGATCAAGGAAGGCTCTCTGAGGGAGGTGACATTTGTACCAAGCAAGGAAAGAGGCAGAAGATCCTTCTTCCAGGCTAAGCGCCATGTGAGAATGCAGCAGGTCGGGGCCACTGGCACTAGCGTGTGTGACAAGGGAATCTCAGGCTTCTGCTCACCTCTGCTGGGGGCAGAGACCCTGGCCAGAGCCATGGCCAACCTCCCCCCACTCCCAGCCAGGCCTAGAGCAGAGTGCCCTTGGAGGCTGGAGGAGGCCAAGTCAGCCTGTCCCATCCCTCCTGGGCCCCCGAGTCACCAGGAGATGCAGGGCTTAGCCTGGAGAGGGGCCTGTGCGGTTCCTGGGTGTTCAGGGGTGGGGTGGATGTCTGCTTTTCCTGGGGGCCCCACAGCTGGGCCAGGCTGTCCTCCCAGCAGAACGTGGGCTGCAGCACTGGCCACACAGACAGACCCTGGGGGGATTGTCCTTCTGCCACCTGGGCATTGGCACACTGGCCTTCCGCAGACACTCAGCAGGCCAAAGAGTGGGCTATCATCAGACGCTGGCCCCAGGCCTGCCCTGTTGTTGCGGGTGCAGTGAGGTGCCTGCGGCCAGGTGGGTGAGCGAGGTGCAGGCTGTCACTCACCAGCAGGGTTGGGGCTTGGGGGGACCCTGGTACAGGTGGAGTCCAGGGGTCTGCAGAGGATGGCTCGAGCCCTGCTACCACCATGCTGCTTTGAAAAAGGACTGACTTCTCTGCTGCCTCCGCCTCCCTGTGAAGTGGGACTGACATCCCCTGTCCTGGGGTGGCCTTGAGTGTGTGCAGTGCGTCTGGCACAGGCAGGTACCCCACATGTGTGCCCAGCATGTCTGGGAGGGCCAGGGTCGCAGCAGGGCCCCCACCCATCCTGGCTGGCTCATACTTGGCCACTGGCCACAGGTGACACCAACCCAGCCCCTGTGTGAGGTACTGAGAGCCCATCACACAGATGGACCAACCAAAGCCACAGATGACAGGTGGCAGGCCCGAGATTGCCTGAGGTCACATGGTAACACATGTGCACCCGGCAGTTGTTTCTGCCCTATCTGTGGTTCCCAGCCATTTGGATGTCACAGCCCCATCAAAGGTCCGCTACATATTCCCCCACCCCCAAAGGTGGATGGACATAGGTGGGCAACATTTTTATTACGCAAAAAAGGACATTTCGTAGAACAACATTACTCTAATGAAATACCACCATTTCATTCTAGAAAGGCTGAGGACTCCATCTCAGACCAGGGGCTGGTGGTGTCCTGGTTTTTTAACAAGAACTTGTTCTCACTCTGCCCCAGCGTTTGTCAGCCCAGCCATGGCTCCTATCCACGGCACTGGGCCCGCAGAGCTCCAGGAGCTGACATGCTCCGTCTTAAGGCAGGTCGGCTGCTCCGAGGACTGCCGGCCCTGTCAGTATGGTGTCCTTGCCCAGCTGGTATTGGCCAAGTTGACCGTGTCCAGGGGACAGAGAGAGGGGAGGGGCAGGTTGTTGGAAGCCTTTCTGCAGATGTAGCTTGGAGCAGTGTCCTAAGGGAGGCCAGCCCCTATGGGTCGGGACAGAGGCCTCACCAGTGGGATCCAGTCACTGGGGCTGAGGCCTGGGTGTGCAGGTGGGGTGGTGAGCCATGCGGCAGTAGCCCCTGGGGACTAGAGCAGGCTCCTTGTGGAGCTGTGCGGAGCTGGCCGGCCTGGTCCCCGTGGCTTCACCCTGAGCGTGCTGCTGCCTAGGCCCTGAACAGACAGAGGCAAGCCCTGCATGGCGCCCAGGGTGCCAGTGACTCTGGTTGCTCTCAAACCATGAGAAACGTTAGAACTTCTTTACCCCTCTGTGAGATGGGCTGGGCCTGGCCTCTGAGGAGCCTCCAGGAATGGCAGGAGGGAGGGTGGGGGATGGGGAGTGGGTGCTGCTGCCCATCGACGCTGCTGGGCAACTAACAAATTCAGCAAATTCTTCTTTTTATTGTGTATGTTCGACAACTGCCTTCACTTAAAGTCACTTTTTTCTGGCTCTCCAAATATACTTAGATAAGGAAACAGAGTCTATTTAAGGAACAATGTTAAGCAAACAATAGTACAGGTGTTCAAAGATATGGAATGAGTGACAGATGGGGCGAGGGACCCCGATGCAGCCCCACCCAGAGGACAGCGCACGCGGGCTTTGAAGTCCTTCCTGGCAGGCCCCGAATGTGAGCGGGTGGACCCAGGCCTCCTGGGGGCCTCAGCTCAGCTGGAGCCAGGGTCTCTGGAGGGGCCTGGGTTAGTTTCCTGTGGCTGCTGGAACAAGTCGCCAAAATTTTGGTGGCCTAAAATCAAGGTGTCCTCAGGGCTGGTCCCTTCTGGAGGCTCTAGGGAGAGTCCCTGTCCTGCAGTTTCCTGCTCCTAGGGGCGCCCACATCCCTTGGATCATGGCCCCTCCTTCACCCTCAAAGGCGGCTGCGGCTCATGGCATCCTCACATCACAGACTCTGTGCGTCCCCTGCGGCCACGTCTCCTCCTCTGACTCTGATCCCCTGCCTCTTTCCCGTATCAGGACCCTTGTCATCACATTGGGCCACCCAGAGAACCCAGGATTTTCTCCCCATTGCACGATCAGCTGCTTGGCTGCCTGAATTCCATGCAGCCTTGATTCCCCTTCAAAGGAAATCAAGTGGCAAAGGGGAATTGAGTGACGCATGCGTGAGTTCCAAGGATTAGGGCATAGACTCCTTTGGGGGCGCCCTGGGGTGGGGGGTGTTCCTGTGTCTCCCTGCAGCCCCTGCTTGGACACATGACCAGCTCAGGCAGTGCTGCCTCCGGGGGAAGTCAAGAGTCTCTGGTGAGTCTCAGACAGGCCTCAGAGTGTCTCAGGGTGGCCTCAGAGACAGGGGAGGCCCCTATGAGCTGGAGGGAGTGTGAGGACAGGGCCTCCTGTGAGAGGGCAGGTTTGACTTTTACTCTGCCGCTGAGTGACTGTGTGGCCCAGGCAGTCACCCCAGAGAGGTCTGACTGGCGCTTGCCGGGGTGGCTGTGTGCAGCAGGCATTGGGGCCCTGGAGATATTTGCTCTTTCTTTTTGTTTTATTATCCAGACTTGCAAGGCCCTGTGTGCCCCCTCGGGGCTGCACACGTGTACGCACAAACGCATGCCCAGTGTGACCCCTGTCCACACCTGGTGCCTGTCCCCTGTGCCCCTGTTTATCCCTTCTACCTACAGCCTATCCCCTACCCAGGCCCAGCCCTCCCAGCTCACCCTCTTCCAACCCAGGCCTGAGCTCTGTTCGGGTCTCTATCCTCCTGCCCTTTAGCCTCCTCTCTTACTGATAGAACATTCCAGAGCATTCCACCACCACTGGCCTGCAATTATCACCCCATCGCTGTGAGTGGGGGCAGGCTGAGGAAGCTGTGCTCGGGCCGGAGCACAGCCGGCCTCCTTGCAGGGGCAGCTGCGGGCGCGCAGACAGCTGGGGCTGGGAGCCTCTTCCAGGGATCCTCCGCCTGTGGTTTTCCTCCTTGACCTTCTTAGGAGGGTCCAGTTCCTTCTCCTGGCCAAGGCCCCACTCTCTGCCACCCCAGGCAGGGCCAGGGTGGGTCACCATCTGCAGAAGCCCTCAGGGGCCCCCAGCAGCGCCCCTCCTATCCCCCTGCCCCAGGGCGGGCTGCCGCCTTGTAACCCCCAGAACTCTTGGCTCTCATGTATATGAGTCAGCGTTGACTGTTTAACCTGTTGCAAGACACTCTGCTGGGTGCTGCGACATGGTTAGGTTTTCTCCACATTAGAAGGTAGAAGGAAGAAAAATAAGTTCTGAAAGAAACAGACTTGCCCTGCCTCTGCCCTGACCTTGAGGTGAACAGAGGTTTTGCACAGAACGACCATCCCTGCAGCGGGTGGCTTGGGGGGTACCACCATGATTTGAGACCCTGGGTGGTGCTGGCCAGAATCAGCCTCTATGAGATGGGCAGGGCAGTCCAGGGCAGGGGAAGCCCTGTGCCCCAAGATCAGATACATCAGCTACAATGAGAGGCATCAGGCGGCCTCAGGCCCTCAAGCCGGTCCCCATGTGCCCATTTGCAGTCTGTCTCATACTCACGGCCACCTGGCCACTGCACCCTGATACAGCAGTGGGGCCTTCATGCCTGTGGGGTGTCTGCCTGCCCAGCTGTGCCCACTCATGTGGTGGATTCATCCCAATGCTGGTCCTGGGGGCCCTGGGCTCCCCCCGGCCCTTTCTCGGGGCAGTTTACACTTTGCAGCTGAATCAATCAGGGGCAGAAATGCCTGGCAGGGGAATGTTTACCGATTTGGTTTTCTGGGGCTGAGGATGCTCGGTGTTTGTCCAGGCTCTGTCCTGCTGGCTCCTCTAAAGCTTTGCAAACAAGAGCCTCGGAGAGAAGGAGGCCTTCCCCTCCCCATGTGCTGAATTCGGGGCGGTCCTGACAGCCATGCGCGGGGGCCCGCTGTGGCCTCCTCTGCACGGCTGCTGAGGGAATGCAGGTCAAACAAAGTAGGCCAGCGGCTTAGGGACCCCCGAGTAAGCAGGCAGACCCACAGGAAATCCAGTGCTCCGAGCCCCCACACCTGTGGTGTGGCAGCCACCCAGCAAGACTGGACCGAGAGGCCACGTGGGCAGCCACCCTTGCCAGGTGGGCACAGGGAGTGCAGGTGGTTTGTTCTTGCCTCAGATCCAGGAGAGCAGCTTTTTTGCCTGAACCCACTCGTGAATTTTTCATATTTTTGGAGAGCTCCTTGTGAGGACAGCCGGCCTGAGCAGGCTTTGATGAACATTAGAGCAGGTGGCCACAATTGGGCAGATCTGGGCCTGGAGACCCAGTTGTCATGTTTGAGAGGGAAGGGGCATTCCCAGAAATCACAGGGATGACTGGTGTGAGCCCACCGCCCACCTAGACTCCCGTACCATGCGGGGCCCCTCATTGACTCCGAGGGTCTTCAAGGCCCTGTGCTCCTCCAGAAGGTGGGGTCTGAGGTGCTGCTGGGTGTCTCTCTTCACCTCTTCAGAAGCATTCATGAGGTAAGACCCCACCCCTTCAGGCCCTGGCACAGGCCTCAGAGCAGGCCCACCACCCAACTCACTGGTTCACTTAGGGGTAGAAATTATCCCAGCTTTTACCCAGAGCTCAGGGCCCAAGATGTCAGTTTGCCTGCCGGCTGTTGCTCTGACTGTGGCCTCCCTCCCAGCTCCCCGGCATGCAGCTCCCAGAGGGAGAACTTGAGCAGGGAAGGGAAGGGGCTCGAATCCCTACGCCAGTCCCTGCATGGCCCTATGGGGACTTGCGTCTCCCCGGAGGAGAGCAGCCCTGCGCAGCCCTCTCTTACTGATTCCTGGAGTCTGCACAGCTACATAGGGTCAGATTCACGACCTCCCAGCTTTAACCAGCCTTCTTGATTAGCCGCCATCTAAGGCCCAACTGTGCTTCGTGACAGGCCTTTGAGCCTAAAAGGAGTTGCCCCCAGCAATGACATCGGATGCCTGTTTAGTCAGCGGACTGCCTCAGAAAGGAATCTCACAGGCAGCGGGTTCTTCTGGTAGGGTGGGATATTTCAGCGGGAGGTAAACAGGTGTTGTCACAGAACGGCAGACTGGGGCCTCCCCTGGTGGGCCTTGAGGGTGCTGGCCTGCAGACCTGCTCCTGCCCGTTCTGGCCTGATCCGGGGCCTCTTGACTGCAGGTCTCTCGTGGGCTCTCAGCCCCAGGTGCCTGCCCTCACCCACGTAGCTTGGGACATCATCAGCCCATTGCCGGTACCCATGGTACCTTCACCACCCTCTTGGCCGCATTCTGAAAATCAATGTTTAGTCCCTCCTTGAACTTAAAAAGTCAAACTTAAAAAGAGATTATTACAGGGAGCTGGGGACTCAGGCTTGCACCCTGCCTGTTTAGGATAAAAGGCCACCGTGTGTCCACTCTAGTGTCTCTGCTCAAACAGGAGACGATGTGGCATCGGGAACACCAATGCGGCACTCAGAGAAGGCTCTTAGCCAGCTGGCCCCTGATGGGCTCACTGGCTGCACCAGCTTGTGTAGCAGCTGAGCTCCTGCAGAGCCTTCTGGGAGGGAAGAATGTGTTTCTTGCTCCAGTACTGCAGAGCATGTGATACCTGCAGGGGTGCAAGAGGTGCCTGAGAGCAGGCATAGCCAAGACTTGTTTGCGGTTGCTCCTGACGCAGAGCCGGCACATGAGGTGGCGTTCCCTCACTCTCTCATTCATTCATTTATTCGCCAGTGTTTCCTGGGCCCCATGCCATGCCAGGTACCTTACTAGGCCCTGGGGATAAAAAAGAGGACAAAAGAGATGAGACCTTCATCCTAGAGCTTAGGATGTGAACTGCGTCCTTCTTTAAATGGAAATTTCTAAATTACGGTGTACCGAATGCATCCACCCTTGGCCTCGTCACATGTGCTGTTGGGCAGTATTTTCCTACATTTTCTTCTGTGAAATTTATAATTCAGCCTTTGTCATTCAGGCCTGTCGTCGTGTCCAGGTGCACCTTTGCATTCGGAAGAATCCAGATTCCTTTTCCTCCGTGGAGTGACTCCCCTTCCCCACCTGCCCTGCAGCCATTCCATCCTGTCTATGGTGGTCGATGGTGTCATCTTTGTGGTCTAGTGTGTTCCCGAGTATACAAGGGTGTGTGATCGGGGCTCCCTCTTTGCACTGATAGTCTGCTGGTCGGAAGGACAATGGCGGCACCCCAAGACCTGATGCTCTGGTTTAGAAACGGGTTCTAATGCCCAGAAGAGCTCCTAAACCCCTATTTATAATAATCTCTTTTTAAGTTTGACTTATCTGTTTGGGACCTTTATTCCTCCATGCCAACTTTAAAGTTAAGTTTATTGCATTTCTTAAAAATTTCAACTGGAAGTTTGCTTGGGATTGCCTCGAATTTGCAGGTTAAATTTGGGAAAAACTGGAGTCTCTCTCATGTTGCGTTTTCTCCTCCAAGAACAAGGAGTCTCTCTGCATTGAGTCAGGCCCTCTTGGACCTCTGTTGCCATCTTTTCCTGAAAGGGCTGGTGGGGTCTTGCTTCCATTATTCCTGGATGAGACCTTCTTTCCCCTGCTATTTTGGAATTTTTTCTCCCAGGAGTTTATTGCTGGTATAAAGAAATGCCATTGATTTGGGGGGGTTGATCTCACACCTGACAACCATGTCATACTTTCTATCAGCTCTATTGATTGATCTTTTGATCCTGCTGATTGTCTAAGTGGATCGGTCCTATCAGGAGGAGTCAGCGTGACCACAGGCCCCCATTCCCCAGCCCCTAATGTTCTTGCCTCATGTCTTCAGGTGCGGGGCTGGCAGAGGCTGGGGTTACCTGACACTTGTCATCCTTCTGCTGGGCCTCAGCACCCGGCGGAGGCAGGGGCTTCCTCTGACACGATACAGGGATTTGCTGACGGTTCCTTGTCTGCTCACTAAGCGTGCCTTGGAGAAGGCCGCTCAGCGAGGGCCGCCTTCAGGCCTGAGCCCGGGGCCAGGACCAGGAGCAGGCGGCAGCAGCAAGGCAGCTCATCCTCGGCTGCCTCTTCTCCCTCACTACTATTTGGTTTTTGTTTTGTTTTGTTTTGTTTTTTGAGATGGAGTCTCATTCTGTCACCCAGGCTGGAGTGCAGTGGTGCGATCTCGGCTCACTGCAAACTCCACCTCCCGGGTTCAAGCGATTGTCTCACCTCAGCCTCCTGAGTAGCTGGGACTACAGGTGTGCGCCACCACACCTAGCTAATTTTTGTATTTTTGGTAGAGGTGGGGTTTCACCATGCTGGCCAGGCTGATCTCGAACTCCTGGCCTCAAGTGATCCATCCGCCTCGGCCTCCCAAAGTGCTGGGATTATAGGCATGAGGCACCATGCCCAGCCTCTTGCCGTCATTTTTTTTATTTTAAATAAACTTTGATTTTAGAATAGTTTTGGAATTACAAAATTCTTACACAGGTGGCACCAAGAGTCCCCAGGTGCCCTTCCCCCAGCAGCCCTATTATCAGCATCTCACATTAGTATGCATTTGTCACAAGGAAACAACAGTGCTACATGACTGTTAACTGAGTCCATGCTTGATGCAGATTTCCTCAGTTTCCCTACTGTCTTTTTTCTCTCCCCGGGCCCCACCCAGGGTCCCATGTGACATTCCTCATCCGTCTCCCTGGGCTCCTCTGGGCGGTGACTGTTTCCCAGGCTCTCCTTGTTGGTGGTGACCTGGACGGTTCAGAGGAGGACAGGTCAGGTGTTTGTAGGGTGTCCCTTACTAGGATCCGTCTGCTGCTGTCCTCACGATTCGACTGGGCTGTGGGTGTGAGGAGGGAGAGCACAGAGGGAAATGCCCTTCTCATCGCCCTGTTCCGAGGGCCCATCCTGTCGGTGTGGCTCGTCATGGGCGATGCTGTCTCTGTCTCCTGGCTCTGAGGCCGTGGCTGTCAATCTCTTCAACTGTGATTTGTTCTTTTCCCCCTTTGCAGACTGTCCTTGGACCCGCCAGCATTTGGCTCTGGGGCCCTAGAGAGACCCTGGGATGTGGATCACACTGGTGACCCCTGTGAGCCCCACTGGGGACAGATCCAGGAAGGGACCTCCTGGGAATGAGGTCTGGCCTCTGCCTGGATCAAAGCCATGGCCCCCATTCCCCGGGGATAGGGAAGCTGTGCAGGCAGCCTGGGTAATGGGCCACCGCCCCAGGCAGGCGTGGGAATCCACACATGGCCCTTCTCAAAGACGGGTGCTGTCCCTGGGGCTCTGGCGGGGTCCTGGAGCCTCTCTCATTGGGCACATCCGAGCCCAGCCTGGCCCATGGTGGAAATGCAAATCTAATTAGTCTGGCATTGAGCCCGTCTTAAAAGTATTAACAGAGCCTTAAACTGTGCTGTTGGACGGGGATGAAGAAACGCCTTAGAAAGAAATTACCGGATGGTGACAAAGCCCCAATTTATTAGTCTTCTCCAATGGGGACTGTGCAAAGGACATTAATTACTTTAATGGGACTTATTTTGCTTCGTTGCCCAAAGTAATTGGTTTATTAACCTCTCCTTCCCTTTAGGGAGGGAGGGAGGGAAAGACTGGGGCCTGGGGGTGGCCCCGGGAGGGGCTCGTCCAGCCTTCTGCTCCTCTGCCCAGCGGTGCAGCCTTGCACCCTGGGGCAGCCGGTGCTTGGTCCCTGCTGGCCTGGGCTGGGGCTGCCCCAGTGCCCACTGATCTATTCTTGTTCACTAGGCATCCACCGTGTGCCAGTCACTGGAATACGGCCATGAGAAAGACAGGACCCTCAAGAAACAACCTGTTCCCTGAAGGCCATAAGTTCACTGTTGTCACAGGTGCCCAGAGGAAAGGAAGATGGCTTTGGGGGTGGACACGTCTGGGCAGGCTTCTTGCAGAAAGGCCACAGGCTAGGATGGTGGGAAGGCAAGAGAATGCCGGGAAAGGGAGGACTGGTTGCCCACAGGGAGTGGGGGTCATGGGGGCAGGTTCCAGAGATCAGAAGGAGGTGGTGGGAAGAGGCACGCAGGGTGAGGCTGGCTGGAGGCAGGTGAGGCAGCCCAGCCTCAGGAGCCAGGAACCAGCTTCCCCGGGCTTTACCAGATGGGGAGCGATAAGGGCTGTGTTTCAAAACAATCCCTCTGGCGTGAAGCAAGCCGTCTTGAAAACAGACCAGAACCGGCTGCTTCCACCACCAGCAGAATACTTCAAGAAGACCACTCGGGCCTAGGGCTCTGCAAGCAATATCTGATTTTCAGAAAACCATGGCTCACCCACACTCTACCCTAGGAAAGGGCAGGTTCCCAGGGCTGGGCTTGTGGCCAGTGCAGCACTATCCTCAGTGGCCTGGGACACCCAGAACTGGCCAGGAAAGACCCCTACACAGACCCCCAGCTCTGCAGTCAGCCCTGTCTCCTTGTGTCCCCAGACCTCGGGCGAGGGAGAAGCAAGTTCCCCTCAGGAATGCTGGTGAAGCTGGCATGCCCCCACCCCCTAGCTCACCCTGGGTCCACGCAGGGCCTGCTCCCAGAGTGAATCCCAGAGGTGTGCCTGCCCCACCTGTCCCAGTAAGGGTGGTTGTGTGTGTTGGGTAGATGTGGTGAGGTGTGCTGGTGGGGAGGGTCCCTATCAGATGCCCCTGGGTACCTCCCCAGGCAGGGCCCTCAGCACCTGATGCCAAACCAGGCTCCACTCTTCCTCCAGGTGAGCCCGAGGGCCCAGCTGGGCGTCCACGTGGAGGTGTGGGGCCCGGGTGGGACAAGCCTGGCAACCAGGACCCAGCATGAAACTGCAGGTGCAGGAGCCCCAGCCAGCCTGGAATGTGGGGGCTCAGAGGCCACCCAGAGCCCACAGCAGGGACTCCCCACGCCAGGCCCGGCTGGATCACAGAGCTTCGGGTCCAGCCAGCTGCTGCTGCCCCTCCCTCTGGGCCTCAAGACCATCTGTCACGTGACAGGGGCAGGCTAGGCCTTTCTTGAACTCACTGTGAGCTACAGAGACTGTGTTCTGGCCAGGTGAATGGTGCCCCTGGGGGCCAAGATCCCCACCTCTGGTCTGGCAGCTGGGTGTGCAGGGGCAGCCCCAGACCTCCAGAGTGCCCTCTTCCCCTCTTTGCGGTTGTCACCCTGTCCTTGAGTCTAACTGGGGCTGTGCTGCCTTTGACGTGAGCTATTCAAAATGGCGGGAGGGGCGAGGCCTCTGGAGCAAGGAAAGAGAGTGGTGGCTGTGTCCAGCAAGTCCCTGTTGCCACTGATAGCATAAAAAGTAACTCTGAAACCTGGTGGCCCTACAGTTGACACACATGGGGCCGCAGGAGGAAGGAGGCTCAGGCCAGGCCAAACATCAGAGACCTCAGGTCTGTCTCCTTTACCAAATGGGGGGCTGTTCCGCCAGCACCCCAGTAGGGAGGATGAGAGGATGCCATGATTTCCAGGGTGGTGTCAGAACCTGTCTGCCAGGGCTCTGCAGGGAGGGGTTTGGGGTTGAGATTGGGAGACCTAGAAATCGAGGGGTGTCGGGGGCCTCGGCTGGGGGGCAAGCACAGATGAGGATGGAAGCAGCTCAGTGTCACTCAGTCTGCACTGGGAATGGGGGATCCCAAGGCCAGGGCTCTGCCTGGTGCCAACTGTGTGACCCTGGGCACGCTGCTGAGCCTCTCTGGGCCCCAGTTCCCTTATTCGTACAACGGGAATGATCGAGGAGTTAACATGTGTTTAAAAGCACCGAGGCTTGGCCGGGCGTGCTGCCTCACGCCTGTAATCTCAGCACTTTGGGAGGCCGAGGCGGGCGGATCACGAGGTCAGGAGATCGAGACCACGGCGAAACCCTGTCTCTACTAAAAATACAAAAAAAAAAAAAAAAAAAAAATTGTCCGGGCGCGGTGGCGGGCGCCTGTGGTCCCAGCTACTCAGGAGGCTGAGGCAGGAGAATGGCGTGAACCCAGGAGGCAGAGCTTGCAGTGAGCCAAGATTGCGCCACTGCACTCCAGCCTGGGCAACAGAGCGAGACTCCATCTCAAAAAATATATATATATTAGCTGGATGTGGTGGTGGACGCCTGTAATCCCAGCTACTCAGGAGGCTGAGGCGGGGAAACACTTGAACCCGTGAGTTGAGATCATGCCACTGCACTCCAGCCTGGGCAACAGAGTGAGACTCTGTCTCCAAAAAAAAAAAAATAAAAAGTACAGGGGCTCTACACGGCGCCCTGAGAATTGTGTGTAAATGAGTGAAAATGGGGTGAGAGGGAGGGAGTGGGAACAGCCAAGAGGCCAGGAAGCGGAGCCTGGGTGCAGGGGCATCTTGCTGGTGAAGCTGGGGAGAGACCTGCGCAACCCCACCTGAGTGAGGCACTGTGGGCCCAGAGTCCAGGTCAGCGCCAGGGGCAGCAGGGGCTGGATCTCTGGGGAAGTTGAGGAATGACATGTATTCCAGGGAAGAATTGGGCCGGAGGCTGAAACAGGACGACAGAGCCCTCAGCCCAGGGCGGAGGACATGGGAGACGGGGGTATAGCTGTTGGGCTTGTGGCTGGCCTGGCCTAACCAGTTGGGGGAATCCATGGGAGGCTTTAGCCCTGCTCTGTGAACTGCTGGGCCTTCCTTAGGGGCCCTGGGGAGCCTTCCCAGCAGAATGTCCAGGCTCCTGCTGGCCCAAGCTCCAAGTTCTCTGGCTCCCAGGGTCTGTGTGGAATCCACCGGTTTCACCCCACGTCTTTTCCTCTCCTGCCTGGTAACCCTCTCTGCAGAGGCCCTGGCTGGACCAGTTGCTTTGCAATTCACAAGGCTTTGGAAGGCAGTGCTCACAAATCACTTTTCTAGACGAAGACCAGTAAGAAGCCCATGTCATTCTTCTGAGACATTAGGGGTTTTCTCTCCCTTGTTTTAATCAACCAGTTCCCAATAAGTCATTTCAGTCAGGCCATTACCAATGGCTCATAATCTCCTGGGCTGCTGGGCGAAATGGGATCCCCTGGCTCTTTCACTGAAAACACTTTTCTTGTTTTCTTTCTCCGGCATGCTGGAAGCCGGCCAACTCGCCAGTTCCATTAACTTAATGAGGGCTGACAGCCTGCGACAAACGTCCTCATAATCTCCCCAGGATTTAAACGGGGTCCTCCCCAGCTGCCTGCCTACACCCCAACCTCGAGGCTCTTTACCTCTGTCTGTGCACCCACCCAGCCCCTCCTGGGAAAAAGCCAGGACAAAGATGTATTTCTTCGCTAGCTCCTTCCTGGTGGCTCTGTGCAGGCAGCCTCAGACCTGTAGGCCCTCTGCCCAATTTGGGTCACCCACAGCCCCCGCACCCCACAGCAATTTCTTGGGAGCTGATCATCCCCAAAGCTTGGAACTACAAGGCAGTGACTGGTTTTGCCGGGCTCCGCTCGTCCCTCTGAGCGGAGGGTCACCCTGGTCACCATGAAAACTTTATCCTCATCCACACCTTTCTTTCTCCAACTAGCATGGGAATCAGTTTAGGGTCCTCCCACACCCTCATCCAAACCCTCATCTCCCACCCCCCACTTGCAGAGAAAGCCCCACGCTCTCAGCAGAAACGGACGCCAGCGTTTAGGAGCGGGTGGGCTCCCGGAAGGGGGCTCTATGGGAAAGGGGAGGCAAGGCTGAGCAGCTGCCCAAAGTGAGCATCTGTCCCACGTTCCACCCCCAGGAAACCCTCTCTCCTGACGCGGGGACTTGCGTCTCAGTGCAGAGGGCAGTGGAGGGACAGTGCAGCTCCGAAATGAGCATCTGAGTTCACTGCTGGTGGGCACCATCCCGGCCAACAGGCCACTAGTGTGTTCTCCCTCTTTCAAACGGGGCGGCGACCCTCGTCTGACAGGCGGCTGTTCTGAGAGCGGTGGCTGTCCCAGGGAAGCCCTCGGTGAGCGTAGCGTTACCATGGTTTTTAAATTAAAGCATCTGCAGATGCGCTGTGTCCCTGCAAGGGCAGGCAGATCGGGACCCCAGGGACTGGTCCCCATAGCCAAGGTGTTCAGCCGCCCTGTCCCCTACACAGAGTGCCTCTCCCACTGGCTCAGGGTGAGGGCAAAATGGCACTTGCAGAACATGAGGCCCGGCCAGCTTTGCCCTATTCCCCCCATAGCATGGCTGACCTTCCTCTGAGCCCCTCGTGGATGCCCACACACGGCAAGACGTTTCCTCAAAGATGCTCTTCTGCAAAGCTGCACTTTCTCGGTTGCCGCTGCCACCTTGGCACCTCTCTGGGGTACCTTGTACTGCCCTGTCCTCCCCACGCCCTGAGGGGCCGTCCTAGGCAGCACTCACCCTGGTCATCCCTGTTTCCACCACAAGACTGTTTGTAGCCGAGCTTGGGAGTTGTGTTGTGTAGTGTTGACTTGAGTTGCATCGTGTTGTGTTGACTTGAGCTGAACTGTGCTGAGTGTTACTGAGTTGAGGTGACTGGGTTGATTTTAGCTTCACAGGTGATCTGAACCCAGCTGAGTGGCTTCCATGGAGCTGATCTGAACCCAGCTGAGTGGCTTCCATGGAGCTGATCTGAACCCAGTTGAGTGGCTTCCATGAAGCTGATCCGGACTAAGCTAAACTGAGTTTCATTGAGCAGCTTGTTTAGCTGGTGTGTGCCAGGTGGTCTCTCGGGGGGTCCGATGGGATACCTAGTGTCTTAATCTGTTCAGTCTGCTATAACCAAATACCTTAGACCTGGTGATTCATACTTAGGAATTCATTGTTCTGGAGACTGGGAAGCACAGGGTCAGGGCGCCAGCAGATCTGGTGTCTGGTAAGGGGTCTGTCTGATTCATGGAAGTCAGCGGGCTGTGTCCTCACGTGGCAGAAGAGGCAAAAATAAGGTGCAAACAAGCTCCCTCAGGCCTCCTTTCCAAGGGCACGCATCCTCTTCCTGAAGGCTCTGCCCTCACGGCCGAATCACCTCTCAAATGCGCCATCTCCTAACACCATCAGGGCTGCGGGTTAGCTTTCGACATAGGGACTTTGGGAAGACACACACATTCAGACTACAGCACCTTGCTCCTGGGGAAACAGAGGAAACTGGTTCCTTTCTTTCGGTTCTGGGTTATGTCAAAATGAGTTCCCTTTGCTGAATCTGTTTCAGCCACCTCTCCCGAGGATCCTCGCACAATTTCACTGCCAGCCAGGAAGGTCTGCCCTGGCTGGTCTGGGCTTGAGGACCAGCACGGGATCGTTCTCCTCTGTGGGTCGCTGATATGAAAACAATCTCACAAAGACGTAAGAACCACACATGCTTAGTGTCATGTGTGATGCATCAACCCAGGGGGAGGAGAGAACGTGCATTCACGCAGAACTCTCTCAGCCACAAGCTCTGTTTCTGTTGCATTTGGGCCAGGTTGCGAGGAGCCTGGCAGGCCACCCGGCCAGTGTGGATGTCATTACATGAGCAGTAGGAAGCCATACAGTATCTGAGGCGGGGGAGTCACGAGATCTTCAGTCTGTCCCTCGGAAAGCCCCTCCTGCCGCCACTCAGGGGGATGGGTTGGAAGGGGTGAGGCTGGAGCCCAAATAGGGAGTTCAGAGGCCTCCGTGTCTGCCCAGGGAAGGAGGGAGGCCAGCTTCAGCTGCTGTCCTGAGGGTTCCTGCCTGGGTCCCTGATCCCCCTGAGAAAGGGCTCCCTCCCAGAAAAGGCATGTGCCCTGGGCAGAGCCAGGAAAGCTGGGGATGTCTCAAAGCCTCCCTACCTGCTCTGTGTCCCCTCCCTCTGGAGCCTGCCTCTCTCCCGAGCAAAGTACCTGCCACCTGGGAGTGATCTGGGACAGTCAGATGCACCTTTTGAAGTATACACCTCAGTGGCTTTTGGTATATTCAGAGTCATGCAACTTCACGACTCTCTAACTTTAGAGCATTTTCATCACCCTCAAAATGTCCCTTGCATCCCAGGTACAAAGCCATACCAGGCCCCATGGGGATGGCTTGTGACTGCTGCACATCCTGCCCCTGGACCTTACTCTAGTTCTTCTTTCATCCACTGGTGTATTCCTTTGGCCGGGGACACACACATTTGAGAAACTTCCCAGCTTCCCTCTATCTGAGGCTCACTCCATTACAACACAAGGAACTGAGACATCTGTGGCTGGTTTTTTTTGTTGTTGTTGTTTTTCCAAATTGTATATCTGATAAGGGATGTGTATCCAGAATATACAAAGAGGTCTTACAACTCAATAATGCATTGACCCAATTAAAAAATGGGCAAAGGACTTGAGCAGACATTTCTCCAAAGAGCAGATACAAATGGCAAATGATCACAGGAACACATGCACATGAACACACGCTCAGCCTCAGCAGTCATTAAAGAGATGCAGATCAAAACCACAGTGAGGTTTACACCCAGTAGGATGACTAAAACAAAAAAGACAATAACAAGTGTTGGCAAGGATGTGGACTGCCAGAGCGAGGCTAGCCATGCCATGTATCTGGAGGAGGGCCCTGGAGGGGTGTGCCCATTGCATGTCTGTGTGTTCCCATGCAGTGGGCACAGGCAGTGGTGCCAGAAAGAGCCTCTGCTGGGCTTTCTCACCACCCCAGCCTCTCACCTGCAGCCCAGGCATCCTCCAGTGGGTTTTTCAGGGAACTTAACATGATGAGTCTAAAATTTCTATGGCTGAATAAAGAACTGAATAAAAATAACCAAGAAGATCAAGGAAGGGCCCTGCCTTCCAGATATCAGGATGTGGAAGAGGCTATACTAACTAAGATGTTGCAGTGTAGGCACAAGGGTAGACAATTAGCCCATTATCCCAGTGGACAAGACAGAGAGCCCTGAAGAGATCCATACAAATGTGGGACATTGGCATGTGACCAAGGAGGTGTTGCAGGTTGCTGGAATCAATCATCCTCCAGAAGGAAAAAGCTAGAGTTGGGCCCCCACCTCATGCAATCTATAAAAACTGACTCCAGGTGGATCTAGGAATTAAATGTTAAAAGCAAACCTTAAAACTCTTACTGGATAATATACGTTTATTAGTATCTTTTATAACTCGGCATAGGGAAATATTTATTTTACAAGACACAAAAGCATTGACTGTGAAAGAAAAACATTGGTCAATTCGATTTTACAAAATAAGAATCCCTCATCATCCAAAGATACCTTAAAGAACGTGACAAGTTGCAGACTGGCGATTGCACTAGTTTTCTGGCACTGGTTTAACAGGTGACCCCCAACACACATCAGAATAACAGACGTTTACTCTCTTTCACTTCTGTCGGTCAGAGGTCCAACCCCAGGTCTGATGGGGCTGGAGGGCGTCATTAGGGCTAGAGGTCCTAGGGGAGGATCTGTGTCCTTGCCTTTTTCAGCTTCTAGGGGTTGTCTGCATTCCTTGGCCTTTAGCCCCTTCCTCTATCTTCAGAGCCATCATGTTCCTCCTCTCTGACATTTTTTTTCGTAATCACAGCTCTCTCTGACCACAGCCAGGAAAGAGCCTCCACTGTTTGTTGTTGTTGTTTTTGTTGTTGTTGTTGTTGTTGTATGGTTTTGCTCTGTGACCCGGGTTGGAGTGCACTGGCGCAATCATAGTTTACTGTAACCTTGAACTCCCTGGCTCAAACGATTCTTCCACCTCAACTTCCTGAGTAGCTGGGACTACACGCACGTGCCACCGCGCCTGGCTAATTTTGTTTAATTTTGTGTAGAGGTGGAGTCTCTCTATGTTGCCTAAACTGGTCTTGAACTCCTGGCCTTAAGTGAGCCTCCCACCTCACCCTTGGCCTTCCAAAGCACTGGGATTATAGGCATGAGCCACTGTGCCTGGCCAGGGCCTTCACTTTTAAAGACTTGTGGTTAATTGGGCCCACCTGGACAATTCAATATGATTTCCCCATCTCAGTGTTCATGACCTTAATTACAGATACAAAGTCCCTTTTCCATATAACGTAACATATTCATAGGTTCTAGGACATCTTTGGGGGAGCCCTTATTCTGCCTACCAAAGAAATGGATATTCACAATACAATGAATTGATAAAGAATTGGTGTATGTATAACTAATACATAACATGTATAATGTATTTATATATGTGTGTGTATAACCAATAAAATCACTAATAGAAACTAAAATAACGAATCAATAAATATACAAATTATCAGACAGAAAAATGGCCAAAGACAAAGACTTGTTCTGCCCTTCATGGTCGAGGAACACATGTGGCCAGTGAGTACGTGAAGGCACCATTTACAGAAACCATTTACACCACTCCATTGGCATAAACCACAGTCTGACCATTGGGAGCGGTGGCAGGGATGTAGGGCCCAGGGTCTCTCCTACATTGCTGATGGGAGTGTACAGTGGGACTACCACTTTAAAAGGGTGGCATCACCTCCAAGGTGGTGAATTCACATACCTGTTGACCCAGCAGTCCCATATCTGGGCATACACCAAAAGGGAACTCTGGTGTGTGGACGAGTGAGAATGAACAGGAGTGTGTGTTGCAACGCTGTTCACAAGCTCCACGTGCAACCAGCCACTTGCCTCCCAGCAGGAGGGAGAGTGAGTAAACATGGAATGCCCATACAAAAGAGAATTTTAAACTAATTAAAGCAAACAAGCCAGAGTGACAGACAACCATGTGGGAAGGCTTGGCAATATAATACCAAGGAAAAGCCCACTGCATTCTTATCAAGTTTAAATTACTAAAATTAAAAAAAAAAAAAAAAACATGACTTTTGGGACACATATAGTTTCAATAATATTATATTAAAAAAGAAAGCAAGGGAGAGAGGAACACAGGATTCAGGTTGATGGTTACCCAGGATAGGGGAGACAAGGATACAGTTGGGGTGGAGCTGTCAGGGTCCAGCATTTATTTTGTGTTTTGTTTGTTTGTTTTTGTAGAGATGTGGTTTGGCCGTGTTGCCCAGGCTGGTCTTGAACTCCTGAGCTCAAAGCAATCCGCCCACCTTGGCCTCCCAAAGTGCTGGAATTACAGGTGTGAGCCACCACACCTGGCCGTCTAGCGTTTATTTTGAATAACGAGTCCTTGGGAGCTTTCTACATTGTTTTTAAAAACTAATTATATGACATTTTATAAGAAAATTATATTAGCACAACCGGGAGAGATTTATTCTAGGTAATGCAAGGCTAGTTAACATTCAAAACTTAATTAATGTGATCTATTATGGAACTTTCCCAACTTGATCAAGAGCATCTTAAAAAAAAAAAAAAAAAAAAAAAAAAAAAACCCACAGCTAACATCACATCACACTTAATAGTGAAGAACAGAATACTTTCCCCCTAAAATAAAAAAGAAGGCAAGGGTATCTGTTCTCACCACTTCTATTCAATATAGTACTGGAAGTTCCAGCCACTGCAATAAGACAAGACAAAGAAATGGGACATGTAGATTAGAAAGGAGGATCTAAAACTGTTTCTATTTGCAAAGATAGAATTGTCTATATAGAAAATCCCAAGGAATCTACAATAAAAATATCTGGAACTTAGGAGTTCAGCACACAAAAATCACTTGCATTTCTATACACTAACAATGAACCTGTGAAAACCAAAATTAGAAACAATACCATTTACAATTGCGCTAAAGAAATTAAAATACTTAGGTATAAATTTAACAAAACATGTAAAGATGTATATACTAAAAACTACAATATGCCAATGAAAGAAATCAAGACCTAAATCAATGGAGAGATATTCCATGTTCATGAACTGGAAAACTCAAAATAGTAAACATTTCAGTTCTCCTTAGAATTACCTATAAATATAGCATAATTCCTAACAAGAATCCTAGCAAGATTTCTTATGGACATGGACAAACTTGTTCTAAAATCTATATGGAAAGGCACATGCTGTAGATTAAAACAATTTTGAAAAAGAATTCAGTGGGAGAAATCACTCTACCAATTTTAAGGCCTACTATACAGTAAGGAATCAATATGATTTGATATTGGAGGAATAAGCATGTAGCTCAACAGAACAGAACGAGGAATCCAGAAATAGACACACGCAAACATGCCTGACTAATTTTAAGACAAAGATGCAAAATTCAGCGGAGGAAGACTCCTCTTTCAACACACGGTACAGGAGCAGTTGGTCATTCATAGGCCAAATAAATAAATTAAAACCCTGACCTAAGTCTCACACTTTATATAAAAATTAACTCAAGAGCCACCTTGGACTTAAATATGAAGTGTACAACTCTGAAACCTTTAGAAAAAACATAGAGGAGATAGTATTTAGGATTTAGGAAGGGCAAACAGTTCTCACATTGGATGCTAAAAGCATGATCTGTTTAAGGAAAATTGATGAAATGGACCCCATTAAAACTTAAAACACTTGTTTTGTGAAAGCCCCAGTGAAGGGGATAAAAATGCAAACTATAGACTTGGAGAAAATATGTGCAAGCCACATATTTGACACCTGGCATCTAGAACATGAAGTACTCTCAAAACTCAACAGTAAAAAACAGCCTGTCCAACTAGAAGATGGGCAAAAGACACGAAGAGACATTTCACCAAAGAAAATAAATAGGGAAGAAGTACACCAAAAGATGATCAACTTCGTTAGCAAAGATGGAAATGCAGATTAAAACCACAGTGAGCGGTCACTACGCACCTATCAGAATGGCTAAAATGAAAAGTAATGATGACACCAAATGTTGGCGAGGATGTGGAGAAACGGGATTGCCCATCTGTTGCTGCTGGGAATGTAAACTGATGCAGCACTCGGGGAAAATAATGTGGTCGTTTCTTATAAAAGTCAGCATGCGACTACCACACATCCCGGCAACTGAACTCCTCCTGGGCATTTATCCCAAAGAAACGAAGACTCATATTCATACACAAAACTAAATGAAAATTTATAGAAGCTTTATTCCTAACTAGCTGAAAGCTGAGAACAATCTATGTATCATTCAACAGGGGAACAGGCAAACAGTGGTGCATCCCTACCCTGAAACACTACCCAGCAGTAGAAAGGAACCCACTATCGGTACAACCTAAGCGGATCTTACGGGAATTGTGCTGAGGAGAAAAAGCCTCCCCCGAAAGGTCGCATGCTGTGTGATTCCGTATAGATAACATTCTCAAAGTCCAGGCTGTAGGGATGGAGATCAGATGGTGGTTCCTGGGGTTGGGAATGGTGAGGGTGGGAGTGACTTGCACAGGAGACGCAGAGGGGGTCTTTCTGGTGGGGAGGACTTCCATTCCTCGTTGCTGTGTGAATCTGCACGTGTGAACACAAGGCAGAGCCACGCACACTGTACCAATGTCAATCTCCTGGCGTTGATCTGTTACTCCACCCATGCAAGGTGTGACCGTCGCGAACTCACGTAGAGGGCATACAGGACCTCTTGGTACTTTTTTTTTTTTTCCCAACTTCCTAGGAGTCTATAATTGTTTCAAAATAAAAAGAAGCAAAACAACACACTGGGAGGTGCAGGAAACCACACACGTGATGTGCTTGTGTCTGCTGACATAAGTGCTCAAGGAAGAGTCTGGAAGGCCTGCAAGGCCCTCATGCCTACGAGGTGGCTGCTAGGGGGATGTGACGTAGAGTGACTTCAGTTTCCCTCTTCATGTCTCCTGGGTCCTCCAGCACTCTGGGTTTCCTCTGCCAAGACCCCCACCCATCTGCCTCTCTTCATCTCACAAGCCTGCATGTGTGCAGAGGGCAGGGGTCCCCAGGGGATGTTCCTTCCCCAAGGCGCTGTGGCCACTTAGAGGGTCCCCCAAGCTCGGGCCTTTGAAGACAGCTCTGTGTCTCCTAGGACGCACAGGTGTGGGACCTCACTGCGCGGGAGGGAGTTGCAAAGAGCGACACCCCAGCATGTGGGAAGGAAGGGAGCGAGCTCTTATTTCCTTATTTTCTTTCCATCTCCACTCCCAGGCAAAGCTGATAAATTCTTCCTTATTCCAGAGTTAGAGGATCCTCCAGAAGGGGCCGAGAGCTTGTCCAGGCAGGGTGGATACAAGGGGCTTGCATCTGACTTAACTGTCTGGCTGGGGGAGAGGGGACAGAGGTCCTGGGAGGGGCTGAAGGCTCAGGGACACAGGTGAGGCCAGCCCCTCCTCCACCCTGGGCATCTCCAGGCCCAGCCCCACCCTGAGCTGTACTGGACCCAAGCCCCAGGACCCCCTGGAGTCACCTCCAGCCCTCCCACATGCCAGCCCCTACCCTGGGCCTCAGGATCTGCCTGGATGGAGGCCAGGCCGCTGAGCTGCTGGGAATCTGTTCCACAGGTGGGAAGGTCGGCCCGCCATGGGCAGCCCAGTCCGGGAAACTTCCTGCCTCTGCTTTCCCACAGTGTCCTTCGATGGCCCCCAGTGACGTGTGTTGAATGTGGCGCTGGCCCCTTGGGCAGCCCAGCAGCCCCCACCCCAGCCAGCCCAGCCTGGGCAGCACTGGGGGCTCCTGGCTTTGAATTTGACCTATCCAGAAACAACGGCTCCTTCAGTGGGCTCAGCCCCTGAGACCACTCAGCCTGGGCTGTGTGCCCAGCGGCACTTCATGTACGTGGACGGGGCAGGCGGGCAGGCGGGCGTGGAGGAGCTAATGGGTAAGTTAGGCAGCACATTAACAAATGAACCAGCGGATGGGGGTGGGGAGCTCATCTCATTCATCTACAAATTATTAACAATAACTTGTTCATTAATGAATGAACAGGTGAGATACAGGTCAGTGGGTGCATGAATGAGTGAGGAGATGAATGAAGCGGGTCTTTTCTCAGCAGCTGACCCACGGCCAAGCCCCCGCTGGGCAGCACGTCCCTTCCTCCTCTCCCAAGCTGGGTGGTGCGGGCAGGGAGAGGGTCCATCCGCCCTTCAGTAGGTGAGGAAGCCACGGGCCTGGAGGGTGGCCCAGCCCAGGCAGGAGGGCACCAGCCCCGGGCCCTCAGTGCCTTCCTGCAACCAGGGTCCAGGGGTCACTTCCTTCACGGCCCAGTGAGCCCAAGGCCTCCGTCCTGCCCCCTGTCTCTTACCAGCTCGCTCCTGCATCAGTGCTACTGAAATGGGAAAGGTTTCCTTGTCCCCCTTGCAGGACATGTGACAGGGGTGTGGCTCGCTTCTTCAGTGCCCCACTACTCAAAGTTCTAGGGGAGCATACAGTCGGACAGGTTGTGGGGCTCCGACCCCACAGCAGCGTCTAGGGGTGAATGTTTACAGCTGAAGCCCCATGGGTGTGTGTTACAGGGTGCTCTTTAGTTTAGCCGTCCATAGACAGCTTGCGTTAGTCAGCTCAGTTAGACCCCCTGCCTTACGGCAAGGGCAGAGGTCTTTCTGTATCCCGAGGTTCTTGCCTTGGCGTACTGGAAGAATCAGATCACACGTGGGCTTGGAGAATGAGTGCAAGGTTTTATTGAGTGGAGGTAGCTCTCAGCAGATGGGGGAGCAAGAAGGGAGATGGAGTGGGAGGGTGGTTTTCCCCTGGCATCAGGCGGCTCAGCAGCCTGGGCTCTCCTGCGTCCACCCCAGCCAAACCCTTCATCGTTCCTCCGGTCAATGGTCTGCCGGCCTGTCGGTGCCTGTTGGTGCCTGTCGGTGTGCTCCTACGCTGGTGTGTTCCTCTCGACCTACCCTCAACGTCCAGCCGCTTGTGTCTTCTTCTGCCGATGTGTTCCTCTTGATGTCCAGCCGCTTGTGTGTCTGCCCACTAAGGTCTCGAGATCTTTATAGGCACGGGATGGGAGCATGGCAGGCCAGGGTGTTCTCGGGAAATGCAACATTTGGGCAGAAACACCGAAATGTCTGTCCTCACCTGGGTCCGTGCACATAGGCCGTAGGGTGGAACCCTAGCCAGGGACCCGCCCTTCTCCTCCCAGCACTTCCCTGCCCCTCTTCCGTATCACTACCAGGAAAGGCCACTTGGCCCCATCCCAGGCCTCGCCCAAGACAGAGAGAGAGACACCACCCCCTGCAAAGGAGCAAGCCGGGCCCTTCTCTCTGAGACCACAGGGTGGACTGTGTTCAGCAGAAAAGCCAGGTAGCCAGCGCTGTCACCAGAGCAGTGGCTGACCCACAGCATGGCCTGGACAGAGCTGGGGGCCTGGGCTGGCACCCTCAGCCCTGGCTGCTTGCAGTCCCGGCCGGCTGTTTGCCTGTGAAGGCTCCGGCTGTGTTCTAGGGAGTTGGCAGGAGGGGAGGCCCGCAGCAGCTTCTAGCGGCCTGTGAAGCAGCCACGGGGCATGGCCCTCTGTGCAGAACAGGATCTGAGGAGCCCCGAGTGTTCTCACTGGATGTGGGGCCGCATCCAGACCTTGGCGGTCATGGCCACAGGCTCCCAAGGCCCTAAGTGACAGCCAGTGGTAGACCCTTCACGGTCAGGCACCTATGACTCCCCGTTCCCTGCCTGCTCCCAGGCTGTTTGGGGTGATGGAAAGAGGCCAGGACGTGAGGCCAGGGTAATAGTTCCTCTCGTGTGTCAGGCCTGGGAGGGGGGCCTTCATGAGACCATCACGGAGATCTTGGGGCCTCCAATTTGTCAAATAGTTTTCTGTTACAGTTCATACTGTTTGCGTTCCTTTAAAGACGTCTTTGCCCATCCCAGGTCGTGAAAATATTATCCAACTTTCTTCGACAGGCCCGATTGCCTCATAGTTAGGCCTGTGACTCTCCCTGGGTTAACTTTGTGACCGGTGTGTGGTAAGGATCATGGTTGACATACTTTCACAGGTGCATCCACATTGTTCCAGCACCCTTTATTGAAAAGCGTATCCTTCCGCCAGCTCGACGGCAAAGGCGTCTTTTCTATGAACCAGTGGCCACAGGAGGGTTTGTGTGTCTAATGTCCTATTCCACGGGTCCCCAGGCCACAGACCGGTACCCATCCATAGACTGTTAGGAACAGGACCGTGCAGCAGGAGGTGAGCGGTTGGCAAGTGAACGTGATCACCTGAGCTCCGCCTCCTGTCAGATCAGTGGTGGCATTAGATTCTCGCAGGAGCGCGAACCCTGTTGTGAATGCACATGTGAGGGGTCTAGGCTGTGTACTCCTTATGAGAATCTAATGCCTGCTGGTCTGAACTGGAACAGTTTCATCCTGAAACCATCTCCCCCCACCCCACCCCGTCCACGGAAAAAGTGTCTTCCACGAAACTGGTCCCTGGTGCCAAAAAGGTTGGGGAACCACTGCCCTATTCCGTCAGACCCCCACTGTTCATCTGTCTGCCCACACGCTCTTAATCAAGCCCTGTGGCCTCATGAAACCCTAGGAGTGTCAGACCTCTGACTTTGTTGTTCTTCAAGATCGTCTTGGCTATTCTTGGCCCTTCACGTTGTTAGGAATATTTTAGAATCACCTTGTCGGTTTCCAATAAATAAACAAACAAACAAAAAGCACTGTGATATTGATTGGAATCATATTTAATCCACACCTCAATTTGCAGAAAATTAACATCTTATAAATATTGAGTCTTCTTATACATGAACATACTATATCCCCAAGTCAAGTTAGGGCTTCTTTATCTGTCTCTCCAATGCTCAGTGCTTTTCTGTGTAGCAGTCTTACACATCTTTAAACAGATTTATTTTAGAGCTGGGTACGATGGCTCACACCTGTAATACCAACTACTTGGGAGGCTGAAGTGAGAGGATCACTTGAGCCCAGGAGTTTGAAACCAGCCTGGGCAAAATAACAAGACCCCATCTTAGAAGAAAAAAAAAAAAATAAGAAAGAAAGAAAGAAAGAAAGATTGTGAAAGCAAGACAGTAAAGAAGAAACAAAAAACTTTTTTGAAAGATTTATTCTTAAGTTTCTGGTCAAGTTTATGGTTATTGATGCTATTGTAATTGATATGTTTTATTTTCTAATTGTTACTAGCATATAGAAATATACATATACATATTTTAAAGGCAGGGTCTCTGCATTCCAGGCTCAGAGCTTACAGCAGCCTTGAGCTCCTGGGCTCAAGCAGTCCGCCCATCTCAGCCTCCTGAGTAGCAAGAAGCACAGGTACACACCACCAAGCCTGGCTATTTTTTAAATTTATTTTTTCTACAGATGGGGTCTCACTATGTTGCCCAGGCTGATCTCAAACTCCTGGGCTCAAGTGATCCTCCCACCCCACCCTCCCAAAACACTGGGATTGCAGATGTGAGCCACTCTGTCAGGCCTAGAAATATAATTATTATATATCATCCTTAAAACCGGCGTTCTTGTTAAATTCATGTATTCCAACAGTTTATCTGAGGATTCTTAGGGATTTTTTTTACATGTATGGTTATGTCATTTGCAAATAACAAATGTTTTATTTTTTCCTGTCCAATCCTTGTACCTTTTATCTCCCTTTTCCTACCTTTTTAACATACCAGCTGGGACTTTCTGGACAATGTGAAATAGAAACGATAACATCCTTGCCTTGCTTCCTGTCTCAGGAGGAAAGCGTATCACATTTCACTATTAAGTATGATGTCTGCTTAGGGTTTGGGTTTTTTTGTTTTAGTTTTTGTCTTTTTTTTTTTTAGGTAATGGAGTTTCTATTCCTAGTTTGCTGAGAGTTGTGTTTTTAATTATGAACAGGTCTCGCTTTATCAAATGCTTTCTTACAATCTGTTGTGTTGATTGTATTTTTTCTGACTTATTCTGTTGATGTGAAGAGTGACGCTGCTTGGTCCTTAGAGGGTAAACTCAGCATGCACAAGTGGATTAAACCACATTCGAGCATGTGTTTGGGCACAGTGCTACATGCAGCTTGCTGGTGGTGGTTAGGATATTTGCACGTATGTTCACGAGAGAGATTAACCTGTGATTTTTTTTTTCTTTCTTGAAATATCCTTGTCAGATTTTGATATCAAGGTTATGCTGCCTTATGAAAATACTTGTATAAAATTGACATTATTTTTTCCTTAAACATTTGGAAGAATTTACTGGTGATGTCGTCTAGATACAGAGTTTTCTTTGCCAGAAGATCATTAAAATTCCAAATTTAACTTATTTAATTAATATTGGGCAATTTGGATTATTTTTGTTTTTGTGTCTACTTTTACATACTGTGTTTTTAAATAATTTGTATATTTTATCTAAATCATCAAAAGTATTTTTGTTTGTAATGTCCTCTGAATAAATGTTTCTGCACCTCTAGGTCTATAGTGACATTCCATCTTTAACTCCTGATGGCGGTCATTTGTGTCCCCTCCCCCATCTGATCAGTCTTCCCAAAAGTGTGTCTGTTTTATTAGTCTCTTCTGAGAACCAAATTTTGGCTTTGTTGATTTTCCTTAAATAATGTTCATTTTTTATCTCATAGACTGTGCTCTTAACTTTATCTCTTCCCTCCTACTATCTTTGGTAGGAGGCAAATGGTAATTTGCCATTTTTTTAACCGCTTGAGATGGATTTCAGCCTTTCCTCTGCTCTGAGATATGCATTTAAAGCCACGAGGTTCACTGTCTGTGCTTATTTCACTGTACTTTCAGTACCTATTTGGCTATGAATTTTAATACCTTACATTTTTATTACTATTTAATTTAAACTGTTGTTTGATTCTCATTATATATTTTTCTTTGACCCCTGGGTTATTTAGATTGTTTAATATCCAAAATACATGGAGATTCCCTAGTTATCTCTTTTTATGGATTTCTAATTTAATTGTACTGTAGTCAGAGAGCATAATAAATATGATTTGCCTGCTTTGAAATTTGTTGGAACTTGCTTCTGAAGTCTTGCATATGGTCTCTTTTGGTACATGTTCTGTGTGCACTAGGGAAGCTTATGTAGTCTCCAGTTGTAGGGAGCAGTGTTCTGTATATGTCAAGTTGCTAATCAGGCTGTTCAAATTTGTCTCTGACTTGACAAAGCTTTGACTGCTTTTCTATCAGTTACTGACGAGGTGTGTTCAAATCTCCCACCATTTTCTCTTTTAGCTTTTAGTTCTGCCAGTTTGCTTTATGTATTTTAAGGTTATGTTTTTAGGTGCATACAAATTTAGAATTGATCTCGTCCTGCTGAATTGACACTTTTATAAATAGGACATATTCTTCTTTAGTAATACTTAAAGTCTGCTATTGGTTTTCCTTTACTAGTTTTCATTTGGCTACACCATGACCTATCTTTTTCTATCCTTTCCCAACATGTTTTTGTATCGTTATATTTTAAAGTGGATTTATATAGTTGTTTTTAATCATGACAATCTTGATCTTTTAATTAGACTATTAATCCACTTATAATGTATGCAATCTACCATCTTATGCTTCTTTTTCATTTGTTTCATCTCTTCCTTTAAGTCTATTTTCTTTTCATGCTCCAAGCTGGCTATTTTCTTTGGGTTCACAGCTATTCTTTTCTACTCTGTCGTCCCTGCTATCCAACTCACCTATTGCATTCTTCATTTCCATTATGGTCCTTACTTTTCTGGAACTTCCTTTTTATGTATCTATAAATTTTATTTCTCTGGTAAAATTGTCTATCTTTTCATCTATTTTCTTGAACCTATTTATCATGGTTATTTTGAAGTCTTCATCTAAATATTCTGAAGCAAAGCACAATCATCTGTTAGCTCACAAATCTATGGGTCAGCAATCTGGGCTGCCCAGTTGGGTGGTCTCACTTGGATTCGATGACATGGCAGTACTTGCATGGTGATGTGGTGGTGGCTGAGTGGTCTCTGTTGTCCTCACGTGTCTGGAGCCACTGGGTTGTCAGCCAGGGTCTCTCAGCTCTCCTTCACGCGGCTGTTCCAGCAGGCTAGCTCAGACTTGTCCATGAGCCAACAGAATTCTAAGAGGGTAAGAGTAGATGCCACAAGGTCCTTGAGGCTGAGCTTCAGAAGACATGATCATTTCCACCATGGTGGAGATAGACTCTAGCCTGCAATGGGAGGAACCACAATGGATTGTGCCCATCTTTAATTAATCACAGTCTGCCCTCTGGCCATAACTTTTCGCATTCTCCCCTATGCAAAATTCACTCACCCCCCTCCCGACGATACCTAAAATTCTCACCCAATTACATGTGGCATCATGCTCAAAGTCCGACATCTTGTGATCTGCCCCTTCCAGCCTCTGTCCAATTCCTTGTCCCAAAATTAATGCTGTAAGTTTTAGGATATTGATATGACATTACCTATTTCTTAGTCCTTATTTCTGTATCAGTTACCTATTGTTGCGTAGCAAACTAGACCTAAATTTAGTGGCTTCAAATATTTTCTTTGGGCCGGGCATGGTGGCTCATGCCTGTAATCCCAGCACTTTTGGAGGCCAAGGCGGACAGATCATGAGGTCAAGAGATCAACACCATCCTAGCCAACATGATCAAACCCTGTCTCTACTAAAAATACAAAAATTAGCTGGGCATGGTGGTGTGCACCTGCTACTCAGGAGGCTGAGGCAGAAAAATCACTTGAACCCGGGAGGCGGAGGCTGCAGTGAGCCGAGGTTGTGCCACTGCACTCCAGCCTGGCAATAGAGCGAGACTCCATCTATATGTGTGTGTGTGTGTGTATTTTTTTTTTTCTTTGCTTAGCTAGGAGGTTGGACTTGGTTCAGCTAGGAGGTTGTTCTGTTGGTGCTGGCTGTTAGCTGAGGCCTCTCTCTTCTCCATGTGGCCTCTCTAATCAGCAAGCTTGTTTGCAGGGCCACATTCCAAAAGGACATGAATTATATACCGTGTACATTCCCCAGTACTCTTTCATCAGTGAAGTCACAAGGTGACCCCAAATTCAAGTAATAGGAAAACAGACTCCATCTCTTAATGGAAGGAGCTGCAAGTATTTAAGGCTGTTGGAAGTACCACACCTTTAGATCTGTATGATCTCTCTTTTCCCTTGCCTTTTAGTCTTTCGTGTATAAAATTGTAGATGCTCGAGGGTATTATCTCCCTACAGATAATTTTATTTTCTTCTGCCACGCGCAAAGCACCTTACTCCAGTAGGGGATTGAGAGAGGTGGGGTTAATGTGATGGAAAGTTGGCATTGCTTAGTTTCTGGGGCTGCCTTCTAGATAGCTTCTAAACCCCAAAGCTTCTCTCCACAGTGCCATGCGTCTACTGAGTACTCTGCTTAGCTTTTACCCCTTCAGCAACTGCTTTTTGCTCAGTTTCTGTGATTCTCACCCACCCGTGTGGCTTAGGAATTCACAAGTGTTTCCAGAGGAAGTTGTGTGAAAGGTGGCTAGAGGACCAGAATCTTTTTCCCTCGTGTCCTGGCTGTCCTGTGGCCCTGGACTCCACATTTTTATCACTAGCCCACTGGGCCCCCACCCTGTTGGGTGTCAGTGCTCCCCAAACTGACAAGTGCCCTGAGGAGGAAACGCTCGGATGCAGGCGCAGCTCAGTTCATTTCCTTTCTATGTGGGATCCTCACCTTCTATGTCTTTCTTGGTCTCCAAAGCCTCACACAGCTGTTCCTTGCTGTTGGCATCACTTAGTCTCGCAGTCCCTGGTGTTTCCATCAGGAAAGTCAGGCAGGCGTTAGCTTCACTGCCAGGAGGGAATCTCCTGTGGCCTCCATGGCGCTGTGTTTTCTTCCAGTCTTTTTTCTATGCACAGACACATCATCCCCTTTGTTTCCTTTTGTGATGCTGTTTCTAAAAGGATCTTTATTTCTAGAAGAAACTTTAGGAGGCAAAAACAGCGCAGCCCCCTTAACAGAGTGGCTCTGGTGGCAACTTTCCCTTGTTAATTTGTCCTGTAGCCCCTACTTTCCCAAGCGCTTGCTGTTTGTGGGGCTACAGGACACAGCAGCTGAAAGGGGCTGTGGGCATCGCCAGCATGTACCCTCTTATCCCATTTGCTGACAAGGATCCTGAAGGCCCAAGCATAGAAAGAAGTTGCTATGGCTGCCATGTGTCAGCAGCATAGCCATGGCCAACTCAGGGCCCTGACTCCTACCTGACCCCCTTCTGAATGACACTCAAGGTAAGGGTCCCCTTCCCACTCACAGATGAGGTGAAACATTTCACCTTGAAAAGCCTCTTGCCCCCAGCCTCCCCTCGAGCCCACACTGGGACATGGCCTAAGTATCTCCATCCCATGGAGTTGAACACTCTCCTTGTTTCTGGAAGGATCCAGTCTGCGTGCTCCTCAGGCAGTGCAGGGGCAGTGAGGGGATGACCAGCACAGGGTGGCCACTCACAATCTCCTCTCCTCTCTCCACTGCAGGCTGCGGGAACACCATCGGGCCACCATTAAGGTCATTCGACGCATGCAGTACTTTGTGGCCAAGAAGAAATTCCAGGTAAGCCCTGTGCTGAGCCTTCCTGCCCTCAGCCTGCCCCTCGCAGCCTGATGCAGCTGCCCACACCTCTCCTGGGTTCTCTCCTGCCCATAGTGGAGGGTGTCAAGGCCTCCGCCCCCAAGCCACACAGGCAGGCCTATCTGAGACCTGACAGTGCCTACCCCACCGAACCCCAGACAGCAGGCCCCTCAGAGGACCTATCCTTGGAGGCCCGGCCTGGAACCAGGGACACATGCAGTGTCTTCTTCACCAAGTAGAAGGCAGCAGCCGTGTAGCTCACTCAGTCCTCCCGTGGGGTGGGTCGTGCAAGGCAGCATTAGTGAGAGATGTGAGGGTGACATCAGAATGACTCAGAGATGGTGCGGAGCCTGCCCTGAGTCACCAAGCTGGGAAGGCAGGTCCCCCAGACCCCCCAGCCCTGTCCTCCACTGGCTCAGTGCTCTCATTCCCTGCTCCTCCACCCTCTGTGAGTTGGGAGGATGGAGGGAGGCTGGGCCCTGCTCTGTAAGAGGTGGGGTCCCCTTGGCCAGGTGAGGCTGGAGCTCCAGGGCTTCCATAAGCTGCCCTAACTTCTCCAGGGGCATGTCCCCCCTACAGAAGCCCCTTAGAGCCCCCAGAGTCCATGCCCCGCAGAGAATGCCATTGATGGCAGGCATGTCTCCCCTCCTGCCTTGGGGACATTCCTCGGATGAAGGCGGTGGTGGGGGGTACTGAGTCCTGGCTTGGAAATACATGTGTAGGTGTGGGAACCCCGTATCCTCTGTGGTGGGTGATCCAGAAGGCAAAAATCACAAAGCAGGGAAGGCTGGGGGGTGACTTGCCTGAGTCCCTTGGAGCGGGGGGCGTGTGACGTGCTTGAGTGAGTGCGTGTCTGCAGGAGCAGGGCAGGGTGGGGCTTCTGAGCTGGGGGCCCCTGGCACCTCAGCCACAGCCTCACCAGTCATAAGGCACAGCCCAGGAAGGCTCAGCAATGTCCGCCGACCACCAGGACCCACAGTCGGTGGCATCCCAGCCCACCAAGACTTATCCTGGAGCCACTGAGCTCCCTGCTAGGGTCTGGTCAGGGCTTATGGGGGCCTTTGTCAAGAGGTCGTTGGGTCGGGCTGGGAAGATCATCTTGACTTCAGGAGCCTGAGATGAGCCAAGATAATGCACAGCCCATCCAGACGGACTGACAGTGGCATTCAAGTCTGGTCCCCCTGCAGCCATGTCTTTCACACCAGGCCACACCTTCCACTCCAGGCCCCAGGATTGACACAGGCCCGCCCACAGTCTCCTTGGTGGAGCCCCCACCCATCTGGGCCCTGGAGCCACCTCAGCCTCCAGACTTCACAGGGCGGTCTGGGTGCAGACCCTGGCACAGGCAGCCCTGGGCAAGTTCTTCCCCAGCTGTGAGGGGAATGAGAGCCTAAGGGTTTGGCATAAGATCATATGCACGTGCCTCACCCGGGCCTTGCCCCCAGCAACCCCAGGCCAGCACCCGCTAGGCTCGTCGTCACTCTGAGCCCCAAGAGCAGCCCTCGGCCAGGCCCTTGCCAAGAGCAGTATGCGGGCCCTCGTTCTGGCCACCGGGCCACCATCTCCAGGGGGGTTTCGCATGCACAGCCCTCCCACAGTGGTGTTTCTCAGCTGGCCCTCCCACCTGCATCCCCCCAGGGAAGGGGGTGGTTCATGACTCAACTGAACCAAGTTGTGTCAAAGCTCCCAGCAGTGCCTGGGACCTCTTGCAGTCAAAATAAAAGCCATGGCAAATGCCACTGCTGGCCAGTGCCCGGAGATCTGCCTGGCATGTTCTAGGGGAGATCTGACAGCCCCTGTGGACCAGGGTGTCTCCATTCTGGGACCGTCTCCTCTCTCTGGTGCTGGCATGGAGGGCCTTGCTGGAGCAGGGAGCTCACTCGGGGGCAATGGAAGAGAGAGGCCAGCCTCCTGGCAGCACCAGTGCTCTCCCAGACAGGGAAGGGGCTGCGTGAACCCCTTTGGGACTCAGATCTGGGCAGGGCAGTCCCCCGAGGGCAGAGGAGACCATGGGAAGGGCCAGGGTGTGTCAGTTCGCTGGAGAACAGCATGGTCGTGACAGCCGAAGCAGCTGACGTCACCCCAGCAGTAGAGCAGAGGGACACAGGGAGCCTCCCAGGGTGGGGCTGGTGTCTGGCCTGAGGGTGCAGAGCAGGTCCCAGCAGGGCAGAGCCAGAGCCCACCAAGGCTTGCAGAACTGCGCCACTTGGGCATCCTGGGGGCTGCTTCCAAGGTCTGGGGGAACCCAGCAGAGCATGCAGACCCTGATGGCTCCTGGGCAGGCCTAGCTCCAGGGGTGGTGTGGGCAGCTTCCAGCTCAGGTCAAGAGATCATCCAGCCATCCCTTTCTCCATCAGCCAGGAAGGACACTGGCATTGAGGTTGATATCAAGGATATCCCATCGTGATAATAACTACCATGGCTTCCAGTCTTGTGGTGAAACCTCAGATGCGTAGCCTCCTGGCCAAGCGTCTGCAATTTCATGTTGTTGGAGCATTCGTTGAATACCTGGGAGTTGCAGCTCTCTGTAAGTTTGATGTGGCTGAACCAAGAAAAAAAGCACACGATTTCTACAGATATTATGATGCCGTCAAAGATTTTGAGGTGATGAGGAAGGCTGGCATCTTTCAGAGTGCAAAGTGATTTTGGAATATAAAGAATTTCTTTGGGTTGAATTACCTAGAAGCTTGTCAGTGACCTGTGTTCCTGAACTGTGAAACATGAATATATGGGCCAAGAAATGGTTTCTCTTGGTAAATAAGCAATTAACAAATACAAAAAGAGAGAGAGGGAGAGGGACAGAGAGAGAGAGAGAGATCATCTGCGCCAGCCCCAGCAGGCCCTGTCGCTGAGCCACAGGTGAAAAAGCTGGTCCCTGGGGAGGAACACAGTGAGCCCTGCACTCCCTTCCAGACAGGAGGGAGTGGGTCCCCTTTCCTGTCTTAGGACACAGGCCGGGACCCTGAGAATGGCCCAGGAGGCTTCCTGAAGCAGACTGGGAAACCCCCACCCCACTGTCTGCTTCTCCACTGCTCCCTGGCCCTGGGAGCCTTGCAGAAACCTGGCAACAGCAGGATCCTCGCAGGGCACAGAGGCTCCTGCACAAAGCCGCTGGGGCTCCCTCCGACCTCACCAGCTGGCTCTTATTGCTGGGAGCAGCATGGAGGGGTGGGGCCAGGGTGAGGGGAGCAGTAGCCCGTGGCAGTGAGGAGCTGTGTGTGGCTCCAGGGGCTCCCCTAGCCCACCTCTCAGGATGCTTCCCTTCCTCGACGCCTGCCTGTCTGCTTGCTTGCACCCCACCCCACCCCCGCTGGCCTCAGGGGCTGCTGACATGGCAGGTGACCCCTCTGCCTACCTTGCTGGCTGATAAGTCCTTGGCCAACCACCCCTGTGTCTGGCCCAAGGAGCCGGAGCCTCTCCACCCTTCAAGTGTGCCTTGAACTCCCTGTCCACCATCAGTCAGTCTGGACAGGCCTGCATTATCTCGGCTCATCTCAGGCTCCTGAAGTCAGGATGATCTTTCCAGCCCAACCCCAGAGGACCACTGGACAAAGGCCCCCGTGAGCCCTAACCGTATCCTAGCAGGCATCTCAGTGGCTCCAGGATAAGTCTCTGTGGGCTGGGATGCCACCGGGCCGTGGGTCCTCATGGTCTGCGGGCATTGCTGAGCCTTCTTGGGCTATGCCCTACACCAGGTAAGGCTGTGGCTGAAGGTGCAGGGAGCTCTCTGCTGATAGGCCCACCCAGCCCTGCTCCTGCAGACGTGCACACACTCAGGTACATAATACTTCCTTGCCCACAACAGGCCTGTTTGGAAGCACTCGCATCTGCAGAGGCTGCTAACACACACACCTACACCCACCTGGTCACAGTGGCCCAGAGACTCCTAGGGCTTGGTTTTCCCCTGCCCTGCCTCCCTTCACCTGCCCACACCGCACCCAGATGGCTGGAGGTGCCCCATGCTTCAGCTTCACAGAGCTCTGTGGTCTGCAGGAGGCTCACCACCATGACTCATGCCATGTTCAATGTGTTCTGAAGAGAGGCTTCGGCCACAGCTGGCTGTGACTCTGGCTCTGGCATGGTGCTGGCTTAGGATTCCCTGACCTTTCTCAACTCCCATCCTATGTCATCCTCACTCCCTCCCTTAAGGCAGAGCAAGGCAGTGCTCAGCATCCCATCTTAGAGAAGAGAGCGTAGAATCTCCATCATACAGAAGGGACATACGGAAGGGAGAAACAGAGTTCAACAACCCGTCCTACAGAAAGGAAGATCAAGGCTCAGTATCCCATCTTATAGAAGAGAGAGGCAGGGCTCAGCATCCCATCTTGCAGAAAGGAGCTTAGAATCTCCATTATACAGAAAGGAGAAACAGAGCTCAGCAACTCATCTTACAGAAAGGAGGATCAAGGCTTAGCATCCCATCTTATAGAAGAGAGAGACAGGGCTCAGCGTCCAATCTTACAGAAAGGAGGATCAAGGCTCGGCATCCCATCTTATAGAAGATACCAACAGGGCTCAGCATCCCATCTTACAGAAAGGAGGATCAGGGCTCAGCATCCCATCTTACAGAAAGGAGGATCAGGGCTCAGCATCCCATCTTACAGAAGGGAGCTCAGCATTTTCATCCTATAGGAAGGAGAAACATCCCATCTTCCAAAAGGGGGGATCAGGGCTCAGCATCCCATCTTACAGAAAGGAAGATCAAGGCTCAGTATTCCATCTTACAGAAAGGAGCTCAGTATCTCCATCTTACAGGAGGGAGAAACAGGGCTCAGTGTCCCATCTTCCAAAAGGGAGGATCAGGGCTCAATATCCCATCTTACAGAAAGGAGAATCAAGGCTCAGCATTCCATCTTACAGAAGGGAGCTTAGCATCTCCATCTTACAGGAGATGCTACCAGGTACAAGAGATGCTACCAGATGCTAACAGGGCTCAGCAACCCACCTTACAGAAGGGGAGGATTGAGGCTCAGCATCCCATCTTAAAGAAGAGAGAGACAGGGTTCAGCATCCCATATTACAGAAGGGGGAATCAAGGCTCAGCATCCCATCTTATAGAAGACAGAGACAGGGTTCAGCATCCCATCTTACAGAAAAGAGAATTAAGACTCAACATCCCATTTCATAGAAGAGAACTCAGTATCTCCATCTTATAGGAAGGAGAAACAGGGCTCAGCATCCCCTTTTACGGAAGAGAGAGACAGGGCTCAGCATTTTATCTTACAGAAGAGAGAAGAAGGACTTAGCATTCCCATATTACAGGAGAAACTGAGACCTGAGGATGTTATTACTAGCCTGTACATAAGTACGGTTTTTACGGGCCAGAGGGTCTGCCTAGAGTCCAACCCCATGCCTGCCTCTATCACAGTTCTTGGTGTGTCATTTCTGGGCAATGCCGGCGATCCTGGTGCCCAGTGTGGCCCCAGGAGCAGCAGGCCCTTCCTTCCATGGGGCACAGCTGTGTTGTGAGGACACGGGCCCCATCCCAGCCCTCCTGATCTCAGGATCTCCCGTTCAGGGCCCAGAGAGTGGCTAGTGTTGCCAGTGAGGGCCCTACCTGCTTGTGTCAGGTGGAAGAGGAACCCCCTGAACTTCTGAGGCCCAGCCTTTGGTAGGGAGGAGGTCTCTGCCCTGTCTTGGGATTCCTGGGGTCCAAAACAATGTTGGGCGGGCTGTAAGAACTCCACCAAGCCTCCGGCATTGGTGGCAGAACCCCTGGGCATGTCAGAAGTGTGTCTAGAGCTGAAAGTGGGTACATGGAGACCTGACCTCAGGGTCTCCCCATCTGGGAACTTGCTGCTTCCCAGGGTAGAAGTGGCTGCATCCTCAGATTAAGGTCACCCTGGTCTCAGGAGTAGGACCCCAAAGAGAGGTAGCAGGTGGGCAGGGAGGGCATGTTCCCAGACCCAGCCCGGGCCCTCAACGGTACCTGAGCTTCCTCCTTTCTCATCCTGGGCCTCAATTGCCTCCCTCTGACTTGGGCTGGCCCTGCCCCACCCCTCCCCACCAAGCCGCTTGGCTCGTCTCTTGGGCCTTGCAAATTCCCCAGCAAAAGGCAGGAAAGCCACTAGCTCAGTGCTAAGGTGGCTATTTGAGCACTAATGATGACTACCCTGGGCCTCACCCGGTCACCCAGTGGCCTCTCGGGATAGAGGCAGTCTGTTGTCCTATGTGCTGGCTTGCCTGCAGGGCCAAGGCCTTCCTAGGCCATCAAACCCCTGCTCAGCCTGGCTGCTCCACCTGAGTGAGGCCCTTGGGAGCAAGGCCACAAATGTGGCTTGGGGTTTCCTGATATCATGAGATGCTTTGTTTTCTCTGTTGTGGTTTCAAGATGTCACCTGAGTCCCACTTATAGGCTTAGAGCTGGCAACAAGCCTGGGAGCCCTGGGGTCCCCTGCCCTGCCTCACATGGCCCCAGCCCCACTGTGGGAGCCCAAGCAGATGCTCGTCACCCACAGCAAGTGCTGCAGGCTAAGGCCGTCATCTGGGGCCACCCCTGCTGCCTGGCACAAACTGCCAGGAACGATGCAGAGGAGACCCGCTCCCTACCCTGAGGACAGTGGCGGCTGCAGCCAGTGAGCATGTCAAGGGTCAGTCTGGGGCCCAGGTAGGTAGTGGGCATGCAGAGCTGTGCCTCCTGGTCAGTGCCTGGCACTGTGCTGCTCCTTGACCCCTTGGGGGGGCCAGCTCTTCCTGAAGCCATTGAGAACCAGAACTGGTAGCCTGGGGTGGTGGGGGGTGGAAGGGAGGAGACAGCAGGCCCCTGCCGGTGAGTAGACAGGAAGCTGGGACCCAGAGAGGCCGAGCTGATGGCCCAGGACTACCCAGAGACCCATGGCCAAGCTGATGGGGACAAGCTTCGCTACTGTGCACGCTTGGAACCAGGCTTATGCCATCACCACATAGGCGAGCTCCCAGGTCTTCACAAGCCTCCCGAGGGCAGACACTGTCACTGCCTGCACTTTGAGCCACATGGCTGGGGCACAGGGAGGAGAAGTGATGCGTGTCTTTTTGTCCCGCAGCAAGCGCGGAAGCCTTACGATGTGCGGGACGTCATTGAGCAGTACTCGCAGGGCCACCTCAACCTCATGGTGCGCATCAAGGAGCTGCAGAGGAGGTGGGCACGGCCAAACGGCAGCGGGGAGGGTGCCCAGGTCCTGCCCAGCCCGGCCCCAGCTGCATGATCAGCGGTGCCGGAGGAGGGAGGGGCTGAGACCCTGAGTTCTTGCCTCTCAACCACCCCCTTCTCCTCACCACCCCCAGCCCTGCAGAGGGAGGGCAGCTGGCCACGGCCACGGTTCACAGCCAGCCCACCAGGCAGCTCTACCTTGTTCCCCGCCCGGATCTGAGATGATGGGGGAATTGGGGTAGGGGAGGCGCGTAGGGGAGGCAAACACCCGCCTCCGTCCCTGCTCAGGTAGCAACACCAGCTTCACACTCCCCACAACTTCAGGACACTCGGCAGCCAGCCCACCCGCCTTCCCTGTCACCTCTGAGCAAGGGGCCAGGCCCAGCCCTGGGAAGACACTGCCTGGTGCCAGGCCCCACCGCACGGGTCTCCCCCAGACTGGCCTGGAGCTGGAGACCCTGACTGTGGGGAGCTAATGTGTTCCCATGGAGCTAGCACCATCCTCCCGGGCCTGCACAGACTCAGAGCAGCTGTGCCTCCGAGATGGGCTCGCCTGGGAACTAGCTCCGTGTGTTACAGGGCATGGCTGGGAGCCCGTGTCCATCCTGGCCACAGGCGAGGGGTCAGGCTGCCTTGCCCATGGCTGATCCACTGCCTCCCACTCCTACCCCCAGGGAGGAAGTCTGAGAGGCAGCCCACCGACTCCCCCTTTCCGAGATCCCTGCTCAGCCCCCTCGGGAGCATGGCCCTCTGGGGGGTTGGGAGTGACCTGGCAGGCCTTAGGGTCGGGGGTGTCCCCAGAGTGGGTGGACAGTCCACTGTCTTGCCGGGCACGTCAAGCTGTCTGTCCCACAGACGACAGTGCATCTGCGCAGTGCCAGGGCCAGGTGTGAACTGGTGTCTGTGTCCTTCTCTCCAGGCTGGACCAGTCCATTGGGAAGCCCTCACTGTTCATCTCCGTCTCAGGTGGGTTTCTGTGTCAGTTACTCTGGGCCCAGCAGCCTGCAATGGACTCTCCCGCACCTCTGCCCTCCTGGCTCTCCCCATGATGTCAGAATGGGCCATTGCACCTCCAAAGTGCATGACATGAAATGAAAGCCAGGGAGTAAGGGGAGGTAGACCCCACCCTTAGCAAAGTGGCTCCAAAGTACATTTTACAAAGGAATATTCAGGTTTCATAAGAACCTACCTGGGTCCCTTTAAATTCCAGGGCGTTGAGGTTAGGCTCTAGGTGTGGAAACATGAACCCAGGGCAACTTTGCAGAAGGGGGTGATCCTGGGGTGGGGTTTGGGTGGGGTGAGCTGCCAGCCCAGAATTCAAGAGACTATGGGTGGGGGCCTTGCAGGGCTCAAGTTGAGAGGGACAGAAGCACCTGGCTGCAGCCTGGGGGCTGGTTTTCTGGCTCCTTGACCAAATTCCTTGGGTCCCCTGGACACGGGGCTGTGAGTCATTCCGGGGAATGACAGGGAAAAGGCACATTCCCTGGGGTTTCCCTAGCCCAGATGCAAACAGCAGCCACGGCTCATAGTGTGGGCTGGTGTAACGGAGCAGCGGAATGGCTGTGCCCCCAGCCTGGAGTCAGGCCTGTGTCGCCCTGGGAGTGGAATGGCATGGGCTTGCACAGCTGGCAGTGTGGCCAGCTTAGGCAGCCCCCTAGGGCTCTCAGAGGTCAGAGGTGGAGAGCGTGGAGCAGGATGGAGCCCAGGTCCCCAGCTGCAGCCATGCCCGGCCACCGTACCACCCCTGGTATTTTTGTCATAGCATGCTTTTTAAAAATGTCCTAGTAGGTTTAGGCATTTTGACTCTCAGCTACCTCCCCCAGCCCTACCACCCCACTTCCCAAGCCCAGCTGGGGTCCCCGGCCCACCCCAGCACTTGGCCCTGATTTGGGTGTTTTATCCCCCATAGAAAAGAGCAAGGATCGCGGCAGCAACACGATCGGCGCCCGCCTGAACCGAGTAGAAGACAAGGTAGGCTCACGCGCCGGCCTGCGGTGGTTCTGGTTAGCGTCCTGGGGCCAGCAGGCACCTCCCTGTGGTCTGCGTGTGAACGTGAAGCTCCTGCAGGCCTCCCCACCTTCCCGCCAGTGCCTACTGCAGCCTGCCCAGCAACTCCCAAGAGGGGCCCAGGCCCACTGCCCACCTGGCGGGGCATTGGTCCCCCATGGAAGGAGCCAGGCCAGGCTGGTTTCTCATCCTCTGACAAGTGGCGTCTTTACTGGCAGGTGGCACCAAGTGCCCCCTCCCCCCAGCTCTTTCCCGCTGCCTCTCGTAGTCTGCTTTGTGCTCTGCGAGCCTCCTGGCTGTGTCCTGAGTGGAGGGTGGCAGAAGCTGGCCTCACATCCCAGCCTTCTCCTGGGCCCAGCTGTCTGGGGCCTCCACTTGGGGCCGGCCGAGGGCTCAGGGAGGTGCAGGGCCCAGCTGGGATGGGTTCATGGGAAGAGAGGCATCTTCTGTTCACCCCGAACCCACCAGGCCCCCACTCCCCACCAGGCTCTGTGCCCATCACTCGGTCCCTCAGGCCGGAGCCTCTCCCCCAGGCACCCTGGGAGCTGCCGGGGGATCTGGGCGGTGGGAGGGCCTTTCTCGGGCCCATGGCTGAGCCCACCACTGCCCTTTGAAGTCTCTGTGGTTTGAAGCGGGCTGTTATCTTGCCGAACAGCAAGTCCGTCTACATGGACTTTATCTGAAAGTAGCTGAGAGGCTAAAAATAGAGGAGTTTCAGTTGGGCAGGGAGTGCGTCTGCCGCCCGGTTTCCCTGGCAACGCCTGGCTCTGGCCTGCTTCCATCTCGGCTGCAGCCGGGCAGGCGGGGCAGGCACAGCCCGGCCCAGGCTCCTGCTCCTGCCCCACCCGTCCTGGCCCCCAGGACCTGCAGCGTCACCCTCTCCCCACCTGGCACCATCTGCCCATGGCCTGGGGCGGCCGTGGGGCCCTGAGACCAGCAAATTGGGTCATGCAGAAAGAGCGAAGGCTGGTGTTCAGGTGCCTGGCCCCATGGGGCTGTGTGACCACAGTACCCTGAGTCCCATGGGCCTGGCCACCCTCTGTCAGCACAGACCTGAGCAGGGCTGGTGCAGACCTTTGCCAGGCAGATGGCCCAGTGGGAGATAGCGCCCATCTGGCAGGACAGGAAGCAAGACCCGGGAGAGGTCAGCTCACAGGATTGGCAAGCTCAGAGGCCCAGAAGCCTTGGCCTCTCTGCTGCCCGGGGAACACGGTGTTTCCCTGGCTTTCTCTTTGCGCAAGGGCTGGGTGACTCCTGGCTGGCACACCCAGTACAGCAGGGCCGGGTACCCTGTGTTGTTGGCATGGCCAGGAGTTTCTAGACATCAAGGAAAGCCGTGGTAGAGACAGGGAGTGGCACCCAGTTCCCCAGCCTCCACTCCTGCTTCCATCTCGGCTGCAGCCAGGCAGGCGGGGCGTGAACATCCCTGACGTGCAGGAGTGTCGGTGGCCCTTTCTGGACAGCACAGGCTGGGGACAGCCCCCGCCTTTCCCCGCCACTCCCTGCCAAGCTCTGGTTCCATTGCCTACACTACTGTCCCAGACCTTTCTTACGGCTCTGCCCCTGCTCCATGGGACAGGCCACCCTCTAAGCCCAGACCTGGAGTCTGGCATCCTGCGGGGGTGATGGTGGGTGGCAGACAGGGCCTCCTGAAGTGCAATGGCCCCTTCCTGACGTGCACAGCAGCCGTCCAGCAGCCTGCTGGGGCCTGGGAACAAGGACACAGTCCTCAGTCAGCCAAGGTCGGTGTGGGGGCCTGCAGAGGGGCCAGCGCTGGCCTTGAAGGCACAAAATTATGCACCCAATTTCTTCACATCTGAGCAACAAAGGGAAGCATTTTCCGGAGTCCCTGATCCCTAGGGCAAGGTTTAAGAACAAGGCTGGGGCCACATCCTGGTGCCCTGTCAGGCTCTGAGCCGGGGCCACGAGGATTCTGGTAGATTCTGCATGCACAGCCCTGGTGGGCCCTGGCTCCCTGCCATTACATTCGAGTCCTCTGCCTGGGGTCTCTGAGGTGGTGAGTGGCACCCACAGTCGACACTAAATCTCAGCCCCGCTGAGGGGTCTACCTGGAACCTGGCTGCCCATCAAGGAGTTGACAGAGCTGTGCTGACCTAGGTGGGTAGGTGGTAGCCTACCCGGTCCTTGCCCTGCCACTGACTGGTGCACCCCTCAGGGACAGACCCTAGGAAAGGGCCTGGCTGGGCCTGGAGGGCTTGGTGGCACAGCCTGGCTCGAGTTTTCTCCGTTATCAGTGCAGCCATCGGGACCGTAAATACCCCAAGCGCAATCCTGCTGACTTCGGGAAGTAGGGGCAGGAAATCCAGCAGCCGCCCGGCCCTCGGAGGCCCAGCAGGCGTGCAGCGGTGCCAATGCCCGCCGGCCCTGCCAACCCCAGCCAGAGCCCCTGGCCTTCCCTACCAGCACCCTCCCCCACCTCATCCCGCTGGTCTGGCTGCCTGCCGGAAGGGAGTCAAGGCCCCAGCCTCCAACTGTTTTCTCAGCTCAGCTCAGCCCCTCAGCTGGGCTGTGCAGTGAGTCCCACCCCAGGCCAGCTTGCCTAGCCATAGGATGAGAGGTCTCCGGGATGCACAGCTGGCTGGCACCCCTCCAGGGAGGCCTAGAGTGTCCCCCTGCAGGGAGTTCACCAGTGCAGGCCAGCTGAGCTTGTTCAGGGCTGCCTCAGTTTCCCTGGCAGGGAGCCCTCTTCTTCCTTGGTGTCCTGGCCAGGGACCCACATTGGAGAGAGGGGTCTGGGGGTCTCCCTTCTCGTCACAGTCCTGCGGGCTCGTCAAAACTCTTGCTTGACAGTGCAGTGTCTGCTCCAACACAGACCTCCCAACTACCTTGCAGGACGTCCCCATTCCAGGGATCCCTTCCACCCCTGTGCCTGTCCTGGTGGCTTAGGTTCTGCCTCACTCCAGGGTGTGGAGAGCAGAAACCCACCCACACCCGCAGATCCAGGGGCCTCCTCACAGCGAGTCTACTTCCTGCGGGCCTCCCTCCCCTGTCAAATGAGAGGGTTTGACTCCTGCTTGTGTCCTTAGGGTCAAAAGTCACAAAAGCTGCCTCATGCCCTTTCTGTTTTCATCTTAGATTATTGTCTTCTTTATCCTGGAGAGGACTCTTATTTGCTCAAATGCCCACATAAATCCTCTTTTACAGATGGGGAAACCGAGGCTCAGAGAGGCTGAGTGGTCGCCTGAGGTCACACAGCTAGTTAGGTGAAGAGCTGGTCCCAAGGAGGACACAGACAGGGGTGGGAGATGAGGTAGAGAGAGCAAGGAGGGGTTTCATATCACCCAAAGTCCGTATGGAGAGGCTGAGGAGGGTTGAGGCCAGGGGCAGGCTGGGGGCACCAGCAGCAGGGCCCAGGGCCTTCAGTGTGGGCCAGGGACCAATGCAGGCGGTCGGGAGAGGTCCGGAGAGAGCTGGCCCTGCCCACTCCCCCTCTGGCCCCACTGGGCTTCCTGAAGTCCCACACAGGGCTGGCAGTCTGTGTGGGGGCTGCATACCCCAGACATTCTGAGGAATCGATGGCAGAGGCCGCTCCAGCCCTCCTCCCCCAGCAAGTATTCTTAGCTTGGTCTCCAGGACCTGCCACACTGTTTACGTTGGGCCCTGTTTATTTTGCAAGCTAAGCTCATACTGCTTTTGCTGATATGAGGAGCACAGTGGGCTGGGAGAGTTTCTTTCTTCTCTGTTTTTGCCGGAAATGTTCATGGCTGAGAGCCGGACACAGGGGAGTCCTGGGTTTCCATGCCGCAGTTCAGAAAGCGTTGGGCGGGAAGGGGCCCCCACCACCTGACACTCCTTTCACTGCCTCCGGTCGCAGAATCCAGGCCTCCAGGATGAGAATGCCCCCCAACCCAGGACTCCCAAAACCACACCCTGCCCATGCCTTTACCAAGCTTCGTGCATGACCCCAACCTCCAGGATGCAGGCAGGCCCAGCCTCCCAGAATTGGGTGTTTGCCCCCAGACACTGCTACCCTTTCCCTCATTCCAGTGTGACTCCTCCATCAACCAGGCCACAAGCTGGACCCCAAGGCTTTTTTGTCTTGGGCAGTTCCCCGAGCTGCACCCCCAGAGCCGCCGTGCTGCTGTTCATCCTCTCCCTTTAGCCCAACCCCTGCTGAGTTCAGGCCTTTATCATCTCTTACTTGGATTATTTTTCCAGCCATATATGCGGTCTCCGGCCTCTCCTCACACCCACCAATCCTTCACATTGTATATTATTTCTTAAACACTGCTGAAATCTCACTTACTAATATTTAATATATCAGAATTTTTGTGCCAGTATTTATGTGTGAGATACATACATGACATAATTTTCCTGTCTTGTATGGTCTTCATCAGGCTTTGGTGTCAAATGTATGTGAGCCTCACAGACTAACTTAAGAAGTGTTCCCTCTTTTCCTATATTGGGATATTTTGTATAAGATTAGAATTTTATTTTCCTCAAATGTTTGGTGGAATTTAAAGGTAAAGACATCTAGGCCTGGTGTTTTCTTTGTGGGAAGATTCATCATTCCTGATTCAATCGCTCTAATAATTATGGACTGTTCAGGTTTTCTATTTCTTCTTGTATCAGTTTTGATAAGTTATATATTCTAGGAATTTATACATTTCATTTTAGTTTCCATGTTCATTGGCATTTATTATAATTTTAATGTCCGTCCATTAGCATTTAGTCCCATTTTTTATTCTCAATATTATTTATTTGTGCCTTCACTGTTTTCCCCCTTAGTGGTCAAACTTGACACTATTCCCCTGTCTTATTAAATGTTTCGTGGACTTCTGGCTTTGCTGATCCTCTCTATTGTGATTTTGTTTTGTTTCATTCACTTCTGTTTATTTTATTCCTTCTATTTACTTGGCCTTAATATACTGTTCTTTCTCTAACCTCTCTAAATTAAGAAGAGGATAATTCTTAATTTTCAGGCTTCCTAAATTTCCTTTTCGTTTTAATTTTTCTAACCACTGTCAATCTCATGGCTTTCTAAATTTTTAAGGTATGCATTTAAGGTTATAAATTTTTCCTTTAAATATCATCCAAACTACATCTCCCACATTTTGATATATGGCATTTAATTTTAATCTTCATTCACTTTAGTATTTTTCTAATCTCCATTATGATCTCTTGTTTATCCTAGGAGTTCTGTAGCAATGTGGTTTTTGTCATTGTTATAATTGTAGCACAGCTTTCTCATAATGTTGCCCTCTTGTCAGAGAAAGCAATCCATATGATATTAATCCTTTAGAATGTTTTGAAATATGATTTACGGCAAAAATGTGGTCAATTTTTGTAAATGTGCCTTCTGTACTTGAAAACAAGGTATATTCTGACATTGTTGGGTGCAGTGTTATGTTCATATCCACTGGAACAAGCTTGTTAGTTGGTCTGTTCAAATCTTCTATATTCTCATTGGAATGTTTTTATCTGCTTGATCTATTATTACTGAGAAGGCATAGGGCAAATTTCTGTTTAACTTTCTAAGAAACTTCTAAACTGTTTCCAAAGGATTTATACCATTTTGCTTTCTCACCAGTAAAGTATAAAGGTTCCACTTTCTCCACAGCCTTGCAAATACATGGTCTTTTCTATTTTAGCCCTTTTAGTGAGTATGTAATGGTATCTCATTGTGGTTTTGATTTGCATTTCCCTAATGACTAATGATGTTGAGCCACTTTTCATGTGCTTATTAGCCATTCATAGTCTTCTTTGGTGAAATGTTTATTCAACTCTCTTGCCCATTTTCTAATTAAGTAGTCTGTTCTATTATTGAGTTGCAAGGGTTTTTTATATGTTCTGGATACAAGTCCTTTATCAGATCTATGACTTGCAAATATTTTCTCCCATTCTGTGGCTGTCTTTTCATTTCCTTAATCACATCTTTTAAATCACAAAAGTTTTTAATTTTAATGAAGTCCAATTTGTCTTTTCTTATATGGCTCAGGCTTTTGATGTTTTATCTAAGAACTCTGCCTAATCCAAAGCCATAAACATTTTCTCCTGTTTTGTTTTGGGTTTTTTTCCTTCTAGAAGTTGTATAGAATTAGCTCTTACATTTCGGTCTATATTTACTTTGAGGTAATTTTGGGGTATGATATGAAGTAAAGTCTAGATTTGTTTTGTTTTATTCTTACTTATGGATATCCAATTGCCCCAGAACATTTGTTGAAAATACCCCATTTCCTCCTTTGAATTATCATGGCTTCTTGGTCAAAAATCAATTGACCATAAATTTATAGGTTTATTTCTGGATTTTCAATTCTATTATGTTGGTCTATATGCCTTTCTGTAAGTCTATATGCCTTTCTGTAAACCCATACTATACTGTCTTGATTATTGTAGGTTTACAGTAAGTTTTAAAATTAAATTATGTAAGTTTTCTAATTTTGTTCATCTTTTTACAAATTGTTTCTGTCTATTCTAAGTCCTATGAATTTCCATATAAATTTTAGGTTCAACCTGTCAATTAAAAAAGAAGGGCCTGCTGGGATTTTGATAGGCATTGTGTTGAATCTATAGATCCATTTGGGGAAAATTGACAACTTAACAAAATTGAGTATTGTAATCAATGAACATGGTATATCCCTCCATTTATTTGATCTACTTTAATTTCTTTCAGTGATATTTTGCAGTTTGGGGCATATAAATTTGGTACTTCTTTTGTTACATTTACTCCTAAATATTTTATTTGTCATGCTAGTGTTAATGGAATTGTTTTCTTAATTTCATTTTGAATTAATTGTTCATTACTAGTATATAGAAGTAACATTAAATTTTTATATCAATCTTGTAAACTGACTTTTCTATTCTTGGCTTTAGCCATTTTTGTTGTTGCTATTGATTTCTTAAGATTTTCTACATATAGGATCATGTCTTGTGGCAATAAAGACAATTTTTACTTCTTTCCAGTCAGATGCCTTTAATTTCTTTGTTTTGCCTAATTGCACTGGCTTGAACTTCAAAAAAAATATTGACTAGAAGTGCTAGAGCAGATCTTCTGGGGAAAATCATTCAATCAATTTCCATTAGCTCTGAGTTTTCCATAGATGCCTTTTATCATGTTGAGAATATTTCCTTCTATTTTTAGTGTGTTGAGAGCTCTCATTATGAATGGATATTGGATTTTGTCAAATGCTCTTTCTGTGTCTAGTGAGATGGTCCTGTGGTTTTTATTCCTTATTCTACTGATTTGGTATAATACATTAATTTTCAGGTGTTAAACCAATCTCACATTTCTGGAATATATCCTACCTGGGCATGATATATAATCCTTTTTATATGATGCTGGATTTGGTTTGCTAATATTTTGTTAAGAATGTTTGTGTCTTCAACCTAGGAAAGCTGATTGAAAGAAAAAAAAAAGAATGTACTTTATATTCATAAAGGATACTGGTGTGGTTTTCTTTTCTGACTTTGATGTCAGATTTTTAAATCCTTTTCTTTTTAATCCTACAACCGTAGGATTTCAGGTTTGTCTTTTGTAAACACTGTATTACTGAGTTTTTAAAAAATCATTTAATACATTTATATTTAATACATTTATATTTAATATAATTTCTAATAGATTTGGATTGAATTCTAGCAGTGTATTTTGTGCTTTCCACTTGTACTAAATCTGTAATATTTATTTTTCTCCTCTTTCTTGCCTCTCATTAGATTATTACTTCTCATTCTACTTTTCTCTCTACTGGTTTTGAAGTTATGTATTCTACTACCATCCTTGGAAAGGTTAACCTAGAACATTTTAAATGAATATATATCAGAAGTAATTGCTATATCTACCCATATCTGTAATAAAATAGGGATCCTAGAACACTTTAACTTCAATTATTCTCCCCCTGACTTAGTACTTTGCTGTTGTATATTTTAGTTGAACTGTGTTTAATTTTTAACTCACTAATTGGTAGTGTTTTATACAATCAATATTTGTTTAAATTTACTCACCCATTTGCCTCTTTGTCATTTGTTATTTCTTTTTTATCTCAGATCTTACATCTGGGATTACCTTTTTATGTGACTGAGGGATTCATTTAAATTTTCTTCAGTGAAAAACTCTCAGATTTTGTCCGCAAATGACCATTTTACTGTCATGTTAAAAAATATTTCCACCAATTATAAAATTATAGGCCTTAGGTTATCAAAATTCTTTTTTCTTAGCACATTAAAAATGTTATTGAACTATCCTTTGGCTTCCACTGTTACCGTTGAGAATGAAGATGATGAATTGTTGCTCCTTGGAAGACAATCTGTCTTTTTTCTCTGGCTGCCTTTAAGATCTTTCCTTTGACTCTAGTCTGCATTTTCACTAGGATATGTTAATAGGTTTCTTTTTTTCTGCCTGAGCTACCTTACTCAGTGGTTTGGTGTCTTTCATCAGTTCTAGATTATTCTCAGTTAATACTTCGTAAGATTTCACTTCAGTCTCATTATCTCCTTCTGAAATTTTTATTGGCCAGTAGTAGACCACCTCACTCCCCTTCATATCTCTTAACCTTTTTTTTTTTTAAATCACTTTGTCTCTCTGTACTGTATTCTGGAATCCATCTTCCAGTTCACTAGTTGTTTCTTTGACTGTGTTTAATCTGCTGTTAAAACTGTTCAGTGAATTTTAAACTTCAATTATTATTATTTTATTTATAAAAGTTCTGTTGGGTTCTTATTCATATCTGATAAGTCATTTTAATCGTATCTTCCTCTTTACTTGCCTGTTCAAACTTTAAAATTTTCTTGAAGTGTATTAAATATGGCTATTCTATATTGAGCTTCTCTTAATTCCAGTATCTAAAGTATTTCTGAGTTCACCTCCCTGTTTGATTTTTTCTTCTGCTGACTCTCATTCATGGTGTTTCATTTCGTTTCTGTTTTTTTTTTTTTTTTCATTGTAAACTTATATATCTTAAAATTTATCTGTGGGAATTTTTGAAGTCTGGTGTGAAGTTGGGGTCCTCAGGGAGGAATCATGTTTACCCCTTCCATTGCCACATATGTGGGTGTACTGCCAGCCTGGACTTTTAATTCTAGGCTCAAAGTTTTCTAGGCCACTTAGGTAGTATGAATTCAAGCCTCCAAGCTGAGCATGGACTAACTTGTGAACATGACTTTCCAGGACAGAACTTGTTCTCCTTCTCTTAGCAGTAATGCAGTTTTCTTTACAATCTTCTCAGGGAGTAGGAGATTTTTCATT